>NC_000015.10:23579904-23882934 GCF_000001405.40 Homo sapiens
AGGCATACTTTGCTTGCAGGAGTATAATTGGTACAATTTCCATGGAGGAACATTCGATGAGAATCAAATCATGAATTCACATATGCATACACATTGACCAAGCCATTCTATTTTTTAAAAATGTGACTTGCAGGTTTATTCTATACATACAAAATCTTTCAGGTACAAGTTTGTTAATCTCACCCTGCATTATAACAGGTGCAGTGGCTCACATCTATAATTGCAACACTTTGGGAGGCTGAGGCAAGGGGCTTACTTGAGGTCAGGAGTTCCAGACTAGCCTGGCTAACATGGCCGAAACCCCGTCTCTACTAAAAATACAATACAAAAATTAGCCAGGGCTGGTGGTGCACACCTGTGGTCCCAACTACTTGGGAGGCTGAGGCACAAAAACGGCCTGAACCTAGAAGGCTTAGGTTGCAGTGAGCCAAGATCGTGCCACTGTTTTCCAGCCCGTATGACAGGGCCAGACTTTGTCTCAAAAAAAAAACAAAACAAAACTGGAGACAGAGACACATATATATATTTTATACTCATAATTTTGTTTTTAATCTTTTTGATATATGTTATTTTAGGTTTATCTTGGATCTGCATTTATATTTTTAATACATATAAAAATATGAGTGAAGATGGTGCCACTGCACTCTAGCCAGCGTGACAGAGCCAGACTGTGTCAAAAAAAAAAAAAAGAAAAAATTAGAAAAGACAAATCCAACAATAGTTAACTGGTTAAAAAATAGCATTGACATACAATGGAATATTATAAAACAAGATTTTAAAAGTAAACAAACATAAAAACAGGAAATTTGCTTGGGCTGACCTGGAAATATTGTGGCAAGTAGGAAATATACATGTGCTAAAGTTTATAAATCATTTGTATATAAAACCAGTGATAGGCCTGGCACGGTGGCTCACACCTGTAATCCCAGCACTTTGGGAGGCCGAGACGTGCAGATCACTTGAGGTCAGGAGTTTGAGACCAGCCTGGCTGACATGGTGAAACCCCATCTCTACTAAAAATACAAATATTAGCTGGGTGTGTTGGTGGGCGTGTGCAATCCCAGCTACTCGGGAGGCTGAGGCGGGAGAATTGCCTGAATCTAGGAGGCAGAGGTTGCAGTGAGCCAAGATTGCGCCACTGCACTCCAGCCTGGGTGACAGAGCCAAGACCCTGTCTCGAGGAAAAAAAAAAAACAGCAGTGATAATCAGATATGGTGTCTATGCTTGTGTGTGCATAAGTCTCCTGAAAAATCATACATAGGTGAAATTTATCTATCTATCTATCTATCTATCTATCTATCTATCTATATCTAAATATGTACACACCCAACCCAATGTGTATAAACATACTTTAATATGTAAGTGTGTGTACATATCTATATATAAATACAGGAGAATATGTGTGTGTGTGTATATATATATATATATATGCATGTAAAATAAAGCAGAGCTTAAAATTGAATGTCAATTGTTAAAACATTTCGTTCCTTTGTGAGTGTGAGTTTTTGTGAAGAGGGAAAAATGTGTTTGATTAGACTGCAGTGAGAAAAATTTAAGTGGTTTAAGGTAAATATCGTGAGGACACAGCAATGATTTTTTGCTGCTAAATCACTATGATGCCACAGCTGGCTCTCAGTGCTCCTACAGATATAGACATAGGTTTACTGATCAGGCTTGGGACTGTCTGATATTGCCATGTGAGAAAATCTGTGAATCAGATATGCAGGTCTTTCTACTCAATATTCTATATTCTCCTGAGCCTCTCTAAACAAGATGTTTTTCTGAAAAATTATTGAAATAGTGACTAAAAATCTGTGAAAAAGAATAAAAACAAATTTGGAAGAAGGTAAAGAAGTGAAAATTGACCTAGAACAAGCAAGATAAATAGAAATAAAAAAGTGATATTGGAAATTAAACACAAGTAATCCAAAAGAAAGATTTTCTAAATTTACTTATATTTGACAAAGTGATTTTTTTTTTTTTTGAGACAGAGTCTTGCGCTGTCACCGACAAAGTGAATTTTAAGGCACAGGTATTAGTAGAGAAAATGAAAAAACAATCAATGACTCGGAAATTTAAGAGAATTTTAAATTTTTATCCACATAATTACATAGCCTCAGAATATACAAAGAAAAAATGACAAAACGGCCGGGCATGGTAGCTCACACCTGTAATCCCAGCACTTTGGGAAGCCGAGGTGAGTGGATCACCTGAGGTCAGGAGTTCGAGACCAGGAGACCAGTCTGACCAACATGGTGAAACCCTGTCTCACGAAATACAAAAAAATTAGCTGTGCATGGTGGCACATGCCTGTAATTCCAGCTACTTGGGAGGCTGAGGCAGGAGAATCACTTGAACGCTGGAGGCAGAGATTGCAGTGAGCCAAAATTGTCCCATTGCACTCCAGCCTGGGCAACAAGGACAAAACTTCTCAAAAAACAACACCCCCACCAAAAAAAAAAAGAAAAAGAAAAAAATGTCAAAACAATTACGGGAAATCCATGAGCCTACAAACTTAGCAGATATTTTTAACATATGCAGTAGTCACTTATTTTAAAATACTGTTATATTTGGATGACACGATGAATACAGTGGACCTAATTGTCATGTTTAGACGCCTACACTCATCATTGGAGAAAAGTCACTTCTCATGGTATGACAGTAGACAAAAAAGGGAAGATGACCTAGCCAAAAGCTCTGAATTCCAGATGACCTCTCTGATAAAAATAGATCACATAAGTTTACTGTGTAGTAGGCAATGTGCAGATGAGTTGATAAGGATAATCTAATTCTTATAACATCACTCAGAACAATATGCTAGTTAAGAAACTTTTTTTGTTTGTTTGTTTTGTTTTGAGACTGAGTCTTGCTCTGTTGCTCAGGCTGGAGTGCAGTGGCGTGATCTCGGCTCACTGCAACCTCTACCTCCCGGGTTCAAGCAATTCTCCTGGCACAGTCTCCCGAGTAGCTGGGATTACAGGCATGCACCACCATGCCTGGCTAATTTTTTGTATTTTTAGTAGAGACGGGGTTTTGCCACATTGGCCAGGCTGGTCTCAATCTCCTGACTTCAGGTGATCCGCCCACCTCGGCCTCACCTGCTGGGATTACAGGCATGAGCCACTGCGCCCGGCCAAGAAACTCTTAACTTCTCAATGCTCAATGTCAATCCCACACTGAGAAAGTTGTGGAGCCAGGATTTGAACTTGGGTTATCTATATTCAGAACACCTAAGTTGACTTCCTCCTTCTTTCCTGCTACCCTTTTGATCTGGAGGGTGTTGTGGGGAAGAATCTGCCTACAAAAAGCTGCTTGGAGAAAAGCACATTTTCTTCATTGTAGATGGGCCAGACACAAGAGAAGCGCCGAGTTGCTGGGAATAGAAGACTGCCAGATCCACCTGGTCTTATCTATTCATCTCATCTTCCTCTAAACAAGGTTACTTGTTCTACTGCCTGCACTATGCCTAGTTCCTCAAATTCATACAACAGCACTCTCCTTGCTCTGCTTCCTTGTTTCCTGGTCCAGTGGTTTAGTCTCTTTAACTGTGGCTTTGCTTATTTCTTTGAATATTGTCTCTTTCAACATATTGCCCAAATTCTTAACTAGGGGTAATAATTTGGGTATTCTGAGAAGCAGACACCAAGACAGGATTAAATGATCAAGGATTTTACTTGAGGGCATTCCCATGAGAGAAAATGGGGAGCACGCCAGAAAGGCTTTGATATACTTTGGACCACACTGCATGTCTGTTTCTGCGTGAAGGAGAGACAGAAGGCAGGCAGGATAGAAGCACTGCTATGTAATCTAGTAGAGGCTCAGCAAGGCCATCCCTAAGCCATAGTCTGCCATTACTGGAGTTTTATATCTCTCAGAAATAGGCCTGGTCACATTTAGTTATTAGCTGGGAGCAGCCCATGGAAGTATGGCTTTGACAAAAATGTGGTAATGGATTTCAGAGAATACTAACTGGGCCTCCTGGGTTAATTAAAACTCCCTGTAGTTGAATGATCCAGAAGGTATTGAATGTTCCAGCTATGCTGCTAGGCATGGTGATTGTATTAGGATTCTCCAGAGAACCAGAATCAGAACCTACATTCTCAGGATTCTTCAGAGAAACAGAACTTTTATCAAAATACCACAGTTCAGTCTAGGTCCTGCTGCTCGCCATACAGAATGCCAATTGCTGGGGCAACAACTATTGCCAGGAAGAAGGCTTTAATCAAGTGCTGAACCTGGGGAAAATGGGAGATGAAGTCAAATCCGTCTCCCCAACCAAGTAAAACTGAGGAGGTTATGGAGTGGGAAACGTGGAAAAACAGGAATTAGAGAGGGGTAAGGAAACAATCATGATGGATGAGGGGTCTGGTGTCTCATTGGATGTAGTGGTCTGATGAGTTTCAGTTCCTTGCCAGAGGGTTTGTTTCCTAAGGAAGGAAGTCAGTAAGACAAATGTAAGTTTCAAATTTTAAGACTAGAGAGGGTCAATTTCTGTTTATTCCAAAAAACCCATAAATATCAGTTATATGGGATAATAGGGCTGGTTATAGTCCCCCACCTTTATCCGTCCCTCAATGTCGGGAACCCTGTTGTCGATCCTTCTCTCTGCCTCATGCTGAGGAGGGGCATCATGGGATAGTGACGAGGAATGAAAATGTAGTACCTGGTTAGCATCCAGCTTGCTGAAGAACCATAATTAAACACACATACACACACACTTGTGGAACCCAAGAGAACAAACCTAAGCCTCCCAAAAAGAATTCCTGATTCATCACATCCACTTTCAGAAAGCTGTGGTTTATCCTTTAGGGGAGAACAATAACGAACTGAAAGTGTGTGGTCCCTTAATGATTTCTTATTTTGGGTCTTTGGGCTTTGAATGCTAACTTAAGGCTGTCTTTAAGGGTTCAAAAGACCATGACTGTTTCCCTTGGAGGGACCCCAGAGGGACTGGTTTTACCTGAGTATGGTGAATTTATGGCTTAACACCAGCTAACTTGAACTAGAACCTGTTGGAAGCAAACTCAGACTAGTTAATTTATTTCCAAAACGTAAGGTTAATATCCCTGTCATTATAAAGCCAGTCCCAAGGATTTGCATATGAAGCATATCAGCTGCTTCATCCGGGCTGCTCCACTTGGCTTTGATAGGTTCCCTCCTCTCAGAGTAAACAGATCTTGCAGTGGCTTTTATCCAGTCCACCAGCCTGGCTGTTCTCTCAGGAATAACCCTCTGTGTGTCTGGATTACATATACCCATCTGCAATTGTTCAGTAGTGAGCCGTGGGTCCTAGATGAACCAAAAAAACGCTTTGCAATTCTGCAGCATTTAAAACCAAAGACATTGCTCCTAAATTAGTTACTTTCACAATCCTCTGTAGTAAAGGGTCTTCAGGAAGCTGTCGATACCAATCTGTAAAATGGAACAATTCCTTCACATTATACCCTCTGGTTTCAGTAGTAAATTGGTTCTGCCCTTTCCTCACATTGGAAACCATAGGTCTCAGAGATACTTCTTGGAAACCACAGGTCTTAGAGATACTTTTTGGTTGCCTGGCATAATTTTCCCTTTTTGTGGGTAGCCTTAAAGCTGGTGATCTGAGCTCAGACAGACCCAGGTCTGAGTTTGGCCTAGCTTTTAGATCCAACTCAGCACTCTCTTACCTTTATTCTAGCTATTATAGATAATAATAACAAAGGGATTGAATATTTCACTTTTCCCTATGAAGTTTGCATTTCATTATGCATCCACTGAATCAACTCCCCAGGACTTGAATCCATCTCAGAATTCCATTGGTAACTTTTACCTTTAGTAACTGAATGCAGCACAGCTGCAGCTCCACACCATGGGTGACCACATTGCCACTCAGGAGTCAAAGGTTAATCCAATAACAGGTGTACTACAGCTTTGTTCTGAAACATAATTTTTCTTTCCTTAGTCCTCCATTTTTAACAATGACAAATCATGGTGGGACCAATTTATTTACAAAATAAGTTTTAGTCTTATATTTGACCTGATTATTTGTACAACGTGCAGCAAGAATTATTGTAGGCTCTTACAAATTGGCTTTGCTGGAAATTTTCCTAAGGTAGCTCTGATTTGGATTTTAAAGGCCTTTCAAGCACAGCCAAGGATTTATAAAAAGTAAAGTAGAGGCTCCTCTTCAAAGACTTTCCTCCCCGTCTAATTAGGAATAAATGGTAACTTCTCTTAGAAGCAAAATGTATTCACGACTGTGCTAATATTCTTAAATATCTGCTAGCCGTAATAAAGAAATGAATGTACTTCATGTTCTTAGCACCCACAATTTAGCCTAAATATTTGCCCTGGCATGCTTATACTGGTCCAAGCAAGCATTAGGTCATAGC
Source organism: Homo sapiens (assembly GCF_000001405.40). NCBI lineage: Eukaryota > Metazoa > Chordata > Mammalia > Primates > Hominidae > Homo > Homo sapiens. Next base: position 23,586,274 of record NC_000015.10, read on the forward strand.
GTGTTCCTCTTCCTTATTTGAAGGTGTTTTTACCTTTCTCCAGATTCCAAAAGTTACTTCCTCCTTCCTTTGTTCTCCTCTGCCTTTGCCTCTTTTAAAAAGTTCTAAGTTGCCAGCCAATCAGGACAAACATGGAATGTGAGGTCCTGTTCCAGCCAATGGAAACCGGACACAGCAGTGGGGTGGACGCATCAGGGTATAAATGACCCTGTCTCCTTTGCTCTGTGTACTCTCGTGGCAAAACTGCTGGCGAGTGTACCCTTTCTGCAGAAAGTAAAAATGGCCTTGCTGAGGAAACTAAATTTATGTTCAAGTGCTATTTCTTAATGACACCAGGGAACAAGCATTTCTAACAGATTTATCTGTGCCTGCAGATACCTATATAAATTGGGTGAATTCCTGTCTTCTTGAGGTCTCAAAATAACAGGAGGTTCCTGATACTGTCAGAAAGTGGCATTCTTTGTTTTCCACAGGTCAGAAAGCCTGCGAAGGAACTGTATAGACAAGGTATAAGGCCAGGCTTTTCAAGAAGCTTTTATCGGCTCCATAAGTCAACTTCAGTTTCTCAAAGCATTCTGCTCATATCTGAAAATATGTTATTCCAGTCCGAGCCTTGGTAAAACAATCAGTGTCTCCAGTTGTGACCTGTTATAAAATAAAACAGATTCTTATTTAACTTATACAAATAACCATATTGCCATAAATTGAGAATACTTGTAAATAATTTCCAAAATCTGGAGAAATCAGCTGGAGAGAAAAAAAATACTTCAAATTTTGTTTACAAGAGTATACTCTATTAGTTGTTAAACACTATAAATAGCTCAAAAGAAAAAGTTTTCTTTACTCTAAAAAACAGAACAAAAAGAACTGGCAATCTTTCAAACAAAAAAAGCCATAAAAATTATTTCAGTCCTCTATTAGTTCAGTCCATGCAATTAACTCTTGTTCTGCTTCATACTGGGTTAGCAGTCTTTATGTACACATCAGCCTTTTAATTAGAGTCCTGCATGCTTTCTCTCTAGTCCAATGGCACAATCTCCAAAGTAATCAGAAACCTGTATTCAAAAGTCCTTTCCATGAACCCCCCTACAGCAGTAAGTTTTGGACTGTAGCTGATTGTAAGCTGCTTTTTGAGAAGAATCAAAGTAAAACAATAATTGTGGATGACAGATGTCTTAAGACAGTCATAAAGACAACTTGTCACTGGTAACTTGGGATCTTTCCTTACTTTGTACCAGTTGCAAAGAATGAACACCCAGCTGGAAACAAAGTGAAGCATGTTTTATTCCTGGCCAGGAAGGGAGAAGGCAAACTCTTGCTCCGAATGCACCTTCTCCCTGAACAACAGAAGGCATGGGGTTTTAAAGGACTGCATACAGGGAGGGAGAGGAATGTTAGCATGTGCAGGGTGGGACTCCAGACCCACAGGCTCAGTTCATAAACATACATCTTCATACAATCCATGTACATAAAATAGTGGAGATTTTCTTTTGTGTGTGTGTGTTGCGGGCGGCGGGGGTGGTGGTGGTGCAGAATTTTGGCATTATAATATTTTAATGATCTGAAGGCAACTAGGATCATCTGTTCCAGCTTGGGTGCTTTGGGGGTCTTACCTCCCTCTGGTAGCTGGTCAGTGGTCATGACGTTCTGGCACCATCCCAGGCCCACTGGGTTCTTAAGCTGCTATGCCTATAAGTAAGGGACTAAAGAAAATCAGTAAGAAAAAGAGTCTTCCCAAGTTATTTCATCAGGGTTGCCCTAGATACAAAATCCCTCCTCTGTTTGCTCCTCATTCTTGATGGCTGCTGAGGGGTGGGGTCCATCTTCTAGAACTGCTTTCTGCTGTGTATAGGCATTGTCATTTCATAAGTTAGAGGAGAAAAACTCTTCCTTTGCTATTCTAAGGTAGGTCTGACTGTCACCAGGCTGCAACCCTAATTGCCAAGATCCCTTCTTGATTACCCTTTGTAGCTTGATTGCTTCCACTTCCTTGCTGATAAAGATTACTGAAAGGTTAAGAATACAGGGCCAAAAACCAGTAAAAGTATGATCATCACCAGTAGGCAAAGGACACCTTTTACTGCATTCCAGGTGTCGTTAGAGCTAATCTTGGTTACCCCAAAGGAGTTAGAGCCATTCTGCTTGTTTAAACATTTCCATTATATTAACTTCTATCTCCCCAGAGGTGTTTACTCAGGTGCAACAGGAGGTATTGGTGATCACACATACTTCTTATTGTTTTGCTAGTAGATAGTCTAAGGCCAACTGATTGTCCAGTACTACACTGGCCAGTGAATTGAAAGAAGGCTGTATATTCTGAAGAGACTTCCTGGTATTACCTGTGAGATTTTTTGACTGGGTTATATTTCTTAGGGTAGCCTCATGATAGGCGAAGCCCCTCAAGGGGCAGCCAACCGTACAGCAAGTACTATACCTACCAGGATCAGCCCAAGAGCCCTCTTAGACTTAATTGCAATGGCAGGTTTTGGTATGAATGGTTATTCCATTGGGTCCCAAAACACCTATTATATATTGTCCTGTGTGTATTACATTATCTACACAAGGGTGAACTACCACTAGCGATGGAAAAGAAAAGGTAGCAGCAGAGGAGCTATTAGGGAGGTGGTGGTGGGGAGAGCCACAAATGAACACACACCCTGCGGATGCACACACCCTTGTGGGAATGGGGAAGTTTAGCCAATGAAGTAATTAAGAGCCCTGAAGGGGAGGGTGAATCTTCTGACAATGAGGGCACAGGGGGCCTTTTTGAGTCCAGGTGAAATTTATTTTTATTACTGAAGCTATTGCTGGAGGTGGGTAGTGGAGTCCCCAGTATCCCTTGTTGGCTGAGGTAGGTGCTGGACCGTATGAGTCTTTGACTCTTGGAGTAAGATCCATGCAACCCATAGACAGGGAATCGCACAGAACAGGTGTGGGTTGGACTTTAGATTTTCATGGCACCTGTGTAAGGTTGAAATCACCTCCCCAAGGACACACAGTGTGCAATGTTCCTCAAGTCTGGAGGTGCCTGTGATATGTCCGGCATTAAGACAGATTGTTCTGGCTGGCTATAATGTGGTAGAAGTTGACTATTGCCTTTGTGCCCCAGAGTTCTTTGGCTGCTGAGATCAAAATCACCAAAGAGCATAAGAAAAAAAGAAAGAATACATTTGTATTTATCTAGACTAAGCACTCAGAGGTGGCTCAGAGATGAGGATGGTATTAGGCGAAGGGTCACTAGTTTAAGGAAACACCATGGGGCTTTCAGGGAGTGCTTGAGGGATTGTGGTTGAGCTATATGCAGTGTTTTATCAAGATGCCAGAGGGATATCAATCAGGACTAGCATGGTCAATATGTTCCAATACAAAAGGAAACAGCGCCCTAAGCCAGGGACCACCTGTGTGGACTACAGAACAAGTCCTAATGCAATCAGAAGCAGACAGCACTAAAGTGACACCAAGAACTCTCCTGGAAGGTAGAGACGTGTAAGTTTTATAGCAGTGACCTCTTTAGATGGGTCTAAGTATTCTTATCTTTTGGGAGTCCAGGTCGGGTTTTCAGAACAGCCATTTTAAATCCGAGATGGGTTCAGCCCAGTACAGCCCAGTATGAGGGAGTTTCCTGCACTGGTGCATCCACCTGTTTCACTCATGTGTGGTGAATCTGTGGGGTGACGCCCTTAAGTTTTAAGGCAGAATGTGTGGTCACAGTCACTAAGTATGGTCGCATCCGTTTTGGACCTAATTGCCTCTCTGGGCTTTGGACCTTCCAGGTTTTCAGATACGCCCAATCTCCATGGACATAAGGATGCAGAACCAGATCTGTCAATGACAGAGAAGCCTAGTTTCTGTAAGCTTCAAAAACATAGGCCATCTCCCTGATATGTAATGCATATTTTAGTTGTTCCTGTTCCTGTGGACTCAGCCCCTTCCCTGTGGCTGCCTCTGGGATTGGTCGCCCACACATCAGTTCAAATGTACTCAGTTTCTAAGTTCGCCTTTTGGGGCAGTCCTCATTCTACGAAGAGCCATGAGTAAGAGAGTGAGTTTTCCTGTTTCTTGGTACAGTTTAGCCAGGGTTCTCTTTAAGCTTTCGTTGGCTCTTTCCACTTCTCCTGAGGATTGGGGTCTCCATGCTATATGAAGTTTCCAGATGATTCCTAGGCCTTGGGCTACCTTGGGCCGCAGATACCACTGCAGATCTTCTCCAAATAAGGCGAGCCTAACTAATGGGGCCCAGGGCATGTTTGCCAGTGCAGATGGGAATTTGGAGTATCCCTGCCTCAGTGAGAGAAGCTGCAATGTGGAGGGGATAAGTCGTCCTTAAGGGTGTTGAGGGAAGGAAGGAAAAAATGGGAAGGAAGAAAAAATGTATTGCTTTACAGACAGGGTGATGATAGGCCAAAGCAAGGGAAGAGAGGTGAGTAGGCAGGGTAGAGAGCACAGCCATGGGCAGCGGCAGGAAGGCAGACATGGCAGTGGTTGAAGCAGTGGGACACAGGCACCAGGAGGGAGGCAGAGGCTGCAGCAGCAGAGACAGAAAAAGAGAAGAAAGATGATTTAAACCATGCACAGGACTAACACCATTGAGCTCAGGCATGCCTGGCACTTTCCTGAGGTCCAATCAGGCATCCCCAGTCTCCCAGTCTGGTCCATCTGTTTCAGATGGTCTTCCCTAGATGCCTCAATTAAACCATGGGTATTCTTTCAATTCCCAGAATGTGATCCATAAACCTCACAATGGAGATATCTTCCAATGCCCCAAAAGTGAGATTTGCCCTTTCCTGATGCCTTTTCCCAATTTGATAAATGCCCATGTTACCAGCTATCGCAGTCCTCTCAGGGTTGTGGCCACTGGCCTGATGAGGAGAGGACTGACAGGGTGATGGGCTTCGATACAGAGTAGCATGGTCATGGGCTCAAGCCCCACCTGCAGACACTCCCAGCAGACACTCCAAGCCATGACAATTTGACTTGGGTGTTGGCCCAAGATAAGCTGCTACTTCCCACTGCTCCAGCTGCTGGGAGTCACTGGTTAGGAGGTGCCACTCAGTCCCCAGCTGAGGGAGGCCATGGCCATCCTGGACAAGCATCCAGAAATTGTCACTGTTGAGTGAGTTCTTTCCCTACTTTGTACCACAAAGAAAGAACACCCAATTAGAAACAAAGGCAAGCGGTTTTTATTTCTGGCCAGGAAGAGAGGAGACAAGCTCTCACTCAATATGCCCCTTCTCCAGAACAATAGAAGACAAGGGTTTTTTAAGGACTGGGTACAGAGAAGGAGAGGAATGTAAGCACATTTGGGGTTGGAGTCCAGACCCACAGGCTCCATTCATAAGCATACATCTTTTTTTTTGTTTTTTTAAGACGCAGTCTTGCTCTGTCACTCAGGCTGGAGTGCAGTGGCACAATCTTGGCTCACTGCAACTTCCGCCTCCCGGGTTCAAGTGATTCTCCTGCCTTAGCCTCCCGAGTAGCTGGGATTACAGGCACCTGCTACCACACCCCGACTAATTTTTGTACTTTTAGTAAAGACGGTGTTTCACTATGTTGGCCAGGGTGATCTTGAACTCCTGACATTAGGTGATCCACCTGCCTTGCCCTCCCAAAGTGCTGGGATTACAGGCGTGAGCCACTGTGCCCGGCCCATACAACTTAAATATACAATGGAGGGTTTTTTTTGCAGGAGAGGGAACTTTAGCATTATAATAATATGTTAATGCTTTAAAGGTAACTAGGGGGTCTTCTGCTCCAGCTTGGACAGGTTTGGGGTCTTATCTCCCTCTGGTATCTGGTTAATGGTTATGAAGCTCTGGCACCATCTGATTTCTTGAAATAGCTGTGCCTATATATAAGGCACTAAAGAAAAATAGTAAGAAAAAGAACTTTCCCAGCTACTTCATCAGAGTTGCACTGGTAACAAATTGACAAGGAAATGTGGTTATTTCTGCAGCATACAACAATTTATCATAATAATCATAATTATTAATGATAACATAAACTAAGACATATCAGAATTTTAGGAATCTCATGCAATTTTGGAACACATTTCTAACACATTTATATAAATATAACTGAAGGAAAGTTAAACACCATTTCCTACATGACAATGCTTCCTATATAATTTTAACATACTGTGTAAGCCTCTTGGACTTCAGGAGGCCATAATATCTAAAAAGTTAGTTTGAGGTCAGAAAGACTGAAGTTAGAACTTGACATTTTGCTTTTGAAAAGTTTGTCAAATATCAAATGTATAAAACACTTGATATCACAAAATAGGATCATAGGTCACTACCAAATGTCATTCATTTAGCCAAAATGACAAAATATTTAAAAACACACTTTTACTCTTTGATAGTTTCCCAAACAGTAAGCCCTAATAAAGACAGCATGAAACCAACTCAGTCTCTCTCTCTCTCCTTTTTTTCCTGATGTTTACTCAAAAGTTAAACAAAAATCTTTCATTATTTCTTACTAATATTACATGAAAACTTTGTTCAAAAGAAAAAAACAATTTTGTTGTTTTGTTTTCTATACATTCTTTGTATATTATTAGTGTTAAAGCTAATTTTAATACAAATTTATAAATATATCTATCTAATTTTAATCAGTTTGACCATAAGATAAATTTGCCATAAACCTTTTATAACATTTTACAATTTTATATTAAATAGATCAGGTCTGCTCTGGTGGCTCATGCCTTTCATACTGACATTCTGGGAAGCCAAGGCAGGAGGATTACTTGAGCCCAGGAGTTTGAGACCAGCTTGGACAAAATTAGCTGGGCCTGGTGGTATATGCCTGTAATCCCAGCCACTCAAGAGGCTAAGGTGGGATGATCACTTGAGCCTGCGATGTCAAGGCTGCAGTGAGCCAGGATTGTGTCACTGCACTCCAGCCTGGGCAGACAGAATGAGACCTTATCTCAAAATAAATAAATAAATAAATAAATAGCGCAGATCAGTGCTCCAAGAAAACCCTGCTATTCCAATACAGGGGCCCAGATGCTGGCTTTGCATTATTGTGCTTTCGACATTAATGTTTAATTCACAGAAAAACTCTGAATTATCTCTCAAAATTGGCTTTCAACATCTCATGCACCCACATCTTCCATGACAGTCTCTGGGCCTAGAGAGACGGAATAATATTAATTTCTGAACCTGTGTCTCACAAAAGCAGCTCATTTTGTTTGTTGCTTTCTCCCTGGTCTGAAGGCAAAGTTTTGAGTTGTGTCAATGTTCAAGATTGAGAAGAAGTTGGTGCCTTTTTCAGACCCAGGAATCAAAGCCCAGTAATTTAATAGCACAAAGATTATAAAACAGTAAAGAAAGTTATATGGATGTAAAAACGTTCTTTTAATCTCAGTTTTCGTAAATGATTAAAAACAACTAATAACAATGACATAGTAATTATCTTGATAAAATGTAAAACCTGTTTCTTAGGCCAGTTACTGTGGGCGGAGGATTACCTAGGTGCTGAGGCAAGAGACTAAAAGCACAAACTGTTTCAATATAATAAAAAAATAGTTAAAATAAAAATAGTCATAATACAAATTAAATATAAAGATGATCATGAACAATTACCAATCATTATTATAAACATTATTAATCATTAGTTTTTAATATTACTCTTTGTTACATTACTAATATAACGTAAAAATAACCGGCAAATATAAGGTCAAGTACTAAAGAGACATTATAAAACGTGACCTAAAAAACAAGAGGTGAGCCTTCTGTCACACCCACATAAGGTCCGCTTGTGAGCTCCTTAGTCAAGCGATAACGCCAGTGTCTAAAAAGGCACCCATTACTTAACAAACCACAAAAGAGAGTCTTCTTTCCTTAAAAAACTCAAAAAACTCTACTCCACCAACTTCTTATAAAAGGCTAAATATTATCCAGGCCTGCCCACAGTCATCCAGAGGCCTAAACCCCTCCCTATAGTACTGTGCTTCAATAGTCACGCTCCTTGTCCACTTTCATGTTCCTCCCATACTCCTAGTTCCTCCTCAAAGTTCATAATAAATAGTGACAAAATAAAAGTCTTAAAATCTTTAATCTTTCTTATAAGTGCAAAAAAAAAAAACAAACAAACAATAGAAACCATCTGACATATACTGCCTTCTCTCTCTGCTTCGGCTACCTAAAAGAAAAGGGCCCCTAATCCTATAATCACGTGACTTACTTCACCTTGTCAATCACTTAAAAGATTCACCCTTCTTACCCTACCCCTTGTCTTATATACAATAAATATCAGCGAGCCCAGCCGTTCGGGGCCACTACTGGTCTCCACATCTTAATAGTAGTTGTCCCCCGGGCCCAACTGTTTTCTCTTTATCTCTTTGTCTTATATCTTTATTTATTACAATCTCTCATCTCCACACACACAAAAAAACACTCACTAAGCCCCATAGGACTAGACCCTACATCTGCTGCCCAACGAGTTACCAGAAGGCAAAGAAAGACCTTCTGCAGTGTGATTGCTTCTCCTTATGAGAAGCCCACTTAGACAACCTGAAAGTCAAACCTGATGAACAATGTAAACATAAAGAAAAAGGCTTTTTTAATTCTCCTGAGTACAGAATCAAGTTATACTGGAGGAAAGGCTTGCTTTTCTAGACCCTCAAGATAAACATTTCAGCATCGGGTCACAACAGCACTTAGAACTTGACAGAAAAAAATAATTACAGGAGTTGATGAAAAAGTTGGAGAGAATGATCATCTCAGTCTTTTTCAAGTAGAGCATAAAAGCTGAAAGCAGCAAGACACAACACAGTTGCACTTCTGAGCTATGAATCTGAGAAGTTTTAAAAAGAAGTAGATTATAGAATCAAAATCAAAACCTCTTGCACAAAACTGCTTCCCATACAAAATTATTCTCTTTTCCTTATAACCTTTCCTACCTGGATCACCTGGGCTCAAGTGATCCTCCCATCTCAGCCTGTTGAGTAGCTGGGACTACAGGTGTGTGTCACCACACCAGCTAATACATATTAATATCCACAATTTCTGTTTTCACATCTCTCTCCTATACTTACTGGTTCCTTTCTTCCTTGTTTCATAAATAACTTTTCCAAGTACATAACTTGAATCAACCTTTAGATAACTTCTGAATTATACAAAATTATCTTTCTCAATAAGAACACATCTTCTTCAGCACATTTTATATGCAAAATTATATAATAACTAGAATTTGTATTCTTAGTAACCTTAAATTTTAGTGAAAACCTAGGAAGCAAGAGATCTTGGACTGTCTCTCAGATTCACTCTGTTGCTCAGGCTGGGTGCAGTAACAGTGTCATGACTCACTGCAGCCTTGAATTCCTGGGCTCAAGTGATCCTCCCGTCTCAGTCTCCCGAGTAGCTGGGACTACAGGTGTGTGCTGCCACACCCAGCTAATTTTTATTTTTATTTTTTGTAGACACAAGTTCCCTCTGTGTTGCAGGCTGGTCTCAAACTCCTAGGGTCAAGCAATCCTTCTGCCTTGATCTCCCAAATTGCTGGGATCACAGGTGTGAGCTACCATTCCTAGTCCATAATCCTTTTGAATGGAAAATAACACAGACATTCAACAAGCATCTAAGATAATTTCTTTTTTTTTATTATACTTTAAGTTTTAGGGTACATGTGCAATATTTAAACTTACACAAGGAGATCACCTACAGCATTTACCCTATTTATATTTCATTCATTTTTAGCAATTTATTCAGATTACTTACAAGAATATAGATATTAGAGCTAGCCATTATTTCCTTGTTAACCATTTTTATAATGTGTGAATATCAGGTGTTCACCTAAGAAAGAAACTTAAAGTGAAATACATGGATCTTTTCACCAATAACTCAGAAGATTCAGCTGTTTTCATTAAACCAACAACATTAAATTAGTCTTACTTAAAAATCACACAAAAATTATTTTGTTCTTGCCTGGGTTTACAGTCTTACACCTTTTTGTGCCATACCCTGACCCATTAAAATAGCTAGCACAGACAAATATAAAATCTGGACAAAAATGTGTGCTGACAATTTCAAAGACATTTGAATTTTTATTTTATCAATAATCTTAAAGCCAGCTTATTGATTCAATATTTACTTAAGTCACATCAATTTGAAAAATACTTGGACTGACTGAATTTATGAGCACTCTTTTACTTATAAGCCAATTTGGTACCCAGTTAAAACAACACAAAACAAAATAAATGTTCATACACATAAACTCATCTAGACATACACACACCCATAAACAAAGATCCAATAGCTTTTACCTCAGAACTCTAACCATTAGATAAGAATACAAACTCACCAGTTTACATACATATTCATTTTGCAGAACGTTCTCCTTAGTTCAGCTAAAACCAGGTTCTTGTCACATAACCAGGAAAGATTAGGCTCACGGATACATAGAAGGGTTAGGAGCAGAATTTACTGGGTGAAAAGGAAAAAGAAAAAGAACTCAGCATAGGGACATGGAGTCCTGCTAACTGGCCCTCCACCTCATAGATTGAATCCCAGGTCCCCACAGGGGAAGTGAAGAGGCCAGGCTTCTCCCCGCTGCAAACAGCAGGAAAGTCCCGAGGCTCCACCCCGCCCTCCCAGTGCTCAGGTGGGCATTACTCAGAGAGAATCAGTGGGGAAATGGTGGGCTTCATCTGGGACCAGCGGTCCGGTTTTTCAGCCTTCAGGGTTTTAGGCTTGAAGGCAGGGTTTCACCAGGGACCCCTGGCCACCTCCTGTCTCTATTATTCACATGGATAAACTTTGCCCTGATAGGTAATTTGATGAAAGCTGTGAAACAACATTTTGGGTAAAGCAGTGGTAGCTTAATTTTAAAGGCCAAACCTTCCTAGACCCCAGAGAACACTGGAGACAAACATACCACAGAAGAGCATCACATACTAAGCAGGTCTAACTCTGCTTACAACAGCAGTATAAAATCCAGGATACATGAGACTCTATCCTGCTTTCCTATTCAACAGCAAAACGAAGACAGCACTACAATTCAAAGACTTTCTGAGATCAGACAAGATAGCGCATGTTCAGAGTTCCCGTATGGCCTTAGCCATCAGCCCACATCTACATTCACATCAACCCCAGTGAGTGCAACTAGAGGGGGCTGCATCCTGGGATTGAACCTCAACCTCCCACAACTACATCAACAACCACACAATCAAGAAAATACCATTCGCTTGAACCTGGGAGGCGGAGATTGCAGTGAGCCGATATCACACCACTGCACCCCAGCCTGGGTGACAGAGCGAGACTCTGTCTCAAAAAAACAAACGGCCGGGCGCGGTGGCTTACGCCTGTAACCCCAGCACTTTGGGAGGCTGAGACAGGCGGATCACGAGGTCAAGAGATCGAGACCATCCTGGCCAACACAGTCAAACCCCATCTCTAAAAAAAAAAAAAAAAAAAATTAGCTGGGCCGGGTGGCGGGCGCCTGTAGTCCAAGATACTCGAGAGGCTGAGGCAGGAGAATGGCGTGAGCCCCGGAGGTGGAGCTTGCAGTGAGTCGAGATCACTGCACTCCAGCCTGGGCAACAGCGCAAGACTCCGTCTCAAAAAAAAAAAAAAAAAAAAAAAAAAACAGAAAGAAAGAAAAGAAAAGAAAAACAAACAACAACAACAAAGAAAATACAATCCAACTGCTGCAGCAATGAACAAGCCTCCAAAGTGTCCAAACTGAAACAGTATTTCCTCTCTCGATCAGATGGACTTGTTCAACCTGCAAACAGAAATTATTTTGCAATTTTCCAAATTGAGAGAAGCCCAACCTGCTCTCTGGTACCCACAAAAGATACTTGCCCTGACACACAAACAGTTACTAACAAGCCCCCAAGAGTGTCCAAACTGAAACAATCGGGTGTTTTCTCTCTCCGTCAGTTGGGCTTTTTAAACCTGCAAAATGCCTTTGGAATTTCCCAACTTGAGCGGAGCAGACCCCACCGTCTGGGCCCACAAAAGACACTCACCTGTCCAGATGCAGATGTCAAATTTCAAAGGCTGTTCTTCCTAGGCAATCAGGAATGTGGTTGAGGCCGGCACTGGCGATGCCAGAGAGAGAGACTAAAACTCACCTCCAGCCATAAAATGGCAGGCAGCTTCTTAGGAGGGCTTCTGAGACTCCCAGCCCTTGGCAGCAGCTGAGCCATGAGCAACAGCAATGCATTCCAGATCAGGGAACCAAAATCTGTTACCAAAATGCTAGGGGTTTGGTCTAGGTTCTGCTGCTCACCACCCAGAAAGCCAATCACTGAGACAATATCGCCAGGGAAGGAGGCTTTAATCAGATGGTACAGCCAAGGAGAGCTAGAGATGAAATCTCAAATCCATCTCCTTGACCGACTAAAATTGAGTTTATGTAGTGAGGAAGGTGGAAAAACAGGAATTAGAGAGGAGTAAGGAAGCAATCATAATGGATGAGGGGTCTGGCCTCTCATTGTCTGGATGCAGTGATCTGTCAATTCTTTGCCTGTGGGTTGGTTTCCTGAGGAAGAAACTCAGATGAGACAAAGGTAAGTTTCAAGTTTGAAGACGAGGGAGGGACAGTTTCAATATTTATTCAAAAATCCTGTAAATATCAGTTCTATGGGACAATTGGGCTGATTACAGAACCAGAACCTATAATAAATGATTTCTTACAATAAATTGGCTCACACAATTATAAAAGCTGAGAAGTCTCATGATTTTCCTTCTGCAAGCTGGAAATCCAGGAAAGCTGGTGGTGTAGTTCCATCCAAGTGTGAAGTCCTGAAGCTGGGAGAGCCAGTGGTGTAAATCCCAATCTGAGTACAGGAGAAGATGGAAGTCCAGGCTCAAAAATGAACAGGGCAAAGTCTCCCTTACCCTGCCTTTTGTTCTATTCAGAACTCCAGCAGTCTGGATAAGACCCAGCCACACTGGAGAGTGTTCTCTGCTTTATCTTGTCAACAGACAAAATGTTAATTTCATCCAGAAACATCCCGTAAAATATTTAACCAAATAGCTGGGCACTCCATGGCTGAGTCAAGTTGACACATAAAATTTAACCATCCACCTCTTGCCAACTTGCCACTCATACACATCTCCTTAAATCATATTTAATCTCCAAATGAAGGCAATAACAGGTCATACCTCCAGCAAATATGATGCAACTACACTGAATACCCTGAAAATGCATTAATCCCTTCCTCAGAAGTTGAGATATAATCCTTGAGTGATGTTTATTCTTCTCCATGACATTCTGTAACTTAAATGCTGGATGTAAAGTGAACAATACTTAAATACTATGATAATCGGTCAATACATCTTATGCTGCATGATAAGGGGTTAAGAAATTGAGTGTCATAGCTTGTTCATGTCAATACTGCCTCAGTATTCAGCTTGTCCTGTCTCTGACTTGTCGCCCTTGAGCTACATTTTTTGAGGCAGTCTCCACATTTTTCCCATTTTTGTGTTCTAGATACATAAGGCTCCATAACATAAACTGTTTGAACACCTTACTTCTGCTTTAAGCCTGGTGACCCTGATAATATATCCCCCTGTTTCTGCACTGAGCTTTTCCATTCCCTTCAAATTAATCAATCAACCCTTGTTGCAGGAAACCCACCTAGGTAATAACCTGGACCCCAATAAAGTCTTCAGCTTACAGATTCCTCTTTATCTCTCTTGCTTCCCACCCGCTAGTTGAGCATGTGGGTCCAAGACAGCCCCGCTTTTCCCACTGGCCCTGTGAGGCATGCTGCCCTCTTTGCTGAACTGAGTAATAAACTTATCTTTTGGCCATTTCAGTCTGAGTATTCCTCACTGTGCCACACGTGACTGTACCAAATCTAACTTAAATTATTTTAAAATTTGTAACAACTGGCCTCACTGTTGGTGAGGGACACCCTCGAAGTCCTTTTGACTGCTCTTGGCTGACAAACTGGCTGACCAGAGTGGCTATGACCATCTAGGAAGGCTCAATCACTTGCTGGCCTAGGACCACACTGCTGTGTGCTGCTGGGTGCTGCTTACGTAGAGTGCTAGCAAGACTCCTATCTTAAATTGTGGATTTGAAAATCAGAGTATATTTGGCCAGCTATGACCCAGAAAAATGGGAGGACCTCCTCCATCACTCCTGGGAGTAAATGGTTCTGAGTCACATTGGTTGCAGAGTAATGAAAGGTCCTTGCAAGCTAGCAAGATATTTTAGGGGACAGGTGGTGTACAGCTCCCACTGGCTTGAAGCTGTTAGGCAAGATATTGAGTTAGTGTTTGGAAATATATGGAGATGGGCCGGGCACAGTGGCTCAGGTCTGTAATCTCAGCACATTGGGAGGCCGGGACAGGTGGATTACCTGAGGCCAGGAGTTCGAGACCAGCCTGGACAACATGGCGAAAGCCTGTCTCTACTAAAAATACAAAAGTTAGCCAGGTGTGGTGGTGGGTGCTTGTAGTCCCAGCTGCTTAGGAAGCTGAGGCAGGACAATTGCGTGAACCTGGGAGGCGAAGGGTGCAGTGAGCTGAGATCGCACCACTGGACTCCAGCCTGGACGACAGAGTGAGACTTCATTTCAAAAAAAAAATACATATATATATATATGGAGAGGACAACTCCTTTACCCCCCATTCTGCTGTATCTGTGGATGGTATTGGGAACGATTTACAAAGGCCCTACTTAGAAAGAGGGGTGTCCCCACTAACTAGGGAGTCGTGATACCTCATAAAGGGTATGCTGTCGGGATCTGCCATCCCATTGCTGCTGCCTTTTCTGTTGCTATTGTTCTTTGCTCCCTAACTCTATGGGTTACTGAGGGTCTAACTCCTGATGCTCAGTGACCAATGACTTAACGACTCAGATTAAAGGGCTGGAATATCTCATTCCTATCCCTTGCAAGATCCCTGAGGAGATCAGCAAACTATTAAAGAAATTTAAGGCTGGGCGTGGTGGCTCATGCCTGTAATCCCAGCACTTTGGGAGGCCGAGGCGGGCGGATCACGAGGTCAGGAGATCGAGACCATCCTGGCTAACATGGTGAAACTCCGTCTCTACCAAAAATACAAAAAAATAGCCAGGCATCGTGGCGGGCGCCTGTAGTCCCAGCTACTTGGGAGGCTGAAGCAGGAGAATGGTGTGAACCCGGGAAGCGGAGCTTGCAGTGAGCTGAGATCGTGCCCCTGCACTCCAGCCAGGGTGACAGAGTGAGACTCCATCTCAAAAAATAAATAAATAAATGAATGAAAAAAGAAATTTAAAAATGCCCATCCAATGCACCTGGGCTCTGCTGGGGTCTGCAGCCAATCAACATGCTAAAGCCTTGGTCTCAGGCTCACAAGAGCTTGGGGCCTTGCCAGATGATCCTGCCACTGTTGCACTAGTGGGAACAAATCCAAACCCAAATGAGGTCAATTAGAATATCTGAGAGAGGCAGGTAGCTACCTACAAATAGAACCAATAAAAACCAAAAACCTTCCCAGAGGTCACTGGCAAGGTCAAACTTGAGGGTGAACAATAGAACCTAGAAGACAAGACCAGAAATTTTATCTAATTAGACGTTCAAATTATTCTTAAAGGTTTTAAGATGATGAGAATGTTATAAGTGGCAAGTATCAAACTCTCACAGCACCAAATATGTTACTGGCAGAAGATAACCAAGTCACCAGTGGGGAATCCCTATAGGTCTGCAGCAACCTCAATTCTTGCCTCCTCAGAAGAAAGAATTCGACTGAGGGGCATAAGGCAGAAAAAGAGACCGAGGCAAGTTTTAGAGCAGGAGTGGAAGTTTATTTAAAAAGGCTTTAGAACAGGAAAGAAAGGAAAGTATCCTTGGAAGAAACCCAGGCAGGCATGTGAAAGTCAAGTGCCGTGTTTAACCTTGATCCTAGGACTTTTTAGGCTGGCCCCTTTCCCATGATTCTTCCCTTAGGGTGGGCTGCCCGCATGCGCAGTGCCCTCCTTACGCTTGGGAGATGAGCACGCATAGTGTGTTTAGGAAGTTGTATGAATGCCCATCTGAGATTTCTTCCCTTTTCTGGTGAAGTGCCCCCAGAAGGTCATACTCCTGCCATTTTATCTCTTAGTGCGCATGCCCAGGCTCACTCGCCCAATACCTGAGATTTTATTGGAAGCCTCTTTTGCCTCTCCCTGGCACCTGCATTCAATTAACACTTTAATGCAACAGGTGTGGACCATCAGGATATGACCTTGCCCTGGTGCCTGCTGCCAGATTATCACTTTTAGAGAGGCAATGTGATAATTGCCTTACCATCACCTGACATTCCTAGTGGATGGGGGAGAGCCCTATCCTGCCCCACTCATGCCCGTCTGCCTACTGTAACAAGAACGTAGTGCTATTCGTATAACTTTATATTGACTGCCTCAGCATCCATTCTGAATGTGTTCAACTTTCTCATACCGCAAATGGAGCTCAGTCAACCTTAACACAGTTTCCAGTTCCCTGCGTCTTCCCCATTCCTCAGTTCAGTTAGTCCAGATATCGGCATTGTACAGCCTCCCTATGGGATAGCTACATACAACCTACTTGATTGGTCCCACTGACCTCCACACCCCATGTGGAATGCTTAGATATGCCACAGCGACTACCTCTCAGTCATGGCGTGACTTCCTGGAACTCGAGCCTACTTGCTCTACATCTACCAGTTAAAACTTCCCACAGGAAGCCTGCCTGGGTAATGCCTTGGATCTCAATAAGCATTTTGGTTTTCAGGCCCTTTGCTCATTCCCTCTTGCTTCTCGCACAAGCGTGCATGTCCCAGATGCCCCCACCCTTCCCATCGGCACTCAGACACGAGCTGCCCTCTTCTCAATGGGACCTGTAAGGAATTTGCTGCTTCTGGTATTTCATGTGTTTTGCTGTGCTGCCTCCTCTGTGTCTTACCTGACTCACACACCCAAACCTGACTCTCCTTCTGGTCAGGGATCTCCCAGAGAGCGGCTATCTTGGTAGGAATAGAGTGGACACAGTCAGGAGCCTCCACAGCATTTGCCAGGACAAACAAGGTTCAGGTGAGAGGGACAGCTGGTCACTTGTCAGATTTTTAGGGATTCGGCTGTCCACCAACATAAAGAGGTATTCCATAAAGGAATATCGTCAACATCCACGACCACCTCCCCTGGAACCCCAGCAGGATATGGCTAAAGTTTATAGCCACTCTCCAGACAGAGAGAGAGACCTCAAGATGAAATTAGAGAAAAATCACAATACAAGAGGGAGCAGGTTTATTGTTACATACGTTTAATATAGGGTCAAGTTACTACTAAGGGATACTGCGGTGAGGCATATCCTCAAAATTAGGCATAACCAAAGACTTCCAAACCTGTAACTTATTAAAGGGTCCCATATATTATGAACCAAATTCTGACATGATTATCATGGCCCTCCAAGGGGTCAAACTAAATCTAGAGAAGCTGAACTCCCAAAATAGAAGGGAGGGTTATAGAATACTCATATGATGAGTACTGACCTTCAACCCAAAGAGAAGAGGAGGAATGAGCACGGCCCTTGCTTACTTGGGCTTTTAAGCCTGGAAGAGGCTCATCCCCTAATAGCAGACATTGCTGCTGAAGCACAGGGACAGTGGGAAACCACCAAGGACACTTGGTCCCTTTGAGGTAAAACTGGCATATGGTTTAGTGTGTATGTCATTTCTCTGAACACCCCAAATAAAAATGATAATGAATATATTTCTAACTCGGAGGAGGCCCCTTTTGACCCCAAGTCAAGAAAATACTTTTTTTCCCAAGAGGTATTGTCCAGCTACCATAAACAGTCCTCAGTTTGGTGAGGGCAGCTTACACTATCTATGAGGCATGGATGGAATTGATTTGCTGGCTGGCCATGAGGAAAGCATAAGTCCCAATTCTCAAATATTAGTGTACTCTCAGCTGGGTGCGGTGTAATCCCAGCACTTTGGGAGGCCGAGGCAGGTGGATCACCTGAGGTCAGGAGTTCAAGGCCAACCTGGCCAACATGGCAAAGCCCCGTCTCTACTAAAAAAAAAAAAAAAAAAAAAAAAAAAAAAAAATAGCCAGGTGTGGTGGCATGTGCCTGTAATCCCAGCTACTCTGGAGACTGAGGCAGGAGAATTGTTTGAACCTGGGAGGCGGAAGTTGCAGTGAGCTGAAATCGCACCACTGTACTCCAGCCTGGGCAACAGACTGGGGACTCTGTCTAAAAATAAATAAATAAATAAATTAATTAATAATAATAAAATACTAGTATATTCTCAAATAATAGTATGATAATAAGGGAGACTTGCCTTTTTATAGGAGGCCTGGACAAACCACACCAGTGCCACCGCCACAATCACCTCAACCACGGCACAGCCCATGAGCACCCCCCGAGCTCCTAATCACCCCTTACATTGGCAATTAAGGGAGACAGAGTGCCAAGCTATGTAATTTCAGGACAACTAGCATCCAGACTTCAACTAAAGATGCTCTAATAAGCCGGGCACGGTGGCTTACTTCTGTAATCCCAGCACTTTGGGAGGCCGAGGTGGGTGGATCACAAGGTCAGGAGATTGAGACCATTCTGGCTAACACGGTGAAACCCCGTCTCTACTAAAAATACAAAAAATTATCCAGGCGCGGTGGCAGGCGCCTGTGGTCCCAGCTTCTAGGGAGGCTGAGGCAGGAGAATGGCGTGAACCCGGGAGGTGGAGCTTGCAGTGAGCGGAGATTGCACCACTGCACTCCAGCCTGGGCGACAGAGCGAGACTCCGTCTCAAAAAAAAAAAAAAAAACAATGCTCTAATACAATTACAGGCACAATTTCAACCTAGTCAGTTTGAAAAAATCTGCACAAAAGCCCTCTGCTGTTCAAGACAATAGCCTTACTCAGGCTGTGCCATTCCTGACTTGCACAAGGAGAGCCCTCTCGACCTCTATCATAGGGGTCTGTTGCCTCTGCAGGTCTTGGCCCACCACCCACAGACAATTGCCCTCTGGGGGTTCACTGGAATGGGAAAAACTCACAGACCTTTCTGACGTTATTAGATACAGGTGCCCAATTCACAGTACTTCTGAAAAATCCTAATAATTATAATGAAGGAACACCCTGTGACTTATAGGGGATTGCCAGCAAAACAATCTCTGGTAACAGGTGACCTTTGATGTAAGCATTGGCTCTATTTTTATTAAACAATTCCCAGTGGCCGCGGCCCCACTGGCTGTCACTTTCTCCACCGTGGGAATGGATACATGTTAGAGTCAAGTTAAATCCTTAGTGCTACTGGTGGGAGAAATGGGAACCAGTGCACTGCCCCATCCCAATAGAGATGGCACATAATCCCAATATCAAATAAAACAGGGTACTGAGGGCTACGTGATTACTGTCATTACCGACCTCCTCAAGGGGGGTGTCATTGTTCCTGCAAATTTCACCATTTAGTGGCCCCCTCTGGCCTGTACTCGAGGCCTCTATAAGCAAATAGAGATTAGCCATAGGCTGCCACAATTTAAGCAGTCAGGTCCATCCAATAAAGGTTTTAACTGTAAACATTGCAACTGATAATACCGGTGCCCTTTTTCACAGCCAATGACTTGGCCAACATGTTTTACTCAGTCCTATAGTAAAGAATCCTCAGAGCCAGGTTGCATTTTTTTTTTTTTTTTTTTTTTTTTGAGACGGGGTCTCGCTCTATCGCCCAGGCTGGAGTGCAGTGGCGCGATCTCGGCTCGCTGCAAACTCCGCCTTCCGGGTTCACGCCATTCTCCTGCCTCAGCCTCCTGAGTAGCTGGGACGACAGGCGCCCACCACCGCGCCCGGCTAATTTTTTGTATTTTTAGTAGAGACGGGTTTCACCGTGTTAGCCAGGATGGGTCTCGATCTCCTGACCTCATGATCTGCCCACCTCGACCTCCCAAAGTGCTGGAATTACAGGCGTGAGCCACCGTGCCTGTCTGCTTTCACTTTCAAAGATGCCCAATATATGTAAGTTCACATGGTTACCTCTGGGATATTTAAATTGTCCTGCCTTTGCTCGTAATCTGTGCGAACAGGATTTACAGAGACACTTTTTTTCATCTCCATTGCTGAAATGGCATTGATGTTATATTACTAATGGGAGTCTCCCAGGAGACAGTATGAACAGACCTTACTACTCTCAGAAGGTAGGGGGATGGGTCATAGCTACCCATAAAAGACAAGGGTTTTTGACCACTGTTACATTCTTGTGGATCATGTGGTCTCCAATGGTCAAGGCATTCCCATGACAGTGAAGCACCACATTCTCACAGGATACATCCCCAGGGGACTCAAACACACTCAACATCTCCTGGGGCTTTTCCTGTCCTAAAGGACATGCCCTCACCTGTCACTTATACTTAAGCCTACATCTTCTATTTAAGTCTCTTCTACTTAAGCCTATCTATGCCATTACACGAAAGCCCACTTCCTTCCACTGGGAGGGACCCCAACAGGCAGATTTACAATGAACACAACAGGCTTTACCATCTGTTCTCCAGGATCAGCCTTCTGGATCCAGTCCTTGACCACCTTAGAGTATCTATCATAGAGTCTCTACACTAAACATGATTATAACTGGCTGCTCAGGAACTTTTGAACCAAGAAGCTAAAATCAGTCACTAACCACTGTGCAGCTTTAGAACACCAGACTCTGTGGAGACTGAGGTGCTCGCACAGCCTGTGAGGCTGCAAAAACAAATTCCCTTTCTGCCTTTGGTGCAGATGTTTTCCAACAGTGGCTTGGCACAACCATTGACTCCTCCTTGTTAAAATAAAAATGGTACCTGCAAGAAAGGACAAAACCTGACATTAAAGGAATTTCCAAATTACAGGAGAATGTAGCTTCCCCCACACTCAGCCCTATGCCTACTACAGTTGGGGAATGGGGGATGACAACTCCATTGCTTCCTCCTTTTGCCAAGTGGGGTGTCCCTTGGGACCAGTGGTCTGACATGGAAAGAGAGTCTGTGTACAATCATGCACTGCATGACATTTAGGCCAACAACAGACTGTATATACAACGGGGGTCCCATAAGACTAATGGAGCATACATAGAAAGCCATCTAGGTTCCTGTAAGTACACTCTAAGATTTTCAAATAATGATGAAATCACCTAACAACCCATTTCTCAGAACATATCCCCGTGGTTAAGTTATACATGCCTACATGTCAACGGCACTGCCACCATTGTACACAACACAGCCTGTTAATGGGCAGCAGCAAACCACCCAGCTGTAAACACCCACTACTAGAGGATGGCATCAGCATCCTTGGATCCACCCAATCAAAAGAACTTGTTGCAGTTCCCTTGGCTACAAGACATGCCCAAAAGTGGGGACTAGCAGAGTTTTACATCTTTACTGACTCACAAACTGTGGCCAACTACTTGGTTATCTAGATGGGACAGTGAACATTAAATAACCTTATTATACAAAATAAACCTCACTGGAGCACCTGCCATCTGGAAGGAAATGGCCACCATCACATATCTCCATTTCATCTCACATGTGTGGGCCCAAACCAATGCCACTAACCCATAGCTCATTTCAAAAATATTGCAGACATGCTTACAAAGCAGCAAGTCTGTAGCATCTTTCCAGACATTCTTTATCTTCCAGCAGAATGGGCACGTGCTAAGTTGGGACACCAAGGTATCTCTACACTGGACTGGACCTATCACTGGGGCATTCCATTAACTCCTTATTTAGCTAAAATGGTCACTTACAACTGCACCATGTATGCCAACACTAAGCTTTGGGCATTTTCCAGCTGGGACTGCATTCCTGGAGTGGATTGACCTTATTCACACTGGCACATTCACCACATTGGTCCACTTCCTCCCAGCAACGTAGCCACAAAGAATGCTCTCACTGTGATTGACGAGTTCACAGATTACTCTTAGCCCATCCCAGCAGACATACTGCTGCTTCCACAACCATGGCCAGACTCACCAATTCCATCTTATTGCATTTGGGTGCCTACAGGTCCTTGACTCAAACCAGGGCATTCATCTTTCAGCACTTGCTGTTCAACAATGGGCCAAAAACCAAGGCATACAGTAGAACTTTCACTTAGCCTACAGACCTCATGCACTAGTCCTAACTGAAAGACATAATGGCCTTTTCAAAGACCTATTACTCAAATTACAGTGAGTTTTTGAACTCTCAATGGGTGGCCACATTTATACAAGCTCTCATTCTCCTTAACTCTTGGACTACAGGTTTCCACGTCATGCACCAAGTACTTCAAACTCTTTCCCATGGCTCTGATATTATCAGGAGACTCCCCTCGCTCACTTCATTGTGGTAGAGGACTGCATCCACATTCATTCCTCAATAAAACTCATCACACACTTTTAATTTTTCAATCATCTGCCAAATTTCCTACATTGATGGACTAATTGTGGGTTGATAACAAAGTCTGACTCCCAACAGTTGAAAGAAAAACTGTATGTCCCTCATGCTTGCTGCTTGACCATTCATACCCAGAACCAGCTAGATCTAAGCCTGAGGCTTTACTCAAGTTTTAAGGATCTGAAATCTAGTTAATAAATCTAAGTTCCTTCTATGCCTCACAGAAAGAGATCACCGTTCCTGGTCCCAGCAGCAGCATGGTCTGGTCACAACTTTGGAGGCAAAAAAATTACATCTAGTGAATGCCAGTCATTTTAGAAAATGACTACCATTTGACCTATCGTGTTGGCCTGTGATCAGTACAAGGCCCAACACTCCATATGGGAAGCACCTATGATCAAACAGGCCCTGGACATATGTCTAAAGCAATCCACTGGGAGGATGTACAGATGCTTGCAGTCATAATTCAAGTTTCTCCTCCCAAACAAAAGCCAGGGAGACTTCTCCATTGCCTGTGTTCAGCTTGGTTTTGTGTCTTAGTCTTGTTTGCTGCATGGGTGCTGGGGTTACTCACCTACCCTCAGGGCTTGCTCCTGAGTACCATGGGACATGCCAGCAACATACTTTTTGCAAACAGCTGAACCACTGGGTGACAAAACAGAATGTTGGAGACCCCTCCTCATTTTTTTCCAGCCAGCTTGCCACCACACCTGGCTAAGGTATCTGCCTTCTATAGCACATGGAACAGATGTTCAATCATGCATGATTCCATTCCATCACATAACCTACAAGCCATTCTTCTAAAAATGAGAATGGCCTTCCGAATATAATCAAATTAAACTTTCTTAGCTAAACACTGTTCAAACATCCCAGCCTGGAACGAACATCCCAGCTCATTCAAACAGCAGCCATCGGACAAAATCTTTGACTGCTGAGAGGGACTCCAGAAGATTGCCCTTCAATTGGCATCAAATTGTGGCCAAAGTGTTTATCTACTGTAGATGGATGCTACAGGCTCATCTAGGCTGAAGGCAGTAAAGAACTTTGTGCTCTGATAATAAGCTTCTGGAGGTGACAGAGATCTGTAGTCCTAGCA
The DNA here is from genome assembly GCF_000001405.40 of Homo sapiens. Classification (NCBI taxonomy): domain Eukaryota; kingdom Metazoa; phylum Chordata; class Mammalia; order Primates; family Hominidae; genus Homo; species Homo sapiens. The sequence continues at coordinate 23,609,672 of NC_000015.10, forward strand.
GCCACCATGACGCCCACACAGCTATTCTTACCCGAGCCTCCAAATTATATAAGACCTCTGGACCACCATATCAGATAGACACTTATCCTTCATGGATTTCCACTTGGGAGGGATTGTCTTCTCCAGGGTGACATGCATCTACAAAGATGACACTGGCTGAGATGACAGTGCCCCAATCAGAGACACCATCAAAACTGGGCACTCTGGCTAAGTCAAGTTGACACACTAACTTAGCTATCACAGTGATGGACGTATAGTGAGATCTCAACCATGACCCTGCCTTTGGCCTTTGAGATGCTCAAACTCCATCTTAGGGACTGAATTTGTTAAACAACTAGAGAATAGGCCAGGTGTTATGTTCTCTGAGACTCTGTAATAATAAAAAAGCAGAATAAAAATGCTTCAGAAAAATCAGGGCAACATAGCAGGCTTGGGAAGTTGGGGAAAATCTCTTAAAGAAGGGGCGTATAGGCTGAGCCTGGACAGTTTTCAGGTTCTCCCCAGCTACAGTCCTCATCACTGGAAGTGTCATAATTTCTTTTACAAATATGTGTATGTTTATATGTGTGTGTGTAAATGGTACATAAAATATGTATAATATAAAATATAACAGTACCATTTACACGCACATATATACATGTACTATATTTACATGCATACATACATACATTAGTCTAGGTACATGGTATAATTATATTTTATATTATTCCAATATATTTAATATTACATATTCTAAATAAATCAAAGTTTTCTATATAAATACTAATACGTTATTTATATAGTATGTATGTATGTATGTGTAAATCATACCAGAAAAGTGGGATAAATTATAAAAGTATTTTTGGTGGCATCAGAGAGTTTTGGAAGCAACAAAAACTGTAAGAGTTAAAATTCTGAAGACAAAAACAACTTGCGAAGATGTATTAATGATATACTGTTGCTCTTTTTTCAGAGATATTTGTTGAGTGATGTTTCAGGCTGGAAGCGGTGAGCCACTGACAGGGATCAGAGAATTCCCCACAGAATTTGGCAGTCACATGCATGGATTTAGAAAGACAAAGTTGGAAATGAATTGTTGCAGCTAATTTCTCCCTCAAGACATTGTCTACATTCTGAAGCTAGATCTGGTGGCAGAGGAGACTAAGGAGCTCAGTATTTCCACATAGTAACAACAAACATTCTAAAAAGAAACAAGAGAACAATCTTACTTACAACAGCTTCAAAAAATAAAATATTTAGAAATAAGTTTAACCAAGAAGGTGAAAGACCTGTACACTGAAAAATGTTAATAACAAAAATTATAGAAGACACAAATAAATTGGAAGATATTCTGTGTTCATAGATTGGAAGAATAATGTTGCTAAAATGTCCATACTACCCCAAATGACTTATAGACTCAAAGCAATTTCTAACAAAATTGTAATGTAATTATTCATAGTAACAGAAAAAAATATAAAATTAATGTGGAACCACAACAAACTCTGAATAGCCAAAGGAATCATGAGTAAGAAGATGAAAGCTGGAGGCACCAACCACATGCATGATTTAAAACTACACTACAAAGCAATAGTAATTAAAACAGTGTGATACTGGCATGAAAATAGACTCGTTGGCTGGGTGCAGTGGCTCACGCCTGTAATCCCAGCACGTTGGGAGTCTGAGGCAGGAAGATCATGAGGTTAGGAGTTTGAGACCAGCCTGACCAACATGGTGAAAGCCCGTCTCTACAAAAAATACAAAAATTAGCCAGGCATGGTGGCACATGCCGGTAATCCCAGCTACTCAGGCAACTGAGGCAGGAGAATTGCTTGAACCCGGGAGGCAGAGGCTGCAGTGAGCCTAGATTACACCACTGCACTCCCGCCTGGGTGACAGAGCAAGACTCTATCTCAAAAAAAGAAAGAAAGAAAAGAAAAAGAAAATAGACTCATCAACCAATAGAATAGAAGATAAAACCCAGAAAAGAATACATGCATATGTAGTCAATAAATTTTTAACAAAGGTGCCAAGTATACATATTGGAAAAGGGACAGTCTCTTCAATAAGTGGTGTTGGGAAAAGTGCATATTCACATTCATAAGAATGTTGGATCCTTATCTCACACCCTGTACAAAAATAAACTCAAATTGGATTAAATACTTAAGCATAAGACCTGAAATTCTAAAACTACTAAGAGAAAACATAAGGGAAAAGCTACACAACATTGGTCTGGGCAATGAGTTTTTGGATTTGACCCCAAAATCACAGGCAACAAAAGCAAAAATAGACAAATGTCATTACATCAAAATAAAAAGATTTTGCAAAACAAAGGAAACAATTAATAGAGTAAAAAAACTACCTATTGTTTGGGAGAAAATACTTGAAAGCCATACATCTGATAAGGGGTTAATATCCAAAATATATAAGGAACTCAGCTCTACAGAAAAACAAACAAATAACCCTATTAAAAATAGAGAAATTACTTAAATAGACATTTCTCAAGAGAAGACATAAAAATGATCAACAGATATATGAAGAAGTGTTTGACACCACTAATCATCAGAAATGCAAATAAAATCTGCAATGAAATATCACCTCACACGTGTTAAAATGGTTATTGTCAAAACAATGAACAATTCGTGTTGGGGAGGGTGTCGAGGAAAGGGAACCTGTATGCACTGCTGGTGGGAATGAAAGTTAGAACAGCCATTATGGAAAAATAAACTAAAAATAGAATTATCATATGATCCGGCAATCTCACTTCTGGATATATACCCCCACAATTTAAAATCAGTGTGTTAAAGAGGTATGTGCACTTCCATGTTTGTTGCAGCACTATTTCCCAAAGCCAAGTTATGAAATCAACCTAAGGGTCCATCATCAGATGAATGAATAAAGAAAATGTGGGGAAAAAAGAAAACGTGGTATATATACCCAATAGAACATTATTAAACCTTAAGAAAGAAATTCTGTCATTTGTGACAACATAGACGGAATTGGAGAACATTATACTAAATGAAATAAGCCAAGAAGAAAGACAAATACTGTGTTACCTCACTCATATATGGAATATAAAACAATCAAAGAAGTAGAGAGAAGAATGGTGGTTACCAGAGGATGAAGGGATAGAGTTAGTAGGGAGATAACGGTCAAAGGGTATCAAGCCTCATTTAGATTGGACAAGTAAGTTTTATTTTCTTTGGAATGTATTGCACAGCATGGTGAATACAGCCAATGAAAATGTAGAGTACACTTCAAAACCGTTGAGAGTCAATTTCAAATGTTCTCACCACAAAAAACGGGTATGTGGGCTGATACACACGTTATTAAGTTTCATTTAATTATTTCACATTGTATTTAAGCATCATAACATTCCTTTGTATTCCATAAATATATATAATTTGTCAATTTACTGTTGAACAATAAAAATAAATCTTTACAACAACAAGAACAATAAAAAGTGAACACAGGGTGACTTATTTTCACCAGACAGATGAGGAAAGCTTCCCTGAGCAGATCACTTCAGATCTCAAGGCTATGAAGGCATTAGCCAGGATAACAGCAGCATGTGAAAAGTGTCTGTGACTGAAGGACGCATGGTGTTTTTGGGGAACCACCGTAAGGTGAGACAGCTGGTGCACAGAGAGAGGGTGAAAGGTGATCATGGTGGAAATGATGCCACCACGATGATGAGCGAGGATGATTCTTATAACTGACATCTCATAATGGAATGGAAACTTTACAGGAAACAGATGGAGGCTGGAAGTAAATATATGTACATACACACAAATAGGCCAAACGAGAACTGCTATGGTCAGAATCTTTGTGTTTTCCCAAAATTGATTTGTTGAAACCTAACCCCAAGGTGATGGTACTAGAAGGTGAGGGGCTTTTTGCTGGTGATTAGATCATGAGGGTGGAGCCTCATTAATGGGATTAGTGCCCTTATAAAAGGAACCTTGGAGAGCTCTTTCACCCTTTCCTCCATGTGAGGACACAGCGTAAAAACAGCCATTGGTGAACCAGGAAGCAGGCCCTCAGCAGACACCAAATCTGCCAGCACCTTGACCCTGGATTTCCCAGCCTACAAATCTATGAGAACTAAATGTCTGTTGCTTATAAGCCACCCAGTCTATGGTATTCTGTTATAGCAGCCTGAATGGATTAAGACAAGAGCTAAAGGAGATCCCATAGAGCAAAATAAATAACTTTCAGGAACTTTATAAAGCATTACTTATACCTAAATATCAGCAGATTGATTAGAGGGAAGGGTTCACAGACTTCAGTGATACCCACACCACAGGTTGAGGACACAGACACACTGTAAAAATTTGTATTTAATGCCATTCCTTGCACTGGTCTATTAGTTCCCAACCCTTCTTGCATATCCAGTGGTAGCCTTCAGTAATTCTCCCCTCTCTCTATATATTATTAATGTATCACACTTAATTAAAATATTCTCATGAACATAAAACTGTGCTGGAATTTCTTTTTTTAATTTTTACTTTAAGTTCTGGGGTACATGTACATAGCGTGCAGGTTTGTTACCTAGGTATACCTGTGCCATGGTGGTTTGTTGCACCTATCAACCCGTTATCTAGGTTTTAAGCCCTGCATGCATTAGGTATTTGTCCTAATGCTCTCCCTCCCCTTGTCCCCCACCCCCCGACAGGCCCTGGTGTGTGATGTTCCCTTCCCTGTGTCCATGTGTTCTTACTGTTCAACTCCCACTTATGAGTGAGAACATGCGGTGTTTGGTTTTCTGTTCCTGTGTTAGTTTGCTGAGAATGATGGTTTCCGCGTCCCTGCAAAGGATATAAACTTATTCTTTTTTTTTTTTTTTTTTTTGAGACAGAGTCTTGCTCTGTTGCCCAGGCTGGAGTATAGTGGCATGATCTCGGCTCACTGCGACGTCCGCCTCCTGGGTTCAGGCGATTCTTTTGCCTCAGCCTACTGAGTAGCTGGGACTACAGGCACAGACCACCACACCCAGCTAATTTTTGTATTTTTAGTAAAGACGGGGTTTCACCATATTGACCAGGCTGGTCTGGAACTCCTGACCTCGTGATCCACCCACCTCAGCCTCCCAAAGTGCTGGGATTACAGGCGTGAGCCACTGTGCTCGGTGAAATTCTTTTTTATGGCTGCATAGTATTCCATAGTGTATATGTGGTATATGTGCCACATTTTCTTTATCCAGTCTATCATTCATGGGCATTTAGGTTGGTTCCAATTCTTTGCTATTGTAAATAGTGCTTGTGCTGGTATTTCTTATCTCAACAGTAAAAACCTTTTAACCATAGTTCTATTATCAGCCATTGCCCCATATCTTTGATTCTCTTTAAAGTGAAACTCTCCAAAACATTGTGTATACTCACTATCTCCAATTCAGCTTTCTGTTCTCTCTCTCTTTTTTTTTTTTTTTTTGAGATGGAGTCTCACTCTGTCACTCAGGCTGGAGTGCAGTGGCACCATCTCAGCTCACTGCAAGCTCCGCCTCCGGGGTTCATGCCATTCTCCTGCCTCAGCCTCCCGAGTAGCTGGGACTACAAGCGCCCACCAACACGTCCAGCTAATTTTTTTTTTTTTTTATTTTTAGTAGAGACGGGGTTTCACTGTGTTAGCCAGGATGGTCTCGATCTCCTGACCACTTGATCCACCCACCTCAGCTTCCCAAAGTGCTGGGATTACAGGCGTGAGCCACCGCACCCAGACTCTGTCCTCTCTTAAAGCCACTCCACTCTGGCTTTCACCACTCACCTCTATTGGAGCTTCCCTTACTAAGTTCATGGATGATCTCCATGTTGCTGAATCCAATGGTCCATTCTCAGTCTTCATCTTGCTTTGCTACCCACAGTATGTGACACATCTGATGGTGTCTTCTTCAATGACATACCTCTTCCTTTGGCTTCTAGAAACCCCTCATCCCCTCGGTGCTTCTCTTACCTCTGGTTCCTCCTTCCTCCTTTTTTGTAGATATCTCCTCTGTAAGTTAACTTCCTAATGAAAAGTGCATCCAGGGTTTCATCCCTGTTGCTCTGCTCTACCGACAGTCACTCCCTCGATGACCTCATCAAGTTATATGGCTTTAAATAACATCTATATGTTGATGATACCAACATTTATATCTCTAGTACAAACCTTCCTCCTAAGTTCCTAAGTTTCACTTATATGCCCAACTGTCCATTCAGCATCTCTATTAACATGTCTAATGGATGTCTGATACCTTTAAAAGTCCGAAGAAGAACACTTTGTGCCCCATGAGTCCCTCAAAAACTGTTCCATCAGCAATAACTTTCCGCATCTCAATTGGTGGCAACTCCATCTTTCCAATTGCTCAGACCCTTGCATTTGTCATAAGGTGATTTATTTTTGTGTGCATAATCTATGGAGGCTGGTAGGAAATTTTGCAGGCTCTACATTATATATACATATACATATATATCTAAACACACATATATAATATATATATAGCCACTTTCTCAAAACCTTCATTCCTGTCACTCTGGTAAAAAGCCACCATCATTTCTAGCCTACATCATTGCAGTAGTTTTAAAGAAATTTCCCGGCTGGGCGCGGTGGCTTACACCTGTAATCCCAGCACTTTGGAAGGCTGAGACGGGCGGATCACGAGGTCATGAGATCGAGACCATCCTGGCTAACACGGTGAAACCCCGTCTCTACTAAAAATACAAAAAAAATTAGCCGGGCTTGGTGGCGGGATCCTGTAGTCCCAGCTACTCCGGAGGCTGAAGCAGGAGAATGGCGTGAACCCGGGAGGCGGAGCTTGCAGTGAACCAAAATCGCGCCACTTTACTCCAGCCTGGGCGACAGAGCCAGACTCTGTCTCAAAAAAAAAAAAAAAAAAAAGAAAGAAAGAAAGAAAGAAATTTCCCTGCTTCCACTATCGTGCTGTTACAGTCTATCATCAGTGGGGCAAGCATAGCGATTATTTCAAAACCCAAGTCTTACGACTCCTCTGGTCAAACCTTCCAACAGCTCTCAATCTCAAAGCTAAAATCCTTGCAATGCTTTATTACCACATACTGACCTCATCTCCTACCACCTCTTCCTCTTTAAAAGCACTTCAGTCACGATGGCCTTCTGTTGTTCTTTGAACACCGGACATTCTTCAGCCTTCGGGCGTGTACACTGGCTTTCCCTCTGCACGGTGCATATTGTTAATGACCTCACCATCCTGGGGTCGTTGTTGAAATGATTTGATCTCATTCAAGCCTTCCCTGGCCGTTCCACATAAAATTGCAGCTCTTCCTGGAAACTTTGATCTACTTTGCCTTGATCTAGCTTTTTCTTTTTCTATAGTGCATTATTACTTTCTAAAGTATTATATAATTTATAGGTTTATCTATATTGCTAATTTTTTGGCTTTTCTAATAGAATGTAAGCTCCATGCAGGTACTACTTTTTATGTTTTGATCATTTTATATATCAAATCTCCCGGAGTCGTTCCCAGAACACAGCATAAAATATATAAATATTTACTTAATAAATGAGTACTTGAATGAATGAGTTGTGTGGCACTGCATTTTGAAGAGAATCAAGGAGAATAAAGCCCTCTTCTATGGCCCCTAACCCTTGCTTTCCTGAAATAGTTCTCAGTTATTTCAAAGAATCTTAACAAAGATCTTGCCTGGAAATTGTAGGAAGTTCTTAATTTTAGCAGACTTGAAAGAACACAAAAATGCAGTAGAATTTTAGAAACTCTAGGCAATAACTGTTTTTTTTGTTTGTTTGTTTTTTAAGATGGAGTCTCTCTCTGTTGCTCAGGCTGGAGTGCAGAGGCGCGATCTCCGCTCACTGCAACCTCCGCCTCCCGGGTTCACGCCCCTCTCCTGCATCCACCTCCCGAGTAGCTGGGACTACAGGCGCCTGCCACCACACCTGGTTAAATTTTTGTATTTTTAGTGGAGACGGGGTTTCACCATGTTAACCAGGATGGTCTCAATCTCCTGACCTCGTGATCCCTCCGCATCACCTCCCAAAGTGCTGGGATTACGGGTGTGAACCACTGCGCCCGGCTGGCTATAACTTTTAAAATCATCATAGTGAGGTAGCTATTGTCAGATTAATTTTATTTATGACATAATTGTGAATAAGTTTAAGTCTCCAATAAAGAAAATGTGGTACATATACACCATGGAATACTACACAGCTATAAAAAAGAACAAGATCATGACTATTGCAGGAATATGGATGGAGTTGGAGGCCACCATCCTTTGCGAACTAATGCAGAAACAGAAAGCCAAGTACCACATGTTCTCACTTATAAGTAAGAGCTAAATTATGAGGACACATGGACAGAAAGAGGGGAACAGCAGAGACTGGGGCCTACTTGAGGGGGGAAGGTGACAGGAGGGAGGGGATCAGAAAAAATAACTTTTGGGCAGGGCACGGTGGCTCACGCTTGTAATCCCAGCACTTTGGGAGGCCTAGGTGGGCGGATCACGAGGTCAGGAAATCGAGACCATCCTGGCTAACATGGTGAAACCCCGTCTCTACTAAAAATACAAAAAATTAACCAGGTGTGGTGGTAGACGCCTGTAGTCCCAGCTACTCGGGAGGCTGAGGCAGGAGAATGGCCTGAACCCGGGAGGCAGAGTTTGCAGTGAGGTGAGATCGCGCCGCTGCACTCCAGCCTGGGTGACAGAGGGAGACTCCATCTCAAAAAATAAATAAACAAAAATAAATAAATAAATAAATAACTTTTGGACACTAGGCTTAGTACCTGGACTATGAAATAATCTGTACAACAAACGCTTGTGACATGAGCTTATCTATATAACAAACCTGCACATATATTAATAACCCTGGACCTAAAATTAAAACAAAAAATTAAGTGAAAAAAAAGTCTCCAATGCTACAATGTCACTGATGAGTGGTAGAGCAAGATTCAAGCAGGTGACCTCTATATTTACTCCAAGTGCCTATGTGAACAGAGACACACCCTCACACAAAAACACATGTACACAGAAACACACACTCACTTACGTGTACACACTGACACAGAAACACTTGCATACACAAACACAAATACAAAAACACACCACATAGAAACACATTCACATACAAACACACAGATACCCTTTCACACAGACACACAGACACACGAACACTCAAACATACACTCACATACATACACACAAACACAAAAGCACACCACACACAAAAACATTCACACGCAAACACACCAATCCATGCAGTGTACATGCAGATAACACCCTTTCACACCGTCACCCAGTCACATACACCAACACACTAACACACATTCACACACAAACACAAACTAACACACAAACAAGTGCACACTTTTACCCAGAAACACACACATTAGTACATGTGCACTTACACACACATAGTCACACACAGTTACACACAATCACATAAACATAAATACACTTTGGCACACGTGTACACTCACACAAAACACTATTTCACACACAGACAAAAATTCACAGCCACACACATTCATACAAAACACGAACACACACACAGAAACATAGACACACACAGGACCACAAAGTGCTCACACTTTCACACACAACACATATTAACATGAATACATACACACACAAAAGCATAATCACACACATAGTTACATACTTTCACACACTCACACACATATACATACTCATGTACACACAAACACACACAAAATACACATTCACTGTACATATGAAAAACACCCTTTCAGAGACACACCAGAAGTCACACAGTCACACAAACACATAAGCCACAACTCACAAACACAAAACACTGAAACACACAAGAACACATACAAGTGCACACAGTTTCACATACAAACACATTAACATGTGTACATACACAGTTATACACACTCACACGTGTACACAGATACACAGTCACAAGTCACACACACTTAAATACACACCAACAAACACAAACACACATATTGACACATGCATACACACAAACGCACAAATTTAAACCTATACACACAAACATGTGTGAACACACTTGCACACAAGCGAACACAATTTTACACACACAAACACAAACACATACAAACACACACATTCTTTTTCACACACACGCACTCACTTCTGCTTGTCTTCCATCTATTTCCCTCGATTACCCTCTACCAGTCCCCTATTTAGAATTAATTTCTAGACCCTCGCTTCCATTTCTTCATGTTTTCTTTTTCTTATATCACTCTTATCAAATTCCCCTTCTAGTACCTTATTTCTGCTAAACCCGATTCATGACTTTCTATCACCATCTAAATCTGTGTGCAGTGCTTGATTGTCTCTCTGCCTGGATTCCTTACCATCACGTTTTCCCAGTGCCTCTGTGGTTCTTTTGAATCTTGTTTTCGAATTTTCTCTGTTGTAGGTCTTTCTTCCACTGCCTGCCTGGACTGGGATGCTTTCTAGAGTCCTCATCCTTGGCTTGTTTCTTGTCCATCTACTCAGCCTTCAGCGTCTCAGTCCCATGCAGGGTTTCATCCACTGTCTGTGCTGACTCCCATATTTTTCTATCCACTCACATTTGGAGCTAAATCCACAACCATATGTATGAATGCTTTCTGGAACACCTAAAATACTGTCCGGAATGAAGCAATAAACAAACAAATAACAACAACAAAAGACAACCACATCTACCTGTGTGACATTATTTCCTGGATATGCAATGCAAATGTCAATATCACAAATGGAATTTATCCCTTCTCTGCCATCTCAAGATCTCCCTGTCTTTCTTCACTTTTCCACTTAAAAACATCCATTCCTCATCCAGTTCCTCAAGCCAGAAACCTTGGCTCTATCATCATTTCCCTATGTCAGCCTTGACCTGGAGTGCAAGGTAATTAGCAAGTTCTGACTTCTTGAATTCTCCAATTCTGCCTTTTTTCTCCACCCCACTGCCACTGTCTTCGTTTAGCCGGCTTCTGCTCACTACTGGATTGTTGCAACAGCTTGCGTCTGGCTCCCCTGCCGTCTTAATTATCCCCACCACAATTCATTCACTTTACCCAAGTCAGGATGATCTTTGTAACCTAAGGAGAAGGACCCTCTGTCCTGGGAATGTAGGAATAGAATGTTTTGGAGTAGGCTTACAGTTATCCAGGTGGAAAAGTAACCAGTGTCCCTTGCCACAGTCATCTCCCTTGAAATGCTGTATCCAGGGTGCCTGCCTTCTCTCTGCCCAGAAGGACATGTTTTGGATGTAGCCTCCTGCCATGCAACAGCCATGGAGTGGAGCTCACCATTCCCATTACAGGTACTGATAATGTCTCACCTTCCCTCTACAAACCAAATAGCTAATAAACCACAAAGAATATTTCTACTTCGATTTTCTGTAGAGTTCTGCCAGTTACCACAAAGAGATGTAAAATTTGGAATCTGGGACAGAAACTATGGGTTGTGCGTTTCAGTCTCATTAGCACACTCCCACGTCCCATATCTGAGAGGCAGTCTCATGGGATGGTTTCATCATCTTGTAACTCGCATTTTCTCTGTCCCTTGCCACAGTCACCTCCCTCAAAATGCTATATCCAGGGTGCCTGCCCTCTCCTTGTCTGCCCCCACTTCGCCTTGTTGCATAATGGGATTCTGGTCACCAAGTGGCTTTTATACCACCTCTTATGACCACTGCTTCTTAGTCACTTTTGCTTCAGCTCAGTTTAAGCTGATTTAGCGGTTGGTGGAGAGAATGGTTAATTTGTTTTCCTAATTGTCTGCTGACTCTGGAAGGGAAGGGGAGGGATGCACTTTCACCCTAAGCATAGTGAAGGAAAGGGTCTCCTTTATGAACCATAGATAGTTCTCTTTCTAAGAATCTGAACCCATACAAAGGCATCAAAGGCAACCCAGCCTAGTGCGAATGGTCTTAACGAAGCTATGCATGCAAGCTCTTGGTTACTTTCAAAGCCCCCAAATGACACTGACACTCATTGGTGATTTTTCCAAATCAATTACACTTAAGCCCTAGAGTTTTTAACCAGACAAAAGGAGCACTAAAAGATGGAACGACTTAAGGAGAATGAAGAGAAGGTTGTTATTTTATCTCTCCCAAAAAGCAAATTTGATTAAAACCTTCAGAGGCTTCCTGTTGCTATTAGAATGAACAAAGGCCAAACCTATTACTATAATGCATGTTCTCTTTCATTGTATTATTTCTTCGTGTTTCCAGATGTACTGTTGTCTATATCCAACCCCTTCTCATGAATACGCACGTGTATGCACACACACGAATGCAAGCACACATGAAGCTTTAGCAACAATGATCTTATCGCAGTTCTTTAAATGCACCATACTTTCACCGAAGTACATCATTCCTATCATTCTTGATCTTTCCCTGCCTTCTCCTCGCCCCCATTTCTTCCCACCCATGCCCTATGATCTCTCTCTTCTCTGGGCCTTCATCCATGCTCTCCTGTTTGGAACATCTGATCCCCAGTATTTTAACACTCATTTGGCCAAGTTTCAATTTTAGTGACATTTCTGCTGGATAGCATTTCCTAACCTTCTTAAACTGATTAACTATTGCTGATTTGTGATTCTATAATCCATTGTACTTTCAGTATCATTAAACTTATATCATATTATGATTGCATTATATTGTCTACCTACCTATTACTCTGTCTTCCTTCCCACCCCTACTAGTCCGGGAACTCCAAAATACGTAGATCAAGTCGTTTTGCTCACCATGTACCTTATGCTATTCATGTCCTTAGGTGACTTTTCACTTAAAAGCCATCTCGCTTATCTAAGGATTGCTGCCAATACAAAGGATGAAGGCATAGTACATAAGTCTATATCATGTAATTTGCTCCCTCAAAGCTCAGTTGAGGCATAAACTTTAGGCTTTGGTTGCCAAGAATCGATACCCACCACCCTCTAACCACCAAATGGTCTATCCTAGATGGTGAAGTTGGGTTAATTGTTAGACACGGTGGAATCTTTATGGTCAACTTGAAGATCTGGGGCACAAAAACCTTAACACAATTCATTATTTCTGAAGAAGGTTCTAGGGACTTCATCTATGTTTCATAAACATTTGTCTCCGACCTGGTACAAACACAGAAAATGTACAGGCTTTGATGCCTGACTCTCATTGAGTTGAGCAATAAATGGCTACTGGAAAGTTATTCATTTATTCAACACATTTTATTGAGAACTTACTATAAGTCAGGCACTGCACTAAGAGCTGAGGAATAAATAATGAGGAAAGGAGACACTACTTTTGCCATCATAGAGCTTATAGCCTAGTAGGAAAGACAACTACATATCAGAGAACTCCAACAGTTATGGCATGTCCTATATAGCATGGACCATGTATGCACCCCTTTCCTGAATCAGAGGGTCCTTTTTTTTTTCTTTCCAACTTTTATTTTAGGTTCAAGGGGTACATGTGCAGGTTTGTTGAATGGGTAAATTATGTGTAACAGGGGTTTGGTGTACAGATTACTTTGACATCCAATTAATGAGCATAGTAACTGATAGGTAGTTTTTCAATTCTCACCCTCCTCTCACCCTCCACTTTTAAGTGGGTCCTGATGTCTATTGTTCCTTTTTTTGTGTCCATATGTACTAAATGTTTAGCTACCACTTATAATTGAGAACATGAGGTTTTCTGCTGCTGTGTTAGTTTGCTTAGGATAATGACTTCCAGCTCCATCCATGTTGCTGCAAAGGGCATTATCTTGTTCTTTTTTATGGCTGCATAGTATTCCATGGTGTATATGTACCACATTTTCTTTATCCAGTCCACAGTTGATGGACATCTAGGTTGATTCCATGTCTTTGTATTGTGAATAGTGTTATGATGAACATACACATGCATATGCCTTTATGGTAAAAAAATTTATATTCTTTTGGGTATATACTCAGTAATGGGATTGCTGGATCCAATGGTAGTTCTGTTTTAAGCTTTTTGAGAAATCTTCAAACTGCTTTCCACAATGGCTGAACTAATTTATATCCTCAATAGCCATCCTTTTTCTCTGCAACATCATCAACATGTGCTTTTTTTTGTTTGTTTGTTTTTTTTACTTTTTAATAATAGCCATTCTGACTGGTATGAGATAGTATGTCATTGATGTTTTAATTTGTATTTCTTTGATGATTAGTGATGTTGAGCAGTTTTTCATATCCTTGCTGGCCACGTGTATGTCTTATTTTGAGAAATGTCTGTTCATGTTCTTTCAGCATTTTTAAATGAGATTGTTTTTAACATGTTGATTTGCTTAAGTTCCTTATAGACTCTGGATATTGGGCCTTTGTTGGATGCATATTTTGTAAATATTTTCTCACATTTGTAAAAATAAGTATATGGCTTTATTTCTGGATTCCCTAACCTGTTCTGTTGATCTTTGTATCTGTTTTTGTGTCAGTACCATGATGTTTTGGTTACTGTAGCCTTGCAGTATAGTTTGAAGTTGGGTAGAGTGATGCCTCTAGCTTTGTACTTTTTGCTTGGGATTGCCTTGGCTATTTGGGCTCTTTTCTGTTCCATATGAATTTTGGAATAGTTTTTTTCTAATTCTGTGAAAAATGTCCTCGGTAGTTGGATAGGAAAAGCATTGAATCTATAAATTGTTTTGGGTAGTATGGCCATTTTAACAATATTGATTCTTCCTATCCATGAGCATGAAATGTTTTTCCATTTGTGTTGTCTCTGATTTCTTTCAGCAGTGTTTTTTAATTCGTGTTGTAAAGGTCTTTCACCTCCCTGGTTAGCTGGATTTCTATATATATTATATTTTTTGTATGTCTAATGTGAAGGGGATTGTGTTGTTGATTTGGCTCTCAGATTGGATGTTATTGGTATATAAAAATACTACTGATTTTTGTACATTGATTTTGTATCCTAAAACTTTGTTTAAGTTGTTTATGAGACCTAGGAAGCTTTGGACAGATAACATGGCGTTTCCTTAGGTATAGAATCATACAATCTGTGAAGAGAGATAGTTTGACTTCTTTTCTTCTTATTTGGAGCCTTTTATTGCTTTCTCTTTCCTCATTGCTCTAGCTGGGACTTCCAGTACTATGTTGAATAGAAATGGTGAGAGTGGGCATCCTTGTTTTGTTCCAGTTCTCAAGGGGAATGCTTCCAGCTTTTGCCCATTCAGTATGATGTTGGCTGTGGGTTTGTCACAGATGGTTCTTATTATTTTGAGGTATGTTCCTTCGATGCTTAGTTGATTGAGGGCTTTTAACATAAAGGGATGTTGAATTTTAGTGAGAGTCTTTTCTACATCTGTTGAAATAATCATGTGTTTTTTGTTTCTAGTTGGTTATGTGATTAATCACATTTTTTAAAATTTGCATCTGTTGAACCAACTTGGCACCCCAAGAATAAAGCCTACTTGATTGTGGTGGATTATCCTTTTGATGTGCTGCTGGATTCATTTTGCTTATATTTTGTTGAGGATTTTTACATCTATGTTTATCAGGGATATTGGCCTGAAGTTTTCTTTTTTCATTGTGTCTCTACCAGGTTTTGATATCAGAATAATGCTGGCATCACAGAATGAGTTAGGGAGGAGTCCCTCCTCCTCTATTTTTTGGAATAGTTTCAGTAGTATTGATACTACTGAATCTCTTTATATGTCTGATACAATTCAGCTGTGAATCTCTCTGGTCCAGGACTTTTTGGGGTTGGTATTTTTTAAATTACTGATTCAATTTTGAAACTTATTATTGGTATGTTCAGGTTTTCAATTTCTTCCAGATTCAATTCCAGGAATTTAACCATTTCCTCTAGGTTTTCTAGTTTGTGTACATAAAGGTGTTCATAATAGCCTCTGAGGACTTTTTGTATTTCTTTGGGATTAGTAGTAATGTCCTCTTTGTCATTTCTTATTGTGTTTATTCGGATCTTTTTACTTTCTTTGTCTAGCTAGCAGTCTACCAATCTTATTTATTATTTTAACGAACATGCTTTTGGTTTCTTTGATATGTTTTACATGGTTTTTCTCATCTACATTTCATTCAGGTCAGCTCTGATTTGGGTTATTTATTTTCTTCTGTTACCCTTGTCATCAGTTCGCTCTTGCTTTTCTAGTTCCTTTAGGTGTGATTTTAGTTTGTTAATTTGAGGTATTTCTAACTTTTACATGTAGTCATTTAATGCTGTAAACTTTCCTCTTCACACTGTTTAGCTGTGTCCCAGATATTCTGGTATGTTGTATCTGTGTTTTCATTAGTTTCAAAAAATGTCTTGATTTTTGCCATAATTTTATTGTTTACCCAAATTCAGTAGTAGATTTTTTAATTTCCATGTAATCGTGTGATTTTGAGAGATCTTCTTGGTATTGATTTCTATTTTTACCGTACTGTGTCTGACCATGTGGTTGGGATGATTTCATTTATTTTGAATTTGTTGCGAATTGCTTTGTGGCTGAGTGTGTGAGTGATTATAGAGTGTATATGCCATGGGCAGCTGAGAAAAATGTATATTCTGTTGTTGTTATGTTAGGTCTATTTGGCCAAGTGTCGAGTTTTAGGTCCTGAATAACTTTGTGAGTTTTCTGCTTCTATAATCTATCTAATACTGTCAGTGGGGCGTTGACATCTCCCATTATTATTGTATGGATATCTAATTGTCTTCTCAGGTCTCTAACAAAATGTTTTTTTAATCTGGATGTTCCAGTGTTGGTTGCATATATATTTAGGACAATTAAATCTTCTCATTGAATTGAACTCTTTATTATTATGTAATGCCCTTCTTTGTGTTTCATGATCATTGCTGTTTTAAAGACTGTTTTATCTGAAAGAAGAATAGCAACCCTGCCCCTTTTTTGTTTTCCATTTGCTTTATAGATTTTTCTTCATGCTGAATCAGAGTCTACTTTCTATAAGAGTCATTCTAAACTGACTGTGACTAGGTGCTTATTCTGCTATCATCTCCCACTGTATTCAAATAACTCACCCTTGGTCCTAGAATTATCTACAAGTGTCCAGAATCATTGGATACAAACAAGGAAGGACAGATAAGCATAAGATGCTCAATGGCTGATGGGTTGACTTCTCCCAAGAGAAAGTTCCAGGAGAAACAGACCTGAGCACTGAGTCAGGATCCTGCTATAAAAATGATTTGTGCTGTAAAAGAACATCCATTTGTATCCTACCATCAACCTCAGCTTTAACCTCACCTCTCGAGATCAAATTTTATCCATTCCGTTCTTTCTTCCATCAGCATGTTCTCTTCACCTCTTAGGACCATTTTAAAACTAACTCTGTAAGTGTGAAACAGAATATTTCTTTTCACTGTCTTTTCCGTTATCAAGTTTTACTCTTTGGAGTCAGAGTTCTGGTTGCTCCTTCAAAGTAGGTGACTCATGTCTGCAAGTGGTCTGACCCTCAGAGTACACATGGGAAGAGGGAGAGGAAAAATGTGAAACACCCAGATAAATATTTCAACGTATCATCAAGCCACATGTCCTTTCTTGGTTCAGTATTGAAATGTACAGAAACATACTTCTTATTTCAGGGACTCCATTTCTATCCCATCTTACCTGAAAAGGTGGCAACTAAAATTCTATCCCATGTATTTGCTCTTCTGGAATACTAATTCCCACTTGCTTCACAGACACATCATCAAGTACCAGCAAGATTCCGTAATTCCTGTGAGTCCATAACGGTAATGTGCCTCCTTTTCGTTTCCAAACGAGAATTCTCATTATGGTTATTTTTTGCTTCCCCCTATTGGCTGTTTGAAACATAACTTATCTTTTTAGTTCCTGGGTCCCTGACCTTGACAAACCACGGCAGAACTTGGTGGAGAAGGCTGAGTATAATTCTGAAATCCTGAACTTTGAGCTGGATTCAATACGTAGGTGAATTTTGGATTGTCTCCTCTAGGGAGAGTGTGTTCAACATTTAAAAGGAAGTGTAAAGTGGATATTTGATAAACACAAGGGCTACCATGGCAGAGGAGAACGCTGTGATCGCATCAAATCCTGTTTTCTCTTGGGCACACAGCTGCCCCACATATACCATCCCTAGCTGCAGTTAGTTGAGGTCATGTGACTGAATTCCAACTAATATAGGTAGAAATAAAGTACTCCACTCCCAAATACAGTTTATAAAAATCTCTGACATAATCCTCCACACTCTTTTACTTTCTCTGACAGGTGAACGGCATGGATTCTGAGAACCAGGAAGAGAGCCAAGTCATAAAAGGATCGGTGCCCGAGTGAGTCCTTGAATGGTTCATGGAACAGAACTTCTCAGTCTTCACTCCCCTTTACCCATACTGAAGTTTACATGATTAATATAATGTAATATATAACTAAGCCACTGAGATTTGCGAGTTTCTTTGATTGCAGCTGGTGTTTAATTTCTGAGTAACTAAGAAGGAATACATTTTTGAGGACATGGTATTTGGTCTGCAACCACCCATGGTTTTAGAGAAGAAGCAACCCATGTAGGTATGTGGGCACCAATTATTCCAGTTAGACAAACAACACACCCAAAGCCCAAAGTCTGGGAGAATGTGTTTAAGAAACAACACACAACGACGACAAAAAATAATATAGCTGGTTTCTAGTGAATGGAGAGGAGAGTGGTAGGAAATGAAGTTTAAGAGGAGTGTGGAGACCAGATCCCACAGGACTGTGTAAACAGTGAAAAGGAGTTCACATTTCATTATAATTGTGATGAAACCTCATTGGAAAATTTTAAGCAGAGAAAATCCATGATCTTACTATGATACACAGGTCTTTAAAAGATTGAGTTACTCTTTGTTGAATGAATTTTAAGAATCCAGAGAGGATGACAAGGGACCAGTTAGGAGATAATAATCTTCCAGGCAAGACATGTTAGTGACTTAAACAAGATTTATTACAATGGAAAGAGGAAAAATTGATATATCCCACTGAATCATTCAATTAATCAGGTCTAAAAAATATGGATTATACATTTATGTAATAATTATATTAAGATCTGTTGTGAGTCACTTAGGATAATGGCAAAAATATTAAAGGGAATATTAGGGAAAGTTATAGGAAATAATCACAAATCTTTTGAAAGGCCAAAAGCTTAAATAGCTTGTAATAATTGAACAGGCTAAAGGCAGCCGGTTCTTACCTTAGAGCACTAGGTCATAGGGTAAATACTAGGAACAATAGAGGATTCCCCAGTTACTTCTGTTTACCCTACCTCCATTAACTAATCTTTAAGCCAAATGGCCCTCTGGGTGGTTGTGGGTGGGGGTAGGGGCGGGGAGGTCAACTAGGGAAATTGCCCCCTAATGGTATTTACTTTAAACCGTAGTACCTAAGTTTTAATCATTTGTAAAACTACTTTCTTAACCATGTTAATTATCCTCAAGTGTGTTTACTCAAAGCTTCTGTTGTTCATTGTATACTAAATAAATGCCTGAAGTGCAAGCTGCTCAGGACCAGCCGCAGTGACAAACCTCTCCTGGTGTGCAGGCAGTCGGACGCTCAGCTGGACTGGCGAAACAAAGTATCTGTATGTCAATGTACGTTTTATTCATCCGTCTTTTGGGTCAGGGTCTGCGGGCAAACCCCCGCAGCTAATGCCCTCTGGTAAGACGCCATACCTCAACTGGTGCCCCGTGTAAGGTGCAATACCACAAAGATACAATACAATTGTTACATTAGCAAAACATATGGGTCATGAATTATGTTATGTTCAGGACAGTTGTAGACAGTCTGCAGGGAGGTCTAGTTTTAGCTTTTTTAGACTTAGTGTAAATTTAGTGAAGCCTGTAGTTGTTCACAGTAACAGAAAATACAAAAAACTGTTGGTTGATCTAGTGGCCACTAGATGGCCCGATAAACTCTACTTCATAGACCTCGGAGCTAGACACTGAAGTGACTGCAGTTTGTTGCTGAAAACTATATAGTGTAAAAAGCCTTTGTTGTTGTTATTGTGAATGGAAAATAATTATCAACATTATACAAATTAAACAGGTTCATATCGGAGAGGCTCTGCTATAGAGTCCTACAAAATGGAATTGAATATAATTTCTCTGATATAGAAAAACACTCATTTTAGAATGAAAAATAGTGATATGCATGTGTGTAAAATGTGTAATCTTAGTCTCAGGCTTCAGTTTCGTAATTTTAGATCACTTCCCTCTTTTTCATGAGAAAAGCTCCTAGACACTCCTATTTGGGAATTGTATAAATAGTGAATAATATAATGAAGAAAAAAGTCTAAAACAAGGACTTGCTGTACACTATCTACAGGTGTCTTGAACATGTTATATAAGGTATTCTTTTGCTTATTTATGAGTTTGGTTATTTGTTTTTATTTGCTGAATTGTAAGAGTTCTTTGTGTATTTTGGATACAGGTCCTTTATCAGATATGTGACGTGCAAATATATCCTCCAAGGTTGAAGCTTGTTTCTTCATTCCCTCAAGAGTTAATTTCACAGAGGGAAACATAATTTTAATAAAGTCCAATTTATCAATTTTTTTGTGGGTTGTATTTTTTATCATATCTAAAAATTTGTCAACAAACTCAAAGCCATGAAAATTTATCCCATATTTTCCTCTAAGAGTTTTGTACTTTTGCATTTTATATTTAGTTCTATAATCCACTTTGAGTCACTTTTTGTGTAAGATGTGAGATCTGTGTCAAAGTTCACTTTTTGAATACGGACATCCAATTTTTCCACCATCATTTGTTAAAAAAGTATTCTTTCACCACTGAATTGCCTTTGCACCTTTGCCACAAATCCATTGACAATATTTGTGTTCATTCATTAATGAGTTTTCTATTCTACTCCATTGATCTATGTGGCTACTCTTTCACCAATGTCATGCGGTCTTGATTTTAGAGGGAAAGCATTCTTTCTCTAGTCATTTAGAATAAAATTAGCTGCAAACTTTTCATATAAACCCTTTATTAGGTTAAGGAAGATCCCTGCTATTTCTAGTTTTCAAGACTGTATATCATGAATGGGTGTTGAATTTTGTTGAATATATCTTCTACATCTATTGACATGATCATATTTTTTCTTATTTATACTGTTAATAGGATAAATTATATACATCAGTATTTATAAATGTTGAATCAGCCTTGCCTTCCTGGAATGAACCCCATTTGGTCACATTATATTGTTCCTCTTATATATTGCTGGATATGATTTGTTAAAATATGTTAGGGAGATTTGTGTCTCAATTAATCAGAGGTATTTCTCCATAGTCTCCTTTTTTGGTAATGTCTTTATCTGGTTTTGGTTAATGCTAGCTTCATAAATGAATCAGGTAGTGTTCATATGAATATGCTAGCTTCATAAAATGAGTTAAGCAGTATTCCAACCTCAAACTTTCCAGAAAAAAAAGTGTTAATTTGTACTATTTCTTTTTAAAAATTTGGTAGAGGCTGGGTTGTGGTGGCTCACGCCTGTAATCCCAGCACTTTGGGAGGCCGAGGTGGGTGGATCACGAGGTCAGGAGATCGAGACCATCCTGGCTAACACAGTGAAACCCCGTCTCTAATAAAAATAAATACAAAAAATTAGCCGGGCATGGTGGCAGGCGCCTGTAGTCCCAGCTACTCGGGAGGCTGAGGCAGAAGAATGGCATGAACCCGGGAGGCGGAGCTTGCAGTGAGCCGAGATCGCGCCACTGCACTCCAGCCTGGGCGACACAGAGAGACTCCATCTCAAAAAAATATATATATATATTTGGTAGAATTCACCAGTGAAAGCATCGGGGGCTGGTGTTTTAGGTAGCTATTTCTCCTTGAGTGAGTTTTGGCAGTTGGTGTCTTTCAAAGAATTGCCTCATTTCATCTAGGTCATCAAGTTTATGACACAAGAAGGCTGGAGTGACGCTGGACTGGGTGCACTTCCCTCCCCCAAGATGGGATGAGATTTCGGTATTCCTGTCTAAAGCGAGCTCTTAGGGCTTCCTCCAGCCTAGGGTGCCCAGTGGCTTTTTCTCTGTGTCTTACATGCTGTATCTCCCTGGAGTAACCTTCTCTCTGGATTTCAGGGTGGCAGGTTGCCCTGTAACCTTAGTTCCCTGATGGGTTTAAAAAAAATCCTGTGTGCATGCTTACACCTGCTGCAACCATGAAGCCTCTGAGTCCCAAATACCATGTAAGAAAACAAGGGCTGAAAGTAAATAGTGATTCAGAAGTGAATCAAGTTTCATTGTAATTTATGGTCGTTGGTTATTGTAATATGTTTCTGCACGGTATTTTGCATTCAAAAAATTTCTATTTGAGTAAAATTGACTAGGGAGATGAGGTATTCCATCTCATGTTTGTCTTGAGGTTACTTGGAGCCTCCCCAGCACCCACCTGACCTGGGGACTCTACCAAAAGTCAAAGAAGCGGTGCTGGTGCATG
Organism: Homo sapiens; assembly: GCF_000001405.40. Taxonomy (NCBI): domain Eukaryota; kingdom Metazoa; phylum Chordata; class Mammalia; order Primates; family Hominidae; genus Homo; species Homo sapiens. Next base: position 23,631,965 of record NC_000015.10, read on the forward strand.
AAACCAGGAATCTATGGCTACTTGGAGGAGAAACACGTAACTTGTTGCCCAAATCAGACTGCGGAATGCTTGGGATCAATTCAGATGCTTGTAGCTATAAGTAAAATACAACCCAACTAAAATTACTTTTTAAATGCCCTACAGGTAGGCCATTCCAGGATTTCTTGATACAGTGGCTCAACCGGATCACTGAAGCCATGGGTGGTTTCTGCCTTTGTTCCTGAGATTTTTGGTGATGTTTCTTTCACGACTGTGTGCTTACTAGGGCAGTTCCCGGAATCCCATGCAGATATTAGAGCGTCAGTGCTGAAGACAAACTATTTTCAAATCTCTCTCTCTTTTTTTTTTAGTGGAGTCTCGCTCTGTCACCCAGGCTGGAGTGTAGTGGCTGGCACAATCTCGGCTCGCTGCAACCTCCGCCTTTCAGGTTCAAGCGATTTTCCTGCCTCAGCCTCCCCAGTAGCTGAGGTTATAGGCATCTGCTACCACGCTTGGAAAATTTTTTGTATTTTTAGTAGAGACGAGATTTCACCATGTTGGCCAGACTGGTCTCGAACTCCTGACTTGACTTCAGGTGATCTGCCCATCTCGGCCTCCCAAAGTGCTGGGATTACAGGCGTGAGCCACCATGCCTGGCCGTCTCTTTTTAAAACAATGCTTTTATTATGGAGGAAAATATCCACAAACCCTTCCGACTAGATTTTGCCACATGTGCATGAATGGAGGGTGATACTTGAATTTATTATGATTAAGCTGACCCTGGATGAAGGAAGGGATTTATGATTAATGAATAAATTGGAGAGTAAACATCCTTACAAATCAAGTCTCTATCAGCAAAGAAGGAGACTGGATCAAGTGGGAAGAGTGGAAATGGGAAGCAATAGAGAATGCTACACACACTTAATGCTTTTTTTTTTTTTTTTTTTGAGACAGAGTCTTGCTCTATTGCCCAGACGGGAGTACAGCGGCGTGTGGCGCCATCTCAGCTCACTGCAACCTCCGTTTACTGGGTTCCAGTGATTCTCCTGCCTCAGCCTCTCAAGTAGCTGGGTGTACAGGCGCTTGTCACCACACTGGGCTAATTTTTGTACTTTTAGTAGAGACAAGGTTTCGCCATGTTGACCAGGCTGGTCTCGAACTCCTGACCTCAAGTGGTCCACCTGCCTCGGCCTCCCAAAGTGCTGGGATTACAGGCGTGAGCCACCAAGCCTGGCCAATGCATTACTCATTAATGGGGTATGGGGAAGGATGGAGTTGGATTCTGCCTAAATGATAAAAAAGTTTGGTCTCCTAACATAAAATTGACAAGCATGGGTGTCTGAGTACCAGCAAAATAAATTTTAAAATTGTTTATCCAATATCTGCATGGAATATTTTTCCCCAATACACTCTCTACCGATGATCACGCTGTTTCCAATTCAATTGTGAATTGGAGAATAGGAGGTTGGATAAAGCAGCTATCCAAAAGAGAAAAGCCTAAGTAATGATAATAGCTGTCATTGCCTACTTTACGGAAATGCATGGGGAGGCAGATTAAGCTCAGTAGAAAAGGCGTCAGGTAGATTGGACTGATAATGGGCATTTTGTAGGCAGATTTTGGCTTTCTGGATTTTTTTTTTTTTTTTTTGAGACGGAGTCTCGCTCTGTTGCCCAGGCTGGAGTGCAGTGGCGTGATCTCGGCTCACTGCAAGCTCCGCCTCCCGGGTTCACGCCATTCTCCTGCCTCAGCCTCCCGGGTAGCTGGGACTACAGGCGCCTGCCACCACGCCCGGCTACTTTTTTTGCATTTTTAGTAGAGACGGGGTTTCACTGTGTTGGCCAGGATGGTCTGATCTCCTGACTTTGTGATCCACGCGCCTCGGCCTCCCAAAGTGCTGGGATTACAGGCGTGAGCCACCGCACCCAGCCGGCTTTCTGGATTTTTACACCTGCTGCCTTATCCTAGCCTATTCAACTCTGATACTCACTCTGTTCCGGGCACACTTAAAATTGTCTTCTTCCCAATCCATGAATATCCCCTCCTATGAGACCACACACAAAAGGCCCCTGAATAACCTGCAATCACTAGCCAAAAGACCATGAAAGGAGAAAGCTAGCAAGACAGAAAACTTTCGGAGGCTAGTTTCCCTACTGGAGACAAACGCCCGTAGGAAAACTTGTGGCCCCACCCTCGACCCACTCAGCAGGACAGAGGGGAGAGCCTAGACTTCCAGCCTGGCCTGGTGATACTGAGGTAGCCCTCCCCTGCTGGTGTGGTGTCAGGGTGAGAATCTGGGACTTCGACGTTCACCAGGCAGTAACAAGCTGCCACAGTGTGGTGCCGACGGAGACAACCTGGGGAGCTTGAACTTTTACCTTCCTGCACCTTCCCTGCTGGGGTGCTGTTAAGGGGTGGCAAGTGAGAAGCCTTCCCATGCTAATGAGGCCTCCCTCCCCATTTTCTGTCCTTGGAGTTCACAGGCGAGCAATGAAAAGGGGCCTCTTCCCCTCTGAACAGGGTGGTGTCAGCAAAGGCAGAGTGCAGAAGCTGAACTTTTACCCCAGCTCTGTGCTGGAGAGCACGGCCTCCCGCTCACTGGGTGTCCATGGAGACCACCTGGGGGTCCCGGACTTATGTTCCTACCAGGCGGTACTGAGGTGGGGTCCTTATTTCCCACTCATACAGTCTCTTAAAAAGGAAAGTCTATTGAAAGAGAAGAATTTAATTAGATCCAAAGTCTCATAACACAACACCCAAAATATTTAGGATACAATAAAAAGTCACTCTTCACACCAAGAACCACAAAAATCTCAACTGGAATGAGAAACGAAAGTCATCAGAAACAAATGCTGAAATGATGCAAATGTGCTTCATTGAGAAATTATACACATGCTTTCCGAAGAACAGAAATCTCCATGCCCAGATGGTTTCACTGGCGAATTCTACCAAATGTTTAAAAAGGAATTAGCACCAACTTTACACAATCTCTTTCAGAAAACAGAAAAGAAGGGAACAATTTATTTTATAAAATAAATAGTGCCCAGATACCAAAATCAGACAAAAACAATCCAAAAAAGCCAAACTATGAACAAACATTCTTCATGAATATGGATGTAAAAATCCTAACAAAATATTAGTAAAGAGAATTCAGCAATTACATACATATAAAATGATCAAATTGTGTTTATTCTAGAAATAGAAGGCTGATTCAATGCTAAAAGATAAATGAAAATAATCCACCATATTGACTAGCTAAAAAGAAAAATATCACATCATCATAGCAATCAATGCAGAAAATACATTTGACAAAACTTCATACCCATTCATGACAAAAAGAAAAAAAACTCTAAGAAAAATAGAAATAGAAGGGAACTTCCTCAACTTGATATAGGGTACCTACACAAAACCTACAGCTAACATTATACTTCATAGCAAAAAACTGAATGTTTTCTTCCTAACGTCAGGAGCAAGGAATTCATATCTGCTCTCACCACTCCTATTCAACATATCACTGGAAATCCAGCATAATAAGGGACTTTTTACTTTAAAATTATACAAATAGGAAAGGAAGAAATAAAACTGTCTCTATTTGTAGACGACACAATGGTCTGCAAAGAAAATCCCAAGGGAGGCCGGGCGCGGTGGCTCACGCCTGTAATCCCAGCGCTTTGGGAGGCCGAGGCAGGTGGATCACGAGGTCAGGAGATCGAGATCATCCCGACTAACATGGTGAAACCCCATCTCCACTAAAAATACAAAAAAAAATGAACCGGGCGTGGTGGCAGGTGCCCGTAGTCCCAGCTACTCGGGAGGCTGAGGCAGGAGAATGGGGTGAACCTGGGAGGCGGAGCTTGCAGTGAGCCAAGATCGCATCACTGCACTCCAGCCTGGGTGACAGACCAAGACTTCGTCTCAAAAAAAAAAGAAGGATACAAATATGAAAGGAAGAAATAAAACTGTCTCTATTTGCAGATGACACAATGGTCTGCAAAGAAAATCCCAAAGGATATATGAAAACTCCTAGAACTAATATGTGAGTTCAGCAAGGTGCAAGCTACAAGATCAACATACAAAACTCAACCATTTTGAGTTTTGAGTTGAACAGGTGGAAACTAAAACTTATAATATAATATAGGGCCAGGCATGGTGGCTCACACCTGTAATCCCAGCACTTTGGGAGGCCCAGGCAGGCGGATCACCTGAAGTCAGGAGTTCGAAACCAGCCTGCCCAATGTGGTGAAACCCCATCTCTACTAAAAATACAAAAAAATTAGCCGGGCGTGGTGGCAGGCGTCTGTAATCCCAGCTACTCAGGAGGCTGAGGTAGAAGAATTGCTTGAACCTGGGAGGCAGAGGTTGCAGTGAGCAGAGATCGTGCCACTGCACTCCAGCCTGGGTGACAAAACTGGAACTCCATTTCAAAAAACATAATATAATATAATATAATATAATATAATATAATATAATATAATATACAATCACTCAAAAATAAACCTTATTTATTTTTAAATACTTATAAACTTAATAAGCATGTATAGGACATGTATGCTGAAAAATACAAGTGCTGATGAAAGAAACCAAAAAAGATCCAAATAAATGGAGCGATATACTGTGGTTATGGATTGGAAGATTCAATGCAGTAAATGTCAGTTCTCCCCCACTTAATATACAAGTTTAACTCAATTCCTATCAAAATTCCACCAAGACATTTTGTAAATATATGCAAGCTTATTTTAAAATTTATGTGAAAAATCAAAAGATCTAGAATAGCTAAACATAATTTTGAAAAAAGAATATGGGAAGAATCCCTATACTCAATTTTAAGACTTATTATATGACTGCAATAATCACGACAGTATGGCATTGGTGGAGGGATATATCTCTGTATAATACACATATCTATATCTATCTTTTAAATACCTATCTTATCAAGCAAATGGGACAGAATATAGAATTCAGAACTCAGAAATAGCACACGTAAATAGGGCTAACTGAATTTTTACAAATGTGCAAAAGAAAATATTCAATGTTGAAAGGATAGTATATAGTATTTTTAACAAATGTTAAAATGTTAATGAAACCACTGGACATCCAAAGGCAAAAACAAAACAAAACAAAACACAAACACAAACACACACACACAGCAAAGAAAGAATCTCAGCCTAAACTTTACGCCTTATTCAAAATTAGCTCAAAATCGATCATAGATTTAAATACAGAACATAAAACGATTACATTTTTAGAAGAAAACATAACAGAAAATCTTCGGCACCTGGGGTCTGATGAAGAGTACTTACATATATATGACACCATGATCATGACCCATAAAAGAAAAACAAAATCAATCAGACTTCATCGAAATTTAAAACTTTTGCTGTGTGAAAGGCCCGGTTATGATAACGAAAGCCACACTCAACACTGGGGAAAAGACTTGCAAAATGCATATATAATAAAGGACTCATATCCGGAATATAGAAATCATTCTCAAAGCCCAATACATTTTTAAAAAAACTCACTTAGAGCCTGGGCACCGTGGCTCATGCCTGTAATCTCAGCACTTTGGGAGGCTGAGGCGGGCAGATCACTTGAGGCCAGGAATTCGAGACCAGTCTGGCCAACATGGTGAAACCCCATCTCTACTAAAAACACAAAAAATTAGCCAGGCATAGTGGTGTGCGCCCGTGGTCCCAGCTACTCTGGTGGCTGAGGCATGAGAATCGCTTGAACCCACGAGGTGGAGCTTGCAGTGAACCAAGATGGCACCACCGCACTCCATCCTGGGCGACAGAGCAAGACTCCATCAAAAAAAAAAAAAAAAAAAAGTCACTTAGAAAAACTAAGCCATTTTATCAATGAGGATATAGAAATGAGAAGCCGACAGAAAGATGTTCGACAACTCCAGCCATAAGAGGAATGTAAATTAAGACCACAATGCCATATCACCACACACCTATTAGGACAGCCGAATTAACAACAACAACAAAAAGATTATATCAATTGCTGGTGAGGTTGCAGAGAAATTGGATTTCTGGGGCCAGACGCGGTGGCTCACGCCTGTAATCCCAGCACTTTGGGAGGCCGAGGCGGGCGGATCACGAGGTCAGGAAATCGAGACCATCCTGGCTAACACGGTGAAACCCCGTCTCTACTAAAAATACAAAAAATTAGCTGGGCGAGGTGGCGGGAGCCTGTGGTCCCAGCTACTCGGGAGGCTGAGGCAGGAGAATGGCGTGAGCCCGGGAGGTGGAGCTTGCAGTGAGCTGAGATGGCGCCACTGCACTCCAGCCTGGGCGACAGAGTGAGACTCCATCTCAAAAAAAGAAAAAAAAAAAAAAAAAGAAAAGAAAAAAAAAGAAAGAAATTTGTTCTCATACATTGCTGGTGGAAATGTAAAATGTTACAGTCCCTCTGGAAAATAGTTTGAAAGGCTCTTTGAATAAGTAACCATAGACCTATCAAATGATACAGCAATTATGGCCATGGGCATTTGCCACAGACAAATGAAAATGTGTGTCCTTAGAAAAACCTGCGCTTAAATGTTCCTAGCAACTTTGCAGTAGCTAAAAAATGGAAATAGCCAATCCCACAAAACAGTAAATATTTTATTAGCATCAAAAAATGAATGACTGATACAAAAGTGTGGATGGATGTCGAGGGCATGATACTCAGTGAAAGACGCCAGTCTCAAAGGTATTAATGCTTTTAGAGCACATTCTTGAAATTACAAAGTTATGGAGATGAAGATCAGAGTAGTGATTGCCAGAGGTTAAGGATGTGGGGGAAAGAGATGGACACAGCTGTAAAGGAGTAGCGTGGGAGAAATCTTGGTGGTGGTGGAAGAGTGCTGCATCTTGATTGCAGTGCTAGTTACACTATCTACACACGTGATAAGATGGCATTGAGTTGAGCTGAACGTGCAGATGGTACAGTGTCCACGTCCTTGATGTTGTACTACAGCTATACAGGATATAAACACTGGGGGAAACTAGGTTAAGGGTATATGAGACTACCCTGCACAGTTTTTGCTATTTCCTGTGAATCTATGATTATTTCAAAACAGAATGTTTTTGAGGCTTTCTCGCAGAAGCTTGTTACAAGGCCAATATTTTGATTCCACAGCTTTGTGGCCCCATCCAGCTGGCTGTTTCAGGGGAAGATTCTGAGCCATTGGAGAGAAGCTCCAGGAAGTCTCCTGGGTCTAGAAAATGTTCTGTGGTGATTGCTTCTGTTAACAGCAGCTCACAAGCTGAATTCACTCAGAACAAGGGATAGCACAGAAAGCAAGTCTCATTGGGAGGTGAATGGGCAGCTTGCAGAACCAGACCATTTGCACAGAGAAGCGCATGCCGCTGACACAGCCAGGATGATCTATTTAGCGTCACTAATAAGAGTAGGAGGAAGCTGATAATGAAGAAGGCTCCTCGTAAGTGTCATCTCTTAAAAAGAGGCAGGTACAACTTTCAGAATCTCGACAGATTAGAGGATTGTACTACTTACTGTGCTAGTAGTGTTGTATATATCCCTTGGTGGAATTCACAATGGAACCCTCTGGGAGATCCGAAAGAACAAATTTGCTTGCACACAGGAAAATGTAGCTTGGGCCCTGTATATCAAGGCCTTTTTCCCTTTAGGACCCTCCTGGTGGTCTGCTTAGGCTTTCAATTCAGAATCCGAGGAATTCTTTGAGCTGTCCCACAGAGGGACCCCTGGCATGGTCTGTAGATTTCTCTGTAGGTAAACCTACTCTAACCAGCCGCTCCTGGACCCTCACGTGTGGAAGGTGAGCTGAGGGTTGCTGCACCTTACTCTAAGGAACACTGAAGGCCTTGAAATGCTTTAGGCAGGGAGAGGCATTATGAGGTGTGCACAGCTGTGTGGCGGCGGCACAGAGGCCCCTGTGCAGCCAATGTGGAGGTTTGATTAAGGGGCAGTACTGAAGGCAGAGACCATGAAAAAGGAAACTGCCAAGTTCTGGCAGGGTGCCGTGTCCACAGGGATGGAGAGGAGAAAAAACACTGACATACAAATTGGCAAAACGGGCAAGACCTGACAACCGATCAAATCAGAGAGAAAAAGGGACCCAGGCTTCCAGCCCCGGCAGCTAGGGGCAGGAGTGCAAGAATGATGTATCCTTTCAAGTATCATGACCATCGGGGTGAATTGCTGAGTTCTGGGGGTGCCTATAACTCTGAGGGCAAATCAATAATATAGGCTACATGCCCAGTAAAATGGATATTACTGCGGCCACAGGGCCCCGGCCCCTTAATCTTGAAAGTCCTCTGTCAATTGCAGCCACAATCCTTAACTCTCGTTTGCTGACAAGGTTGATTCACTGGTGGCTTTGAGAAACAACCGGTCCTTTTCTCTGTTGCTCTCAGGAGTAATGTCTTTGAGTAAAATTATTCCAAAATTCAGATCATCTTCTTAAGACAAATATCCTAAAATATTAACTTGCTTATAGTTGAACACTCGACATAGGAGCACATTGAATTTCATCACTTTGAGAACTATAGTTTTTCTTCACTAGAAATCATATATTTTACTGAGGTCATTTATGGCTTTGGAGAGTGTGCTAGCACCTAGTTTTAAAATTTTCAGGCACAGAGTGCAATGACTTCTCTACAGCCCATAATGGTGGATGCTGAGTCTTTCATTTTCTGTGTGTTGAAACAAACTACAAGTTGTTTTCTGAGGAAGCCTGTGGTTTTTTCAGCAGAAACTCACTGTACTCCCTTGACACTGTAGGTTTATATTGGGGAGGGGGGCCTGCTCACACCCTGATAAATTTCCCATATGTTCATGAACAGCTTTCTCTATGAAGAAGTCTTTGCCTTCTCTGTGGATTGTTCTCATTCAACATATTCCCAAATGAAGAATTTCTAGGTAAAATAGTATTACCATGTTAAAGCCTTTTGAAGACAGAGTTGGCTGCATTGATTTCCAGGCAAATTGTAATAACTTATACTTTCACTGGTTGTGTATAATGGTTCCAGTTTCATAACAATATCATTGACATTGGACATTACATGGGGTTTTAGTTTATTCTATGACAATTTAATAAATGAAAACTGGAATACAGATTTAATATTTCTATCTTTATTAGTGAGGTGTAACAGTTTCAACAGTTATTTGCCATTTTTTTCCTGTGATACATTTTGCCTATTACTAGGTTTGGGCTTTTTGCTCAATTTTATAGTAAAAGAGATTTGTGTTACATTTTCTACATTTTCTACATTTTAGCACTTTCAAATAAGTGGGATTTGAATTCGTTCCCACTGTTTTGTTTGTTTGTTTGTTTTTGTTTTTGTTTTTGTTTTTTTTGAGACAGAGTCTCACTCTATTGCCCAGGCTAGAGTGCAGTGGTGCGATCTCGGCTCACTGCAAGCTCCACCTCCATGATTCATGCCATTCTCCTGCTTCAGCCTCCCGAGTAGCTGGGACTACAGGTGCCCGCCCGCCACCACACCCGGCTAATTTTTGTATTTTTAGTAGAGATGGGGTTTCACCTTGTCAGCCAGGGTTGTCTTGATCTCTTGACCTTGTGATCCACCCTCTTCGGCCTCCCAAAGTGCTGGGATTACAGGCGTGAGCCACCGCACCCCCGGCCAGTTCCCGCTGTTTTTTAACCTGTATTTTTCTATATTCCTGGTCTTTGTTTTCTGCTTTTCACTGTCATGTTAGCTGCACTTTCTTAAACTTTTCAGTTGAATATCTAACTAGTTTACTCATTGGTAATGAACACATTTTTCATTGTTGCAATTTATATCTCATTACAATATAAACAAATTTAGGCTTTAAGTCCTTGGCATTACTTAAAGAAGGCCATTAGATATATGTCACGTGTGAGAGTGAGGTTTGCAGCTGGGAAGTAAGCCTCTCTACCATGGAGCAGAGCCAGCCCCCACCTTAAGTATGGCACCAAAGTCCCATGATGGGACAAAGTCCCAAATTTGGAACAAAGTCCCAAATTTTGTTCCACAAAGAGCATCTTGCTCAGGCACGCCATGAGTTAATGGTCTGGAGAAAACTTTATAAGCAATCATAAATAAACTAAACACAAACAAGAAATACTAGACCAATATGCCACTTTACTGGCCCAGCAAAACCTCCTTTGGGGACAGTTCTCAGCTGGGGCATTGCTGTCTCCTTCAATGGACATTTGCTGTTGTTGTAAAAATAAGTAAACATTGCTTGCGGACAAATGCGCAGGACTCTCTGACCCAAGGAGTTTATAGGAAACTGCCTCCCAGTTTTTGGACTACCTGACCACTTAGACAACTTGAGAAAGAGCTCCTGCGGCCTGGCAGGTCCTGGGGCGGGGATCATCGTCCTGGAAAGCTCAGTTCTGCGGGTGCTAGGAGTAGAGTCTGCATCTTGTGGGCTCCTCTCCTAGTCAGCTTCCTAAGTGGCAGCGCTGCAGGACCAAGGATAGAAATTGTTGAGTGAAGAGCGGATTGGACTTGAAAACAGATGCTACCTTGGCCTATAAGAGAAAAGAAGGAATCTCTGGGCACAGATATAGATAAAATTATGAGCAAAAGTGGTGAAGCAAGGAGTAGCTGCAATCCAAGTATATACATGGTTGTGAAGTTAAGCACTGTGGGAGGGGCTGTTGCTGCGGCAGCTGCGGTGGCACCTCTAATCTGCCGCTAGGTGGCAGGAGAATTCCACCATCGCCACTAACCGCATCTGGGACTTTGGCTTCACCCTAGAAGCGGGATATGGGATTGGATTTCTTCCTTCTGATAAGACAGTATGCGGTGGCAAGTAGGGCTGATGGTCCCCTGTCCACAGGAAGAGAGTATGACCACAAGAACGTCCTTTTGTGTACACCAGCCTGGTGTGTGCTTGAATATCCTTCCTCAAAACACTCAGGCCAGTTCATTCCCTTGTCCCTTTCCTGCCTAGACCAGGTTCATAGCCAAGGGCTGACCGCGGTTGTTCAGCAACTTCAGGCGTTGCCGGCTGCCTTCCCCTACAAGTTAGAATGACCCTTCCCCCCAGGACCTTCCCCTAGAACTCTATGTTGATAGGAATGCACCCTGCCACGCCCTCCCCTAACCCAGCCACTACTGCTGGCAATCTGCAGGGTTTCTAATTAAATGAAGACTGTTTTTTCCTTTTCCCTGTTATAAGCCTGGATATCCTGCAGGGAGCACGTTTCCATCCCGGTAGCAGTGTGTTGATGAAACCCAAATTTGAACTGCTGGACACCCCGCCACGGGCCACATGATTGACAAATACCCTTTTGGCCAAATTCTCCATGAAGCGGGACCACCTGGTTATTTGTAGTCCTGCAGGCAGATGGCCCTTCTTCTCCACATACCCTTAAGGACATTTCTGCTTCTAATAACAACGTTACCAGCTGGGCACTAACGTGTGTGCTTTAATTAATCTCCTGGAGAAATCTTATGTATAACCACCCACTGAAATCACTGCATCCTTATAAAGATGAATGGAGTACTCTCCTTGGAAAACAATTCCATCACCGTGGTTTTTACTATAACTGAGAGTAGTCTTGCTATTCATGTCTATTCAGAGAATACGGCAAAACTTGGCTTCCACCATCTAGTGTAAAAATTAGAATAAAGACAAACACTTCTGTTATGCTGAAAGTATATTTATATATATAGATATAGATATTTACTTCTCTGTAGACAGTTTTTACTGATGAGTCATTTGAACGTTCAAAGAACAACCGATTACAATGCTACATGAACTATACCAGAAATGAGATGGATAGCTTCTCAATTCATTTCACAAAGCCAGCACAAAGCTGATACCAAAACATAACAATTAAAACACAAAACAGAGAACCACAGATCTCACTTAAAAACACAGATGCCAAAATACAGAACAGAACAGTAGCCGATTGAAATCAACACCACATAAAAAATGTACAAAGCTTTGGCAGATACGAAACCAAGTTGAAAATCCAAACGTACACTCGTGGAACTGGAACACAAACACCAGGAACAAAAATGTCCCCCCACCCTGTCAGTGGCCTCTGGCCAGGGAAACACAGGAGCGAGATCTCTGCTACACCTATTAGCGGGGAGGGGGCCTGCTGGTGGGGCCGTGGGCACTGTCACCGGTGTCAGGTTCATCCTCATCTGTGTCTTCCCACTCACACTCTGCGAGCGCTTCAAGGTAATGGAATGGCCAGCTCTGTGGATCTTTCTTATGGAGCTTGGCCAAAAACCTCAGGACAAGCATCTTGCTGGTTTCCAGGAATGCTCGAGGGCCCCAGAGGAACTCATACTCTGCGGGCTCAGTGTAAGGGATTCGCCTGTACTCTAGGTACTTCTGCCTGACAAACACTTCGGTGATGAGCTTCTTAGTATTTCCAAAGAGACCGTTTGTCTCCCGGACATCCAACCCTAACTTGAACAGAAAATTAAAGATCAGATCCTCCCTGACACAGTTGCCTTTCATAAAGATGAGGCTCAAGACCACCATCAGAAGGCCAAACTTGGGCCTGTCTAAATAGGATGCCACCAAATTCCCTGTATGGTAGCCCAGCTTGTTGATGATAATATAGGCGTGGTTTTTGGTATCAATTTCTTTCAATTGATAACCAAAGGCACACTCCAGCTTATTGTTGGCACGGTTGATGATATCTAAGCACTCATCTTTATACTCTCGGAGGATGACTTTCACCATCTCCGAGCGCTGGACAGGCACCTTGGCTTGGTCCTTGACTAAGAGGAACTGCACCAACGCATTTGCCCTCTCATCCAAGGGAGACAAGGGCTGTGCCTCCACCTTGGAATTATCCTGGGTGGCACTGGATCCCGGAGAGACACTTGCGACCTCAGACACAACTACGGGCAGAGAGCTCCCTGGGCTTTCAGAGAGACCCAGGGCCCTGGAGGTGCTCGGGCCCTCCCAGGCACTCAGGGCCCAGGATGCGCTGGGCCCTTCCCAGCCACTCAGGATCCTGGAGGTGCTAGGGCCCTCCCAACCACTCAGGCCACGGGGGGTGTTTGGGTGCTCCCAGTCACCCGAGACCTGGATAGGGCTTTGGACCTCCCAGTCACTCAGATTTAGATTCTCCCAGGGCCTTGGGCCCTGCCAGTCATGAAAGGCTAGCGTGTGGCCACGGCTGTCCTCTTGGGCTTCCAGATGCTTCTTCTTCCGGGTGGCCTTGCCGGAGCGGCGTGGCGGCTCGACGGAGGTCTTGGAGGCCTCTTGAGTGGTGGCAGTTGCCTGGGGGGCAGCTGCTGTAGCCATCAGGAAGGTGGGCACTGCCTGCGATGCCTTTGAGGCATTCATATTGGGCTGTGGGACCCATGGAACTGCAGGCAGGGCCTCTACACAGGCAAAGGGATCCTGCAGAGCATATGGCAGTGACTTTGGGGTCTCTGAGGCAGCAGAGGGGCCTTTAAAGGCATTCAGAGAGGCAGGCTGAAACTGGGAGGTAGCTGGGAAGACACTTGAGGAGGGAGCAAAGGTCTCCGGTGTGGCAGGCAGGTTTTTCCAGGCAGCTGGCAGGTGTGCTCGCGCAGCTGACACTGCCTTGGGAGCACAGAAGGTGGCAGCAAAGATCATGCGGTCTTTTGAAGGGGCCCTGCGCTCCTTCGAGGAGGTCCTGCGCTCTTTAGAGGAGCCCCTGCGGTCTATAGAAGAGGCCCTGCATTCTCCTGATGGAGTCATCAATGATTTAGCGGAGCCCAGGGGAAAATTTGCCGCTGCTACCGGGGGTCCGGGCTGGGCCTGCAAGACTGCAGGCGGTGCCTGCCAGGAAGGCTGGAGCGGCAGTGTGGGCACCTCCGCTTGCGGACCCGATGCCTGGGCCTGCTGGGGGGGTAGCTGGATTTGCACGGCTTTTTGGGAGGGCGGGGCTCCCTGAAAGGGCTGCTCCAGCTGGACCAAGGGGGGAGCCTGCCTCTGGGCCTCCTGGGCAGGCAGGGGCTGCCAGATGTGAGTGGGGGCCTTCTGGGCCTGCCAGGCCAGCGCCTGTGTCTGCTGCACCTCCTGGAATTCCATTGACGTTGGAATCTCGTGTGGCACCGGGGGCTGACCTTTGGGGGCCTGCCAGATGATGGAAGGGCAGTGCACAGCCTGCGGGGCAGACAGTGGGGCAGACAGCGGGGCCGGCAGCACAGGCTGGGGCACCTGCGGGCCAGCGGGCGGCGCCGCGGGTACCTGCGTAGCAGGTGGGGCCGTAGGCACCTGCGGCGCCGCCTGCACCTGCGGGGCCGGCAGCCTAGCCTGCGGGGCCTGCCGCAGTGGAGGTGGGGGTGGCAGGGCCTGCCAGAGCGGTGGCTGGGTGGCCAGGACCTGTGGGGCAGGTCGGATGGGCGGCGGCGCCTGGCGGATCAGCGGCGGGGCCTGGCGGATCACAGGTGGAGCCTGGCGGATCACAGGTGGGGCCTGGCGGATCACAGGTGGGGCCTGGCGGATCACAGCGGGGGCCTGGCGGATCACGGGTGGGGCCTGGCGGATCACGGGTGGGGCCTGGCGGATCACCGGTGGGGCCTGGCGGATCAGCGGTGGGGCCTGTCGCACCGGTGGTGGGCCAGGGCGGATGGGTGGTGGGCCAGGGCGGATGGGCGGGGGCCCCTGGCGCATGGGCGGCGGCACCTGCCAGGTAACGGCTGGTGCCTGCCAGGTGACCTGCGTGGTCTGCCAAGTCAGGGGAGTGGCCTGCCAGCCTTGCTGCGTGGCCTGCCATCCTGGCGAGGTCGCCTGCCAGCCCGGGGGTGTGGCTAGCTGCGCTGGGGGTGCCTGCGGGCCCTGGGGAACCTGCGGAGGAGCCCTTATAACTTGAGACTGGATTTGCAGGATCAGAGGCTGAGCCTGCGGGGCCCAAGAAGCCATCGGCTGTGCAGGTGGGGCCATCGGCTGTGCAGGTGGGGCCGCCGGCTGTGCCATCGGTGCTCCTGAAGCTGGAGGCTGGGTCATCGGAGCTCTCGCACCTGGAGGATGAATCATCAGGACTCCTGGACCTGGAGGCTTGGCCATCGGTGCTCCTGAAGGCTGAGGCTGGGTCATCATGGCTGCTGGAGGCGGCTGGACCATCGGTGCTCCCGGAGCAGCAGGCTGGACCATCAGGACTCCCGGAGTCAGAGGCTGGGCCATCAGGACTCCCGGAGCTGGAGGCTGGGCCATCGGTGTACCCGGAGGGGGAGGATGAGCCATCGGTGTCCCCGGAGGTGGAGGATGAGCCATCGGTGTCCCCGGAGGGGGAGGATGAGCCATCGGTGTCCCCGGAGGGGGAGGATGAGCCATCGGGGTCCCCGGAGGAGGAGGATGCACCATCGGGGTCCCCGGAGGAGGAGGATGGGCCATCGGGGTCCCCGGAGGAGGAGGATGGGCCATTGGGGTCCCCGGAGGGGGAGGGTGGGACATTGGGGTCCCCGGAGGAGGAGGATGGGCCATGGGAGCTCCGGGAGCTGAAGGATGCACCATCAGGACTCCCGGGGTCGGAGGCTGGGCCATCGGGGCTCCCGGAGGTGGAGGATGCACCATCAGGACCCCGGGAGTCGGAGGCTTACCCATCGGGCCCCCCAGCGGGGGAGCCGGGACTATCGGGCCCCCTAGGGCAGGAGGCTGGGTCATCGGAACCACCGGGGCGGGCAGCTGGCCCTGTGGGGCCTCCCAGGCAGGCTGAGGTGCCTGCCAAGCGGCCAATGAAGCCTGCAAGTCAATTGGAGGTGGATCCCAAGGGACTGGCGGAGCCCGGGAGGAAGCGGGCGGGGCCCGCATCAGAACCGTAGGGCGGCTATAGACAGGCGGCTTCGGGGCCTCCGCCGGAGGACTCGAGTCACCCAGATTCTTACTTAGCTGCGACATGTCCCTTTGCTGACAGCTGGTGGGTCTTTTCCTCGGACAGCTGCTGGGCCTTTTCCTCCAGAGAGAAGAGAATGCCTACGTGGCTGTTCAGAGGCTCCCTCCCTGCTGAATGCTGAATAGGAAGTGAGTGCTGCTCGCTCCGCAGCTTTCCGCAGTAAGGAGGAGGGGGGAAGGGGGCTCAATCCCGCCCCTTCCCCGCCCCCGACCACCACAAGTGGATATTGCATAGGGGCGTCTACCGGAGTCCTGGCTGACACAGGATCCCTTCTCACTCTGTCCAGTCCCCAAATGCAGACCAGTCAGACTCCACATGGATGACTTTTCACAGGGGAGTGACAGGAACCCATCCATGTTTTAGAAAAATCACTGTACTGCAGTGTGGAGTGGGAGCAGACCACTGGAAACATGGAAGGTATCCAAGACGGCGGGGGGAGATGGTGTGGTCTGGGCTAAGATGTGAGGCGGAGAATGAAAAAAGCGCATTTACATAAGAGAGTTCCAGGAGTTATAGCAGACAGATACCTGTATTATAATTGAATAAAGGAGTCAAAGACATGGAAAAGGCACACAAGTCCCTGCCTGGAGAAAGTGGGAAGTTGCAGGGACTGTTACTCTCTTAGGGTCCCAGGAGAGGCACACGGGAAGAGAGGCTGATGAGTATTGGCAGACACAGGGCATTTGCGGTGCTGTGGGACTGCCAAGGAGAGATACCCTGTAGGCACTCCTGTATGATGTCTTGGGAGTCCTGCTTGGCTATTCCTCATGAAAATAGAGTTGTGGGAGGGAATGTGGTTGCACTGGGTCTTGAAGAACACAGGCATGTTAGAGACACATGGAGAAAAGGGACAGCAGCGAGTAGAGAGAGAGGAAAAGAAGTCACGGAACTGAGACATGCCACACATCAGTGGAAGACAGCATTTTTAGTATGGGAAAACTGCCTGTGGAATGGCTCGGATGCAGGAACAGAGTAGGTTTCTCAGTATTTTTCATCTGCAGAATGGGAAAGAAATTTAAAAAATGAAAACCAAATAACGCACCTGAAGATAACAAAATGGGTATATAAATAGATCAAAAATTGATATATTTGGATATATAGGAAAAACAGGCAAAGAATAAAAAAATTTCTGGGGAAACTTCTCGTGACAAAAATCAGTTTAAATATGAGACAAATCAAGTATTAACAGATAAAGCAGATGACAATAGTATTATTGGGCAATGCTATACAACTTTATGGTGAGAGGAAGTGATAATCTCAGTAATTGAAAAGCTTTCTGGAAATATACAAAGCACTAAATATCAAGGATGTTTCGTTTAAATAGGCTGTTGGCAGCCTACGGCAGGAGTCCAGAGTGACAAAACGTGCCACCAGGGGGCAGATGAGGACGATGAAGGGTACACCCCACTCCTTCCCAGGTACCCTTAGCCAGGGGTCCTCAAATTTGGTAATTTATGGACCCAAGAGAAGGTATGTACACACTCCCAATGTTATTATTGCCTTAAACAATAATAGAAGAATTTGGGGGTAAAGTTTCAGTGATTTTCTGGACACTTAAGGGATGTTGTTATTCCCAGGAAACTCTTTTCAAAACAGTCAGATTTTTAAGGGTGCTTGATGATACAGTAGCCCCCCCCACCTTACCTGCAGGGGATACATTCCAAAACTCTCGATGCCCGAACCTGGAGACAGCACCAAACCTTATATATACCATGTATCCCTTTCATTCTCCTTCTTCACAATTTCACAGATAGTTTTGTTTTTGCCATATATCTTAGCAATCTCAGCATGCGATTTTTTCTTTCCTTATTAAGTCAAGAACTTTCACCTTTTTCCTTCAAGGAAGCACTTCATAGCTTCCGTTTGGCATACCTAAATTGCCAGGATCACTATTCTTACATTTTGGGGCTATTACTAAGTAAAACAAGGGTTCCTTGAACACAAACACTGGGAAACCGATGGTAGATCTGATATCTGAAGCAGCTACTAAGTGGTTAATGAGCAGGTAGCGAATACAGTAGCACTCCTGTGCCTGCAGTTTCACATTGTGTGGTTTCAGTTACCTGCAATCAAATGCAGTCCAAAAAATTAAATGGAAATTTCCAGAAATAATTTATAAGCTTTAGATTGCATGCCATTCTGAGTAGTATTATGAAATTGTTCTGTTTCGTCCTGCCTGGGGCATGAATTATCCCTTTGTCTAGTGTATCCATGCTGTATATGCTACCCGCCTGTTATTCACTTAGTAGCTGTCTCGGCTATCAGTTGAAAACATCGTAGTACATATAGGATTCAGTACTATTTCCAGTTTCAGGCCTCCACAGGGGGGTCTCAGAATATATCCCCCAAGGATAAGGGTGGACTACTGGACATCACTCCTGTGTATCCCCAGAGAAGGCCATCTACCACAGCACACAAAAAGCTTCTGCAGAATGGATACTACCGTGTTTCATGGTTTTCGTTTCTCCCTTGGGTTAATGGCCCAGATCCACACAGGATTTCTCAGTTTCATGGGGGTTTGGAAACACTGTAGAAGGACAAACTCTAAATGCCTAACCCTCAGGACCTGCTATTATCAACTCTGCTACATGGCTGTTACTGGCTATGGATGGCTTTGGAAAAATCAGTTTATTTTTTAGCCTAGGGCATTTCTAAAGCATACTTTTTTTCCACTCTAATGCAAATGTATAAACTACACAGAGATTAAGTTCTCCCACTAACCGTTTATTTTCGGGAATTATGACAGGTTTGTCCTGCCGTCCACCATGCTGTTGGTCATCCCACACAATGAATGGCTCCCACTAGGGTCTGGCTATTCTCACTGATGTTGGAGGTCAGTGAATAGCACTGACATACAGTGTCAACTCCCACCGAATCTGTTCTATGAAAAGAGGTCCGGTTTATGTTAAGAGGCAACACCAAAGCCAGAAAGAAAAGATTAGGCATTATACAAAGGAAAAAACAGGTGCGTAGGAGTAGTTAGAAATGGAAGATGAATAACTTCTACACCAGCACTATTGCCACTGCTTGGAAACATTCTTTAACCGGCAGGGAAAAATCAGAGATTATGTATCCATTGATTCTATAGGAACAAGTAAAGAGGGTAAACCCAGTTTATTCTCCCTGGAAGAAACATCTGCTTATTTCAGATAGTCAGTGCTCTCAGACCCAGGCTGTTCCTGGGGCTCTCCCTAGCTATTTACAAATTACTTGTGAGCAAAATTCACCTGAGGAAACAGGGACATACGGGTCGTTTTTGAAAACTGACTGCCTTAATCACAGCAAAACATAATATTGCCCTGAGTCTAGTGAGGCATTAGACCACAAGTGTTGGGTCTTCCCAAATCACTCCTGTGAAACCTTCCTGCTTCCTGAAGCCCTCTTTCCCTTTCTGTGCATATGTTCTTCCTCCTCAACACCTTTGAACCAAGTGTTGTCAAAATTCCCTTTCCTCACTTTTATATGAAACAGCTTGAAAATTCAAGGTGAGTAGAAAACAAAAGGGAAAAACATACAAAACATCCATGAAATGTTGGCCTCTGTTCCCTAATTAGAAAGGACTTTTAATGGCTTACGTCAGTATATAACAGCAGTATACAAAATGATTTTTAAAAACAGGGAAGGGAGAACTGAAGTATTGTGATGGGAGTAGGAAAATTGCGGAACTAGGAGCAGACGGGAGCCTGTTTTGCTCACCTTGGTATCCCCAGCTCGCATTGAGTGGTCACTAAGGAGCTACAAAATGAAATGGTAAGATTAGCACCAGAACTGCCTGTCTTCCAATCTTCTGTAGCTGTTAGACTTTGTGTAAATATTCATAAGTGAGTAACAAAATCAGTTATGATTTTCATAAACTCTAAAATTACTTATTTATGAAATACCTTTTATTAAGCATTCACTATATGCCCAGCACTGTGCTATAGATAAGACTACAGAGAAAAATCTGATGCAAGTCCTATTTACATCTATTGTTAGTCACATAGGGACATTAATCTAATCTATCGTTAGTCACATAGGGACATTTCACGAATCTATTGTTAGTCATATAGGGATATTCATATGGTTTTTTAGTACAATAAGGTGTTGTCGCATTGTTTAAACCTCATATTGGTCATAGAGGATGAAAATAATCAAATACTCACTTCTGCTTGGAACATGGGGTGAGGGGAGCTGTGATGCTGATTGTAGCAGTGAAAAGAAAGAAAACAAACCTGAGGCTGTGAAAGATTCATGTGATCCAGATAGACAGTCTAAGTAGAAAAATTATTTAAAAAGCATAGGAGATATCATAAGTATGAGGTTTGAAAAAAAAAGAATTGGAAGGATTAAAATAGTGTAACTACTAGTTATCAACAATTTATTATTTGATAAAATACCATCCTCAGAGTATAATAGACTCTATTCATTGATTTCTCACAAAATCCATAAGTATTTGGCTTGATTTTACATGGCAAGAATTTGAGGCTCAGAAGATCTAGCAATACATATCAGAATTCAGATTTAAATCCCAATCTATTCGTTGTGAGAGCTTGCATTCTTTTTTTTTCTTTTTGCCGCTGACCACCAGGCAGGGTCTTGCTCTCTCACCCAGACTGGAGTGCAGTGGTATGATCATAGCTCACGGCAGTCTGAAACTCCTGGGCTCAAGCCATTCTCCTGCATCAGCCTCCTGAGTAGCCGAGACTGCAGACAGGCCATACCACACGCAGGTGATTTTTGTTCGTTTGTTTTTCGTAGCGATGGGGTCTCACTATTTTGCTCAGGCTGGCCTCAAACTCCTGGGGTTAAGTGAGCCCCCAACCTTGGCCTCCCAAAGTGCTGGGACCGTAGGCATCAGCCACTGTGCCCAGCCCATCACTCTTACCATTACACCAGGGCTGCCAAAACCTTTTAAAATATGTTAGATATAATTAACATGCAACAACATGCACAGATCTAAAGTATTCAATTTAATGAGCTTTGCCACTGAGTAATTAACACTCAAAACAATATAAATAATAGTTTTATTATCAAACAAAATTACCGTGCACCCTTTTCCAGTCAATTATTCTATCTCCAAAAACATACACTTCCTTATTTCTCTCACCCTAGATTATTTTGCCTGTTCTAAAAATTCATAAAATGGAATCAGCGTAGGAGGGAGGGAGGGAGGGAGAGAGAAAGACACACAGATAGAGGTCAATATTCCTTTGTTCAACATTTTTTAATGTAAATATGTTGCAAGTATTGGAAGTTTGCTATTTTTTATGCTGAAAAGTATTCCATTGTATTTATAACTCCATAATTTATCTGTTACCTGTTGGCATGTGAGACATTTAAAATCTGATGCTATTATGAGAAAAAGGCTGCATTACAAATTATTTTACAAGCCTTTTGTAAATATATGCTTCCATTTATCTTGGGTAAATGCCTGGGAGTTGAATGTCTGGGTCATAGGATAGACGGCTGTTTATAAGAAACTGTAAGAGTTCTCCATAGTTGGGTTAGACCATTTTACACTCTAACATAAGAATAATGTTAAGAATTAAGAATGCATACGAATTCCAGGTACTTGACAACCTTGCAAAATTTTGTAGTGTCAGTCTTTTTTGATTTTTGTTATTCAACTGGATGTGAAATGGTGATTGCAGTTTTACACTGCAATTAGCAAATATGAGGGTTCCAATGGATCCACATCATTGCAAAATTGATACAGTCAGTCAGCCATTTTTATTTTAGGCATTTCAGTATTTTAGGCAGTTCAGTAAATGAGAAATGGTATGTCATTTATTGTGAGTTTTGTTTGTGTCTTTTCTTTTTAATTAATGGATTATTTTTTAAAGCAGTTGTAGGTTTGCAGAAAAAATGAGAGGCAAGTACAGAGACTTCTCATGTATCCCCTCTCCTCTCCCACCATCCCTGTCCCCCTACCCCTGGCAATGCCCCTTATTTTTAATGTCTTGCGTTAGAGCGGTATATTTGTTACAGTCAACGAGCCAATATCATTAATTGAACTCCCTAGTTTACATTAGTATTCACTCTTTATGTATACATTTTATGGGTTTTCACACAATTGTGTGATAAATGGGTTATCACAATTGTGTGATAACAGATTTCTGTGTCCACCATTGCATTATTATATAGAAGAATTTTACTGCCCTAAAAAACCTGTGCTTTCTCCTACCAAACCCCTGGCAAATTTTGATTTTTTTTACCTTCTCCATAGTTGTGCCTTTTCCAGAATATCATATGTAGTGGGAATCATAAAATGTGTAGCCTTCCAGATTGGCTTCTTTCACTTAGCAATACACATTTAATATTCCTAATTTTGTGGCCTGGTAACTCATGTTTTTCTTCTTATCAAATAGACCTTATTTTGTAGAGCAGTTTTTGGTTCACAGCAGAATTAAGCCAAAACTACAGCAAGTTTCCATACACCCCTTGGTTCCCCCAGCACACACACGATCTGCCCCAATGTCAACGTCCTCCAGCAAAATTGTATGCTTCTCACAGCTGATGAACATCAATTGACATGTCATTATCACCCAAAGTCTGGAGTTCACATTAAGTTTCCTCTTGGTATTGTACATTCTGTGTTTTGACAAATGTCTAATGTAATACATCCACCATTATAGTATAACACGGGATAGTTTCCTAGCTCCCAAATCCTCCATGTTCTACCTATTCATCCCCTCCCCTCCCCTGCAGATACCTGGCAACCACTGATCTTTGTGCTGTCTCCATAGTTTTATCTTTTCTGGAATGTAAACTAGTTGGACACATATAGTATGTATCCTTTTCAGACTGGCTTCTTTCACTTAATAACATGCATTTTAGTTAACTTCCATATATTTTTATAGCTTAATAGCTCATTTCTTTTCAATGCTCAATAATATTCCATTGTCTGGATGTACCGAAGTTTATTTACCCATTCACCTGATGAAGGACACCCTGGTTGCTGCCAAGATTTGTCCATTACGAACAAACCTGTTATAAACATCCATGTGCAGGTTACTTTTTTTTTTTTTTTTGAGATGGGGTCTCGCTCTGTCACCCAGGCCGGAGTGCAGTGGCACGATCTTGGCTCACTGCAAGCTCTGCCTCCCGGGTTCACACCATTCTCTTCCCTCGGCCTCCAGAGTAGCTAGGACTACAGACAACCACCACCATACCCGGCTAATTTTTTTGTATTTATATTAGAGATGGGGTTTCACCGTGTTAGCCAGGATGGTCTCGATCTCCTGACCTCGTGATCCGCCTGCCTCAGCCTCCCAAAGTGCTGGATTACAGGCATGAGCTACCTTGCGCCTGGCCTATTCTGTACATTTTTCTAGTTTCTTTTTATTTTATTCCTGTTTTTTGCATTCTTAATGTATAAGCTTATGTCATTGATTTTAAATATATTCTCTTTTGTAGTACAGATATTTAAAGCTATAAAGTTATCTCTTAGCCCTATTATAGCAGCATCTTACACATTATGGTTTGTTATTTTTTAATAATTTATTTATTTATTTATTTATTTATTTTTGAGACAGAGTCTCACTCTGTTGCCAGGCTGGAGTGCAGTGGCGCAATCTTGGCTCACTGTAACCTCCACCTCCAGGGTTCAAGTGATTCTCTTGCCTCAGCCTCCTGAGTAGCTGGGACTACAGGCACCCGCCACCATGCCCAGCTAATTTTTGTATTTTTAGTAGAGACAGGGTTTCACCATGTTGGCCAGGATGGTCTCGATCTCTTGACCTCGTGATCCATCTGCGTCGGCCTCCCAAAGTGCTGGATTACAGATGTGAGCCACCGCGCCCGGCCAGTTATTTCAAAATATAATTTTTACTGTGATTTCTTCTTTGACTCATGGGCTGTTTTTATTTTTTGGTTTAATTTCCAAACATTAGGATATTTTATACAAATTTTAATAATATTAATTATGAATATAATACCATTATGATAAGAGTATGCCCGATTCGGCTTGAATAATTTTTATATTAGAACCTGGTTTAATGCCCAGCATTGAGTCTGTTTAAAATATTCTGTGAGCACTTGAAAAGAAAATGCATTCTGCTGTAGTGAGATATATCTATAAATGTCGCCTAGGTCTAGTTGGTTGAACATACTGTTCACATCTTCAGTATGTTTACTGATTTTTAAAATCTGGTCCTTCTATCAATCACTCAAAGAAGTATGTTAACATTTCCAAACACAGTTGTAGACTTATCTATTTTCCCTCCTTAGTTTGGCAATTTAACTTAGTGTTATCTCTTTTATTAGGTCATACACATTACATGTGTGACTATGTCTTTTTAGTGAATTGGTTCTTCATTCTCACAAAATATCTCCCTTAGTTCTGCTCATACTCCTTCTTTTGAAGTCTACTTTGTCTAATACTAGCAGAGCCACCCCAGCTTTCTTAAGCTTTGTAATTATGTCCTCTGTTTATTTGCATCCTTTTAACTATCAACCTGCCAAACTCTCTCTCTCTCTATATATATATATATATGAAAGAAAGGGAGAGAAAGACATTATAAGGAATTGGCTCATGTGATTATGGAGGCTGGCAAGTCCCAAAATCTACACCGTGAGACTCAGCAAGCTGGAATCTTAGGACAGCCACTGGTTTAGTTCCAGTATGTGCCCAAGAGCTAAGAACTTGGAAGGCTGAGGGTGTAGTTTAAGTCCAAAGGCTGGCAGGCTCATAACCATAAAAAAGTCAATATGTCAGTTCCAATCCAAAGACAGGAAAACACCTGATGTCTCAGTTAAAAGGACATTAGGCATCTGAAATATCCTTTCAGAAACACACAAAATAATGTTTAACCAAATATCTGGGCACTGCATGGGCCAAATTCACACATAAATTTAATCATCGCACTGAGGTTATAATTTTTAAATCTATTTTAGAAATGTCTTCCATTTTTCATGGAACATTTAACGTAATTACTGATAGGGTAGAGTATAAGTTGACTGTATTGGTACTTCTTTTATCTGTGTGTTATCATTTGTTTCACATTTATGGCTAATTAAGTATTTTAGTATTCCATTTTATCTTCTGCATTGGCTTTTGGTTTATATCTTATTTGTTTTTTCAATGGTTACACATTATATAATATACATATTTAATTTAGTGCTGTCTACCTCAAAAATACTATCTACTTCATTAATAAGAGCTTTACAATGTATAATTCCAGTTAAACTTCTTACAACTGTTGTGTTCTCATTGTCATTTATTTTACATCTATATTTGCTTTAAAACCCCACAATAGGTAGCTATTCCTTTTACTTTAAATAGCCAGTGAGCTTTTAAAAAATTATATGTATATATACATATGAAGATATCTATGTATCTATCTGTGTATCCATCTATGTATCTATCTATCATCTATCTATCTATGTCTATGAAGTCCTTGCTTTAAACAAAACAATATTTAACTGACATTTACACACACAGGAAAAGTGTAACTTACTTTGCACAATTCTGTGGTAGCTGAGATCTTCTGCAAAGCAAAACACGCATGAGTTGCAGTCAACACACTATTGCGCAAAATGAGGACTACCTGCATTATATATATGTGTGTGTTTAATTTTAATTATATAAATATTTGCATGTAATATATGTAAAGCATATTATATCAAATATATTAAACTAATATAAACATAATTGTGTGTACATTGTATATACCTTCTCATTAAGCAAAATTTACTGAGCACTTACTATATAACAAGCAGTCCTGTAGGTTCTGGAAATACATCATTGAAGCATACAGGCAAAAATCTCAGCCCTTCGAGAGCTCATATTCTAGTATAGGGAGAGAGACAATAAGTATAACAAGCACATTGTAGTACATGCTATAAGGTAATGAAAGCTATGGAGATAAAGAAACAGGAAGTCATTGCAGAGAATATGACATTTTGCAAAGTCTTGAAGGAGAGGCAGGCTAGATGCAACATTAAGATTCATGGAGGGATATATTTTAGCATATGGCAAAAAGTGGGTTGCCATATGAGAAAATCTGATTAAAGGCATTAGTGACTAGGAACCCATTTCAGCTATCTCTAGGAGAAGCCTAGAGACCTGGAGATTCACTGGGCAATGACTAGCACCTGGCTACTTGATGAAAAGGAAACTCAAGTGGCAACATCCAAAGCAGAAGTGAAGTAAGCAAAGTGGCCATGTTCATTGAGGTAATGGATTAAGAAATGATAAACTGGGTCCCAGCACTCTATTCACCTGGATGATCTTGTACAGTGGATGCAGGGCAGTGGTGGATTATCTCTAGATCCTACTCACTAGTCTGGAGGAAGTGTCCCAGTAATCCTATGGAGGCTTTGTATAATAGACAATCAGAAAGAAAGGCATGTGGGGTTTCTGTACTCATATCTGGGTACTCAGTGTTCTTTCTGGCAGTTTCTTGTTCATTCTTTAAATTCAGTTGGGTGTAATGAAGGGAAGATTCAGCTGTTTTTCATACTGTGCTTTTAAGAAGATAATTAGACTAAGCACATAACATGTCTTCATACTCGTATAATGCATATTAAATAATTGTAAATGCCTACTAGTGGCACGTTTTATTACACACACAGAAACACACACACACACACATGCACACATCATGTACTTTCTGGCTCCCTTCATACCTTCTGCATATCCAGGTTTCCATCACCTCTCAGTTTCTTTCAGCCTGAAAAACTTTCCTTAGCATTTCTCATAGTGTAGATCTGCATGAAACAAATCCCCTCAGTCTTTGTCTGATGATGACTTTATTTCACTTTCATTTTGTAAAGAAATTTTGTTGGATATAGAATTATAAACAGACAATCCTATTTTTCCTTAAACCAGACACATAGACCAATGGAACAGAATGAATAACACACAAATTAACCCACTCATTTAGAGCCAACTGATATTCAACAAAGGTACCAAAATATACAATGAGGAATGGGCAGTCTCTTCAATAAAGGTTGTCGGAAGAACTGGATATCCTTGTGCAAATAAATGAAATTAGACCCTTATCATTCACCAAATACAAAAATTGACTTAATATGGATGAAATACTTAAACGTAAGACCTGGAAATATAAAACTACTAGAAGAAATCATAGGGGAAAAGCTCTATGACATTGGTTTGGGCACTGATTTTTTGGATAAGCCTCAAAAGCACAAGCAACAAAAGCAAAAATAGATAAATGGGATTATATCAAACTAACAAGCTTCTGCACAGCAAAGGAAAGAATCCACAAACTGAAGAGACAACCTACAGAACAGGAGAAAATATCTGCAAATTATATATCTGACAAGAGGTTAATATCCAGAACTTATAAGAACCTCAAAGAGGCTGGTGTGGTGGCTCATGCTTGTAATCCCAGCACTTTGGGAGGCCAAGGTGGGCAGATCACTTGAGGCCAGGAGTTCGAGAACAGCCTGGCCAACATGGTGAAACCCCATCTCTACTAAAAAATACAAAAATCATCCGGGTATGGTGGCACACACCTATAATCCCAGCTACTTGTGAGGCTGAGGCAGCAGAATTGCTTGAACCCGGGAGGCGGAGGTTGCAGTAAGTTGAGATTGCACCACTGCACTCCAGCCTGGGTGACAGAGCAAGACTCCATCTAAAAAAAAAAAAAAAAAAAAAAAAAAAAACCTCAAACAATTGAATAGCAAAAATCCCAATAATCAGGTTTAAAAACGGGCAACATACATACATAGATATTTCTCAAAAGAAGATATACAAATGGTCAACAAGCATATGAAAAAGTGCTTGACATCATTAACCATCAGGGAAATGCAAATCAAAATTACAATGAAATAATATCTCACTCCAGTTAGAATGGCTATTATCAAAAAGACTATGCACCCCGGCAGAAACAAACAAACAAAAAACCAACAAATGTTGGCAGGGATGTGTAGAAAAGAAAACCATTACATTTTTTTGGTGAGAATGTAAATTATTATAGCCATAATGAAAATAGTATGAAGGTTTCTCCAAAAATTAAAAAATTGAACTGTCATATCATCTAGTAAATCCACTACTAAGCGTATGTTTAAAAATATAATCAAGATGTCAAGGAGACAGCTGCACTCCCATGTTTACTGCAGTGTTATTCACAATAGCCAAGATATGGAATCAACCTAAGTGTCCATCAATGGATAAATGGATAAATAAAATGTGTTTATATACACAGCTGAATACTATTCAGCCATAAAAGGAAGGAAGTCCTGTGATTTGCAGCAACATGGATGAATCTGGAGGAGATTGCGTTAAATGGGATTAGGCAGACACAGAAAGACAAATACTGTATGATTTCACTCATGTGGAATTTTAAAAAGATCACATAGAAGTAGAGAGTAGAATGGTGATTATCAGAGGCTAGAGTGGCTAGAAGAAAGGGAGGGTTAGGGATATGTTGGTCAAAGGATACATATTTACAGTTAGATATGAGGAATAAGTTCAAGAGATCTATTGTACAAAATGGTGACTACAGTTAATGGTGATATATTGTTTTCTTGAAAAATGGTTAACGGAGTGGATATTAACTGTTCTCATCACAAAAATGATAACTATGTGAGATAATGCATTTCTTTATTAGCTAGATTTAACTATTCCACAGTGTTATCTACGTATGTAGACATATACTGCAAAACAAAACAGTATGCTGTGTAGGATAAACATATACAATTTTATCTGTCAATTTCAAAAGTAAAATAAATTTGAAAATGAACAAAGATGTTTTGTCATTGTCTCCTTGCAATAAGACATCATTATTCTTTGTTTCACTGTATTGTAATGTTCTCTCCCATTCAGCTACTTTTAAGATTTTATCTTTGATTTTCAGCAGTTGGACAAAAATAAGCAAAAGCGCGAGTTTCTATGTATTTATCCTGACTGGGATTCACTGAGCGTATTGGGTAGGTAGGATAATACATTTCACCATTTTTACAAAATCCATGGCCATTATCACTGCAAAGAATTCTTCTCGCTTATTTTCTCTCCTATTGTCCTGTACCTCCGATTACAAATGTGTTATGACTATATTTTTAAATTGCCTCATGGCTCTTCAGTGCTTTCACTCTTTCTCTCTCTCTTCCTTTGTGTTTCAATTTGGATGCTTTTCATTCTGCCTTCATGTTCCCTGATTGTCTCTCTTGCTGCTGTATCCAGTCTGCTATGAAGCCTATTGAATGAATTAGTCATTTTGATGTTGTATTTTTCTTTAATAACATTTCTGTTTGTCCTTTTTGTAGTTATCTTTTTGCCGTAATCCTCATTTGCTCATGTATCTTGTCTACCTTTTGCACCAGATACTTAAACATATTTATCATAGTTCTTTTAAAGTTTTTCCTTGCCAATTCACACATTGAGATTACCTCTAAGACTTCTTCTACTGGTTGTTTTCTTGCTTGTTCATGCTTCACATTTTTCTGCCTCTTCCTATATTTCTTAATATTTTTTATCAGGAGATAATGTGTATGAACAAATAGAGACTGAAGAAAGTGATATTTACTCCCAGAAAAAGTGCAAGCTTTCTTCTATCAGACCAATAATACGTGGGACTGAAACAATCTAATACGCGGTTGAGTTAGATAAGATATTTTTTTGCAAGTATACTTAGATTCAGCTCCACACTGAGAATTTCACATAGTTTGAGGGTGAGAGGAAGACATTCCTTTAAGCGGAGCTTCAAATTTAAGACCAGAGAGACTTCAGATATCTCTGTATGCATTAGCCCCAGCGGCTTGTTTTATGTTTTATGAATATAGGGAATCTCTCTGTCTCTGTGTTTTGCTGTCCTCTCCTTTCTCCTGCTTGTATTTTTTTTCTTTAAACCCACTTGCTAGTTTTGTTGTTGTTGTTGTTATTGTTCAATGGAGAGTTTTCTTTACTCTCCAGCTCTTTTCCTGGCTTGTCCTGTAGCCTTAGGAGATTATTCTTCTTCCTAATTCTCTGCCTCTAGTCTTTGTCGGCCCATTGATGTGCACTCAAGGAAGCTTTTGTGCACCCTGGGAGGATTGCTTCAGTTCTCTTTTTCTGCACAAAATCCCTACGGGCTGCCACCTTGCACTTAGGTAGCATCTGTGCACCCTACAAGGTCTTTCTCAGCGTCCTGTATCATGGCAGCCTTCCCCTAGCCACTACCTTGCGTTGAGTAAAGAGTCCATGACTCTTCACCTCCCCAGCCCTGCTTTCAGCCATTGGTGTGCTCCTCTTATGCAGTTAGTGAAAGCCCTGAAGGAGTGATTTGGCAGGTGGATTTCAACTTCCTTCAGACTCCTTGTAATTCTAATCTGTCATGCTAAATAACACGCAGTCAATATAAATTAGTTAATAGTTCGGCCATTTCCTCAATGGAGCCATCCATGGTGAGTAGATTCCTATTTCTGCATCACATCCAGAAGGGATTAAAGTAGCAACAAGGCTCTTTGCTGTCTGATAATTTTATGCTTTATCCATATTTATCTTATGATTAGTGTGGAACTTTTAGCTTCCAACCCAGAAGTCCTTTCCAAACCTTTTATCCAAAGAATCCCCAAAAGGCATAGAGGATTCATCACTGTGAAATAGAACTGGAGATACCACTGTAATGACCCTGCTTACCCCTGAAATTTCCTTGACATCTGATGATTTATATTAAAAGTTTACCCAAAGTGGACATTCTACTTCAAAATATGACAGGGTCAAAGAATAAAGGTGCCAGTGTAAAAAACTTCATTTCAGTGTAAAAAACTTCATTTACACTTCATTTCAGTGTAAAAAACACTTTGATTAACTCTGCTACACTCTACTATCAGTCTGGGAACTACATATCTGTGCCCCAAGTTGTGAAACGCTTAGGGCAGCACAGAATAGGAAATGTGTGACAAAGAGCACTGTTGTTACTGCCAGTACAGAAAATCACTAAGTATATTCAGGGCATGAGTCTACAAAGGAGAGAGGGAGCAATTGGAAGGATATTTGGATGAGCTGAGAGAAAGTTGCTGTCTACAAGGAGATGTGATGTGGTGGTGGAAGAGTTGTATTTTTACTTAATAAAATGCACAAATGCAGAGAGACTGCGTCTAGGAACCACCTATGAACAGTAAAAGGACAAAACATTGAAGCGACTTCTCACGTTGTCTAGATTTCCTCATGAAATAGGACAGGGTGAGCTTGAGGACAGTGAGGGTAGATTGTAGTGTGCTGTTGGGAAGAGGATGCAGATTTGACTAGGGTCTGGCAGATGCATTTCCCAATGAGTTAGGAGTACACAAATGTGCAGAAGTTTTGATCCCCAGTGGACAGATGAAGGAAGGAGATATTGGACTCATTGGAGCTTGGGATTTGTTATATGCAAGTCACAGGCAATTGAGAGGAGCTACATGGAGGAAGGGTGCATAGAGCATACCACTTAACCCCTTAGTTCTTAAGTGTGATTTAACCCCTTAGCTCTTCCTTTCCACACCCAATCTTGTTTATTTATTTATTTATTTTTTGCCACCCTACTTCTCAGACAGTCTTGAAATATACAGTATTCTCAGGCCTGCTTCTCACTATCTGCCCTCCATTGCATTGTTAAGGACATCCTTGGGCTTAGCTATATGTTGAAAAGTTCTTTGTGGCTTCTCATCCCCACATTCTTTGGTTCTGTCATGAGCATCTCCTGAAAACTAAATTCCCATCCCAAGAGTTTCTGGAGAACCACGCATCTGATGGGAAGGGAGAAATGGAATCAGTCACAAGGTGGCAGAGTTCAGCCACACCCTTCACTAACAGCCTGGAGAGACCTCAATTTCTTCTTGAACCAATGTGGAGGGTTTTGGGGTTGAGGTTCCTCTTGTTCTGCTGGGTCTACTAAGAATGGAGAATGAGCATTGACAACAGCTCTACTGAGCTCCCTCAAGGCTGGGCTGGGATGAGGTTCCAGCGGGGGTGCCCATGAGAATGCATCTTCCAAGTACACCCAAGGAAATTTGCCTGGTGAAAGGTGAAGGGGAGTGGACAGAGCAGTATCACCTGCACATTCGGTTCTGCCTGGATAAGGGAATATTGAATTCCTCAGTAAACAAACAAGTAATAAAATAAACATGGAATGGAAGCTGATGGGTGTGTAAAGAGAGTTTCTGAATGAGCCATATCGGCTGGGGAGAAGGACGTGACCCTGGGCAGCTCTCTGCTACATTCCATCTCCCTCACCCAATTCCATCCACATGGGTCTCCTTGCAGACCTTGGATCCAGTCCCAGCACCTGGACAATTGCAGAGGCAATGTCCTCTGTTCCAAATGCTTTACTCCTTCACGAAGAAATTCGTGTGGCTCACTCCCTCGTGTCTTTCAGGGCTCTGCCCAAGGGTCATCTCCTCAGAGAGGCCTTCCCTGACAACCCTGTTAATGTTAGTCCCTTATTCTACTCTAAGACTTGTGGCTTGAAGTTTTCTTGTACTTTTAAAATTTGCATTACCTATCTTCTCCCACTAGACTCTATGGTCCATGCTGGCAGGGACTTCGAATCCTTCATTCAGTGCTGTAGCGCATGTTTCTAGAACAAATATTGGCACACATACATTTTCAGTCACTATTTTATTTATTAATCAATAAATGCATGAAAGCACACACACAAAAAGAAAACACACCAACATGCTGAGAGTGGCTATTTTCTCCTCCTGCAAGTGGGTTCTCTTTACACCTTTCAGAATTTTATTTTACATAATTTTCTAAATTCTGTACAGTTTCTAGGGCCAGACCACCTTGGATGAAAAATCCCAGTGAGGTCATTAACAAGCTAGTGATCAAGAGAATATGAGTTAACATCTATGTTTTTCAGTTTCCTCCTCTATAAAATGCTGGTAATAATAACACGTACTCTTGCTTGTTGAAAGGATCACATATTAAGTGTTTTGTAAGCATGAGCCATTGTGGTTCATATGATAATTACTATGCTATCATATCATGAAGACAGTTATGATTTTACAGACTTATAAAAGTGCATCCTTTCTCTTTTTATGACATAGCATTTATAATCTGCTTATTGTAAAATGTTGGATTTTAGTTTTCTCACATTATCTGGCACATCATGTATTCAAGAGGATGAATGCCATACTTTTCCCTTAAAAATAATTATTTAAAAAATGTAGTTCTGGCCGGGCACGATGGCTCATGCCTGTAATCCCAGCACTTTGGGAGGCCGAGGCGGGCGAATCAGGTCAGGAGGTTGTGACCATGCTGGCTAACATGGTGAAACCCCCTCTCTACTAAAAATACAAAAATAAACTGGACATGGTGGCGTGCGCCTGTAGTCCCAGCTACTCGGGAGGCTGAAGCAGGAGAATCCCTTGAACCCGGGAGGCGGAGGTTGCAGTGAGCTGGGATCGCGCCACTGCACTCCAGCCTGGGTGACAGAGCAAGACTCCATCTCAGCCGGGCGTGGTGGCTCACACCTGTAATCCCAGCACTTTGGGAGGCTGAGGCGGGCGGATCACGAGGTCAGGAGATGCAGACCATCCTGGCTAACACGGTGAAACCCCGTCTCCACTAAAAATGCAAAAATTAGCCGGGCGTGGTGGCGGGCTCCTGTAGTCCCAGCTAATCAGTAGGCTGAGGCAGGAGAATGGCGTGAACCTGGGAGGTGGAGCTTGTAGTGAGCTGAGATCGCGCCACTTTACTCCAGCCTGGGCGACAGAGCGAGACTCCGTCTCAAAAAAAAAAAAAAAGAAAAAAAAATATATAGTTCTATCTCTGGCACTACTATTAGCACTCGTTTATTTTAAATTTTCATTTTGCAATAATTTTAGACTTACATGGAAGTTGAAAAAATAGTATGGAGAGTTCCTATGTCCGTTTTGTCTAGCTTCTTCCAGTGATGCTAACTTACATAAGCATAGTAAAAATAATCAAAACTATGAAATTAACATTGGTATAATACTACTAAGTAAACTACTGACCTTGTTCCGATTTTGCCAGTTTTGAAATGCACTCATTTCTGAGGGAGCTTATAGTTCTATGAAATATTACATGGATAGATTTGTGTAACCATCAACATAGGATACAGAGCTGTTCCATCCTCACAAAGAAATTCTCTGTTACCCCTTTTCAGTCACAGCTGCCCACTAATCTTGGAAACCACTTATCTGTTACATTCAATGCTATAATTTTGTCTTTTCTAGAATGTTATTAAATTGGTATTGTAGAGTATGCAACCCTTTGATATTTCTTTTGCTCTGAATACATATAAGGTCTTTCAGATTTATTCAAGTTGCTATGTGTAACAATATTTAGTTCCTTTCTGTTGCTGAGTAATATTGTATTGAATATATGTACCACAGTTTATCCATTTGCATGTTGGAAAATATATGGCTTGTTTCTAATTGTAGGTCATTGCAACGTAGTTTTGGTATGAACATATGCCTTTATTTCTGTACAGTAAATAACCAAGAATAGAATAATTGGGTTACGCTTAAGGATGTGATAACTTTGTAAGAAACTGCTAAACCATTTTGCAGAATGGTGTATGTATGCTTGTACATTCCCCTGGCACTATGTGAGAGTTCCACTTACTTCATATCCTCTCTTGGATATGGACAGTATATTTCCTTTCTTTTTTATTTTTATTTATTCATTTTTTTTTTTTTTTGAGACGGAGTCTCGCTTCTGTCACCCAGGCTGGAGTGCAGTGGCACCATCTCGGCTCACTGCAAGCTCCGCCTCCCGGGTTCACGCCATTCTCCTGCCTCAGCCTCCCGAGTAGCTGGGACTACAGGCGCCCGCCACCACGCCCAGCTAAATTTTTGTATTTTTAGTAGAGACGGGGTTTCACCGTGTTAGCCAGGATGATCTCAATCTCCTGACCTCGCGATCCGCCCGCCTCGGCCTCCCAAAGTCCTGGGATTACAGGGGTGAGCCACCGTGCCCAGCCGACAGTATATTTTCTTTTGTCATAATTTACAGCATATTTTATTATATTTTACATTTCTGTGTATAGTGATACATTATTGTGACATTAGTTTGCATTTTCCTAATGGCTAATGGTGTTGACCATCTTTTTTTTGTTGTTTATGTGTTTGCCTTCCATCTACTGGTTCAATCTTTGACTATTTTCTAATAGGATTGTTTGTTTTCTTAATGTTGAGTTTAGAGAGTTGTTTATATATTCTGGATATAAATCCTTCTGTGGACTTGTGGTTTGCAAATACATTCCCCAAGTCTGTGTCTTTTTATTCTCTTAACAGTGACTTCGGCAGGGCGTGGTGGCTCATGCCTGTAATCCCAGCACTTTGGGAGGCTGAGGCGGGCAGATCACGAGGTCAGGAGATGGAGACTATCCTGGCTAACACGGTGAAAACCCGTCTCTACTAAAGATGCAAAAAATTAGAGGGGCGTGGTGGCGGGCGCCTGTAGTCCCAGCTACTTGGGAGGCTGAGGCAGGAGAATGGTGTGAACCTGGGAGGCGGAGCTTGCAGTGAGCCGAGATTGTGCCACAGCACTCCAGCCTGGGCAACAGAGCGAGACGCCGTCTCAAAAAGAAAAAGAAACAAACCAAAAAAAAAACAACAACAAAAAAAACCCCAGTGTCTTTGAGAGAATAATAGCTTTTAATCTTGTTGAGGTCAAATTGATCCGTTCTTTCTTTGGTGGATTATGCTTTTGGTGTCCTAAGATCTCTGCATCTAACACCATTTTATGACAATTTCCCCCCTGTGTTTTCTTTTAAAAGTTTTATAGATTCACATTTTCCATTTAGAGCTGTAATCCATTTTGAATTTATTTTTGTATGAAGTGTGGGGTTTATGTTGAAGGTTTGGGGGTTTGTTGGTGCATGCTGATGTCTAATTGCTCCAACATCATTTGTTGAAAAGGCTATCCTTCCATTGAATTACTTTTGCACCTTTGTCAAAAATCAGTTGGCTGTACTTGTGTGGTTCTAATTCTGAGTTATCTATTCTGCTCCAGTGATCTATGTGTCTATCCCTCTGCTAAATACCACTGTCTTGATTGCTGAATTGTGCCTTAAGCCTTAAAATTGGTAGAGCACACTTTTTTAACTTAATTCACTTTTTACAAGTTATTTTTTCTTTAGCTGTTCTAGTTCCTTTGCTTTTCAATATTAATTTTAGAATCAGCTTGTCTATATCTAAGGTGGCCAACTTTTTAGAGTTAACCCAGACAGAATAAATCATAATAATGTAACATATAATAATTATACACATTATTACTTTAATATAACATATAAAATAGAGGTTTCTTTGAAAATATCTATTATTCTATATCACTTATTTTTATGTTACACGAACTGCATTTATTTATTTATTTATTTATTTATTTTAGAGACAGGTTCTCACTCTGTCACCAGGCTGGAGTACAGCAGCTCGATCATGGGTCACTGCATCCTCAACCTCCCAGGCTCACATGATCTGCCCACCTCAGCCTCTGGAGTAGCTGGGACTACAAAGATGTGCCACCACACTTAGTTAATTTTAAAATTTTTTGTAGAGATGGGGTCTCACTATGTTGCCTAGGCTGGGCTTGAACCCCTGGCCTCCAGTGATCCTCTTGCCTCAGCCTCCTGACATTTTTTACACAAAACAAAGACTAATTAACAGTGCTAATTAGTAGTAATTAATGATAGGATTAATAAACAAGTAATATATATGAAAAATATAACAATGTTTTATATTTCTTGTTACAGCAATTTATTTTAATTCCCAATTGCATACTTATATATTGTAGGCTATATTCAGTTATTCTTAAAATATGTAATCATATGACTTTTAGGAGGAGAATGTAAATTAAAAATGACTATAGGATATTCTAATATTCAATTTAAAAGTAAGAATGACATTTTTATTTCTGTCCAGTGATACAGTGGGATATATATATTTTTTCTTCTTCTGTTTCCTTTTTAGTAATATTTCTCTATACTGCCTACAGCCTTCATGATATCTTTCTTTTATTTTATGTGGTGATAAAATTGAGTACAGTCAAACATATAATTCACTTTGACTTGCTGCTCTGTTCTCATCAAGTCCACATTACATTGATTCCAGTGGTAAGTCTGATGTAAAAACATAGCTAAATATGTTTACAAAAAGAGTGTTTGGACATAAGATATTTAGGATTTTACTTACCAGCAGCAGCAGAGTTTTGAATTTGACCAAATTCATGTCCAGCTTTCAAAAAAACACCACTCACTTTGTATTTAAAGGGTTATTTTCGTAGACTATCTGTTTGTTAATGAGATCATTTGCATCTAGAGATCCATCATATAGGCTGCTGACATGTAAAAAAGTCCATGATTTATGAACATTCATAAGTGTATTGGATGCTATCATAAGTTAACCCTCTTTGTCATGAAAATGGCTTCAAAGCACAGAGGTAATTTGAAGTTGTGAAATCAAATTTGTATTCTAAATAATTTACAATTTCTAAAAAGAAATTGAGAAAATTCTGTTTAAAACAGGCCTGGTGTGGTGGTTCACGCCTGTAATCCTAGCACTTTGGGAGGCTGACGTAGGCAGATTGCTTGAGGTCAGGTGTTCAAGACCAGCCTGACCCACATGGTGAAACCCCATCTCTACTAAAAATACAAAAATTAGCCAGGCATGATGGTGCACGCCTGCAGTCCTAGCTACTCAGGAGGCTGAGGCAGGAGGATGGCTTGAACCCGGGAGGCAGAGGTTGCAGTGAGCTGAGATCGCACCACTGCACTCCAGCCTGGGTGACAGAGCCAGACTCCATCTCAGAGAAAGTTCTATTTAACTTAGCTGATCTTTTCTGATGACCTTTTCTCGTGTTCTGAAATAGTATCATTTCCCTAAAACATGAGGGTTTTTGTTCATCCTGTTTTTGCTGTATTAGTTTTTGTTGCAACCAGAACACAACATCACGTAACTCAAATGCAGCCAGCTTATCATTTTCTAGGCTCCATATGACCTCTTCAAAGATCACCAACAGTTTTGGGAAAAAAGCATATTCACTTCTGTTGCATTTTTCTCCCCTTCTCTTTATTCTCATCCTTAATTTGCTTTCAGATTAGAGAACATTCTTCTTCTTTCATACTCTGAAAACATGATTTTATGGCAGGCTAACATTTTGGTATCTTTTCTACGGCTGGCCGCAATGCAAGCTGTCTTGTGGGCATAGGTGTAAGGATGCTATCTCCTTCCATTTCCATAAAGCCGAAGTTATGATTCTTGTTTCTGTATGTTTTAAGAAAACTGAAAAGTGGTGAAAAATTTTAATTATGAAAGCCTTAAAATCACAAGTAAGCACACCAGGCCCCTTTTTAGCAGTTCTATATTAAATGTGTGTGAGGCATTTAGTAGGTAATATCTTTTCTTTGATAAGAAGTTCATAGACTGAATGGAGTCTGGCAAATTTACATTTGTGCTGTCTGCCAGATATGCATATAGATGAGCAAATTCTAGTTCAGATTTGGAAAAGATGTTAATAATCTTTTGTTTCATGTTTTCTGTGGTTTAATGAAAAGTTTCATAGAAACCAAAAGATAATTTAAAGCTCCATTTTTCAAATAAACATGTCTAAAATGTGGAGTGCATTTTTTTTTTGGTTATCATTATTTGACGCATCACTTGCTGTATTGTAGGCAGCATGATTGACAGTAAGACTTGTCAGAGTCAGCTCTACACTGTAAAGAACCAATGTATCTATTATCAAAATTTCCCATTTTGTTTGTTGAAAGACATTTTCAATGCAACTTGTAGGTTAACATAAATCAATAAAATGATATAATGATGTGTGCTGGTTTGTATTGTATACCAAAACTAATACAATGTTTTAGTTTTCCAGAATATCCACTTCTAGTTACTCTGCACTTTCTGGATAAATGGGTTGCTCCAGTGCAGGGCTATGATTCTCTGTCTTGAGCTAGGCATCTTTATTAACTGTGAACCTCATATCTCTTGTAGGATATGTCACTGAATGTTCGAATAATTTTAAAGGTAATGTAACTTTACTCATTTTCAAATAGAAATCAATAAAATGATATAATGATGTGTGCTGGTTTGTTTGGTATACCAAAGGTAATTCAGTGGCTGCCATTTTCAACTGAACATCAGTGTTTGTTTAGGAGACCAAAAATCCAAAAAATAACAGAAATAAAAGAAAAGAAAAGAAAAAGAGAAAAGAAACTTTTGTTCCTTTTAGAATTACGTGCTTATATCATCCTTAAATGGTAAAATTTAGTCTTCACACAGAGGGATGATAATGAAAAGACACAAAAAGAAGACAGTCATCTGCACCATCTACAAGC
Source organism: Homo sapiens (assembly GCF_000001405.40). Taxonomy (NCBI): domain Eukaryota; kingdom Metazoa; phylum Chordata; class Mammalia; order Primates; family Hominidae; genus Homo; species Homo sapiens. The sequence goes on from NC_000015.10 coordinate 23,670,948, forward strand.
CAAGCAAAGAGACCAGGAACAGATCATGTTCTCACTGCCCCCAGAAGGAACCAACCCACTGACACCTTGATCTGGGACTTCCAACCTCCATAACTGTGAGGAGATAGATTTTTGTTGCTTAAGCCACCCAATCTATGGTACTTTGTTACGGCAGCCCTAGCAAAGTCACACAGATCATGTAACCTCCTCTACCATACCCAGCCCCACATTATTTTTCTGCCTATTGTGCAATATGCTCTGTTTTGTTTACTTACCTTTGTAATACAGTTGTCTGTGTCCTTCATGTACCATTAAAATAACACAATCATTTAGCCTTCTGGGCCTTGCTGCATTGGTATTGTAATTGTTTGTGTTTTTACTATCTGAATTATTAGAAAATATGGTCTCAAGGTTTGTAAAGTTAAAAACTGAACTAGCACAAAATTGATTCAAAGTAGAACAGTTAATCCACAGCTAAAGTCAAATACAGACAAACACTCATGATTACAACATGCTTCATTTACATATTTAAGTCACAAGAGTTAGAATGATTCACGATTTGCAGCTCACAGTAATTCACTGATCACTGTGAACTGCAAATCGTGGTTATACGCATTAGTGGTCAGGAAAAAAACAGTGACAGCAATTACAAGAAACAGATAATATGTGCTGTCTCCATTTGGCAGTAAAATGCATACAGCCCTTGTTTGGGTGATGCCATATGGGTTTTCTAGTTTTTTCTCCAATCTTCTTTACTCATGGCCAAAAATTTGGGGTTTTTCACATCCCACAGAGGGGATTCCTAGAAAGTGGGACTTCTGGTGCCAAAATCAAGACAATTCCAGATAAACTGCTGGGATTTTGATAAAAATTGCATGAATCCTACATGTCTGTTTGATCTGTTTACCATGTTGAGTCTTCTGATCTATGAACATGATATTTCTCTCCATTTATTTAGGTATTTTTTGATTTTCTAATCAGTGCTTTATAAGCTTTTCAAAATAGAGATCCTATATGTTTTGATGTATGTATTCATAAGTATTTTTGAGTTATTATAAATGGTACTGAGTTTTAAATGTTTAAATTTCTGTTTCCAAGAGTTATTGCTGGTATATAGAAATGTAATTGGTTTTGTGTGTTGACCCCGTATCTTGTGACATTGCTAAAGTCTCTTCTTAATTCAGGTATGGTTTTTTGGACATTATTTGAGATTCTCTACATAGACAATTATGCCATCTGCAAATAGAAGTAGCTTTATTTCTTCATTTTCAGCCTGTAAGCATTTTACTTCCTTTTCCTGTCTTATTGAACTGGCTAGGACTTTCATCACCAAGTGGAAAAGGAGTGATAAGAGTGGACAGCATACTCTACCCTTCCCTCCAATCTTAGAGGGAAGCATCCAGTTTTTGGTCATTAAACACACTAAGCAATGTTAACTATAGTAGTAGTTGTTGTTTCTTTTATAATGTGCTTTACCAGGTTGGTAATGCTCTTTTCTGTGCCTAGATTGCTGAGAGCTTTTGTTATGAATGGGAGTTGAATTTTGTCAGATGCCTTTCCTGCATGCATTGACATGATCATGTGGTTTTTCTTAAGATTACAGATATGATGAATATACTGAGACAGTCTTGCATTTGTGGAACAAATAAGAAATGCAGTGGTGGTACCTTGTACATATCGGTAAATTAAATTTTCTAATATCTGCTGGAGTCTCCCATGAGAGATTCTCCTGGGAAGATCCCCTGCCTTCTCCATTCTATGGGACACATCTGGGACTGTCTTTCTCTCTCATCACTTTCCTTCTCTGTCTTAAATTTTGACTTTCCCTGACACTCCTCTGGGAAAATAGAAGCACCATCAACTTTCTGCCACAGATACAACAGGTATACATCAATCAGTCATTTCATACTTCTGTCTCATTCCTATGGACGATGCATTCCCAATCCTGTATAGTAACTCCATTTTATAATATAGATCTCGCCATGTCTTCAATACTGGTATCTCTCCATCAACCATTGAATATATACATCATTTATATTCACATCCTGCTCCATACTTAATTCGCTGAAGTTTGGTTTCTGTTGACAACTATCCCATTGAAATTGTTCTTCATAAAATGAAAATAATCTCTTTATGAGTAATTTCAGTAAACACTTCTTAGTTATTTTATTGCTTCATGCCTCAACTAAATTTAACAACTGACCAATCCCTCCTTTGGCATTTCTAAAACTACATTCTCTAAATCTCACTTATTCCTAATCTCTTCCCACTGTTTCTTGATATTATTTGAGAGTTATCTTTCTGCTTTTCCATGTAATATTTGTTCTCCTCAATGCTCCATCCTGCACCTCTTCCCTCTCACTCTCCGAGATTCCCAAACTCATATGCCTTTAGGAACAAAAAGTAATGTAAGTACCTGAGGATAGCTGGTGTATTGCTTCTCGGCCTTTTGGCTAAGATCAAGTGTGGATAGCTGGTGTAAGTGTCTGAGATTAAGCAGAAGAGTGTCTGTCCTGCCTAAACTGCTCAGGTGAAGCAGAGAATACCTTTGCAAATCCATCCCTTCCCATCCATAGGTTCATGACATTTTAATCTGCATCTTTTCTTATGCATTTATCCCTAATCAAATGGACATCTCTGTTTAGATGCCTGGCATTTACGTTAAACTCAAAATATATAAAACTGAACTCATCCTCCTCCCACGTAAATCTGCTTTCTCTTTTCTCACAAACTCAGTAACTGATACGACACACAAAATTGTGCATGTCAGAAACCTGGCCATAAACCTGATTCCTCCCTGTTTTTATTTCTAGCATTTCATCAATCATCCATTTTTGGCAATGTAACCCCCAATTATTTCTCAATTTTTCAATTAATCTCCATCTTCATTATTCATTCCCTAGTTAAAGTTACCATTATCTCTCACCTGAGTGAAGGGTGAACACGCGTCATGCCTTTGAACTTAATCTCCTTTATTCCCTTCTCTTATCAGCAAAGATCCTACTAAATGCAAATAAACCCCTCAAATACTTCTAATAACTCAACAGTGTTTGACACTATTGGCCACTTCCTTTGGCTTGAAATGCTGCTATTTTGATTCTCATCTCTATCACTCTCCTGGCTTACTTTCTATCTCTTAACCAGGTACTGTTTTTAGTCTCCGTAGCAGCTTTTCCTTCAATACTACACGTGGTAATGTCTTAGTTTCCCAGAATATCCGCTTCTAGTTACTCTGTGCTTTCACTCTGGATAAATGGGTTGCTCCAGTGCAGGGCTATGATTCTCTATCTTGAGCTAGGCATCTTTAATAATTGTGAACCTCATATTTCTTTTAGGACATGTCACTGAGTGTTTGTATGAACTCTTTACTGTTTTCATCCAAAACCTGTTTTTCACCTCCCTTCTCCATTTCATCAAATCACACTTATGGCCAGGTGCGGTGGCTCACCATCTATAATCCCAGCACTTTGGGAGGCTGAGGATCGCTTGAGCCCAGGAGTTCGAGACCAGCCTGGGCAACATGGTGAGACTCCGCCTTTACAAAAAATACAAAAATTAGCCAGGTGTGATGGTGTGCTTCTATAGTCTCAACTACTTGGGAGGCTGAGATGGGATGATCACTTGAGCCTAGGAGGTCAAGGCTGCAATGAGCTATGATTGTGCCACTACACTCCAGCCTGGACAACAGACCGAGACTCTGTCTCAAAAAAAAAAAAAAAATCACACTATTCACCGAGTGCTCAAGCCTGAAACCTGAGAATCCAGATCTAATCTTCCATGTCCCTTACCTATCCATCCTCCATTCCTCAATTGAGCCACAAATATACCCTCCTTCATCATGTCTACATCATCTTCATCTCTTAGCAGACTCTCAACTTTGATGCTTTCCCTTCTCAATTCATTCTGAGTATACTAAGGAGGGCAATATTTTAAAAGCCTAATGTCAATTAGATGAGTCTGCAAGTCGTTAGTGGTTTCCATTTACTCTTTAAATACAATCTGCCTGCTTACCATTGCCTACAGGGCTGCCCTGATACCTTCCTCTCTCTCCTGGTTCTGAGCCTTTCTTTCCCCTTCGCAACCCCAGAAAGCACCACCATTATTAGTATGATTTCTTGAGCAAATAACAAAACTGGCTTATAAATAACAAGCTGAATTTTTAAAAAAATTATACATTTTTCTGAGATAACTCTAAATGCCAAAGTGGTACAAACTTCAGAGCCAGAAGCCCTAATTCTATTCTCATGAACATTGCCATGAAATGAATGGAAGTTCTAATCTACATGACCTGATTGCCCAGAACTGATTAAGTTCTCATATCTGATCTAAGAACTGCAGCAAGGAGATAGAATTACTCTGCTTGTCATAACCTAATCGGGGTCCACCTATGGTCAGTAATACCCTCATGTGAGTACCAGACACAGAATGGGAGACGAGAAAAGAATTTTTTGGAGACTTTACCAGTTAGGGATGCTTTGAGCTGCACAAAGCAAGCAAAAAACCCACAAGACAATAGCTTAAAGAATGAGATTTTATTCTACATGCCAAAAACTATAGATACAAGTAGGTGGCTATTGGTATTTGTCCAGCAGTTTGTAGATGTCAGGCTCAACCTCTCTATGATTTCTTTAGCTGTTTTTATACTGCCATCATACGAGCAACAATAGCTCCTGACTTTCCTTATACATTCCCTGAAAGAGAAAAAGGATGTAGGAAGGAAAAGCACAGATAAACCTCTCTGTACATCTCTTGACTGGAACACAGCTGAAAAACCAAGAAGTTAAATATTTAACTTGTGCAGCCTCAACTGTGGAGACAGACAAGAAAAGACAACTGGGTGTCACATGCTGCTCAGCCCATTTATAATGCTATTTCTCATGGTAAAGGCCACCAGAAAAATCTAGGTGATTCACTCTGGCCCTTCATATATATGTATATATATTATACACATATATGTGCATATATATGTATATATATTATACACACATATGTGCATATATATGTATATATTATACACACATATGTGCATATATGTGTATATATTATACACACATATGTGCATATATGTATATATTATACACACATATGTGCATATATGTATATATTATACACACATATGTGCATATATGTATATATAATACACATACGTGCATATAAAATACACATATGTGCATATATGTATATATTACACACATATATGTGCATATATGTATATATTACACACATATGTGCACATATGTATATATATGCACACATATGTGCATATATATGTATATATTATACACACATATGTGCATATATATGTGTACTTATTATACACATATATGTGCATATATATGTGCACATATATGTATATACTATACACATCTATGCGCACATATATGTATATACTATACACATCTATGCGCACATATATGTATATATTATACACATCTATGCGCACATATATGTATATATTATACACATCTATGCGCACATATATGTATATATTATACACATCTATGCGCACATATATGTATATATTATACACATCTATGCGCACATATATGTATATATTATACACATCTATGCGCACATATATGTATATATTATACACATCTATGCGCACATATATGTATATATTATACACATCTATGCGCATATATATGTATATATTATACACATCTATGCGCATATATATGTATATATTATACACATCTATGCGCATATATATGTATATATTATACACATATACATATATATGAAGGCCCAGATGGGATGATGTGCATATATATGTATATATATTACACACATATATGTATACATGCGTAATTTATATATACATACATACATGCCTGGATTTATCTTGATCTTCCCTTTGATCTTTGCTAACTCTCTTGTTATCCTTCAATTAATTATCAGCTTAAATTTCACCTTTTCAGAAAATTATTTCTTGGGCTTCCTGCCTTAGTTTGTCTTCTCAACCATTCTCTATCAATTTAACCACGTCATTTATTTAAATTAAACTTTTTTTGTAGAGATGGGGTCTTGCTATGTTGCCCAGGTTGGGCTTGAACTCCTGGCCTCAAGCAATTCTTACATATTGGCCTCCCAAAGTGTTGGTATTATAGATGTGAGCCACTCTGCCTGGCCCATTTTTTTCATATATCTTATCCAATCATATAATTTGTATTTGAAGTTTCATTTGTACCTCTTTGTTGTGCTCTATCAATGCAAAATTTATCAATAAGCCAGGTGTGGTGGCTCACTCCTTTAATCCCAGCACTTTGGGAGGCCGAGGCGGGTGGATCACAAGGTCAGGAGATTGAGACCATCCTGGCTGACACGGCAAAACCTTGTCTCTACTAAAAATACAAAAAATTAGCCGGGCGTGGTGGCAGGCACCTGTAGTCCCAGCTACTGGGGAGGCTGAGGCAGGAGAATGGCATGAACCCAGGAGGTGGAGCTTGCAGTGAGCCAAGATGGCGCCACTGCACTCCAGCCTGGGCAACAGAGCCAGACTCCATCTCAAAAAAAAAAAAAAAAAAGTTTATAAACAAACTACTTGAGGCCAAGAGCCATCTTGTTTAATTCACCAAATTGTACCAGTTCCTAGCACAAGTCAGCCATATAGTTGAAGTTCAAGAAATCTCTATTGAATAAATACATAAACAAACTAATTTATACAGCAAACAGGAATCTTAAAGATTTTTTAGTATAAAGTTGGTGGGCTAATAGAAGAGACATGAAACCGTTTAGATATGGGAAAATATGTAATATAGTTAAGGGCTCCAAACCCTGAGTAGCTGAACCCAAGAATAATTGGGCAAATAAAGAGATAAGGAGGGATGTTTTAGACCCCTCATCAGAAAGCAGACAACAACAGCAGCAATAAAAAAACAAAGGTGTCTGTTCAAAAGAAGGCTATCCTTCAGCATGGCTTCTTCTAAATCTGTTAGCCTTTCATGTGATTCATATGAGCCCTCTTCTTTGTCACATCCTTGAGGAAATTGACTGTATCTTCAGCCAGCATGTTTTTTTTTCCTAGCCTCTAGCCAATTCTGAAATTTGTTTATTTCCCTTCTCCTTTTTACTCTATTTATTTTGAGAAACTCATTATATAGCCCCGTATGCTTGTGTGTGTGGTCACACAGCAGATCCCGGGACACAAAGAGAGCCTCCTCCCAACTTCACCCTTCCACACACCGTTTTCACGTTGCTAATTGCTTCTCATCCTATAGAACCAATTTATGCCTCACCTCTCTAGGACAGTCTGAGTCGTGTGCACCTGTTTGTGCCTCTTTAGGCCCCACACTTCTCTTAGGATGGCACTCACTGCGCTGAAATGTAATTATTTTTATTCACCTGCTTCTTTCAATTCAGTGAATGCTCGGCAAGCACAGGACAATGTCTATTCTGTTCACTCTTGCATCCCTAACTCCTAGCCCTGCATCTGCCGCATATTAGGTACTCAGTAAGCACTCTGAATGAATGCATAAAATAGCATGTAGTAATTTATACAACTATAGCAGGGTCCAAGGATGCCAATTTCAATTCACTCTTGCTAGTACAGGATATTCATTTTTATTGTATCTTTGATCAATTCATATACACAAAGTATCTTTACTTAATCAGTGAGATTGTATTTGTTTTTCATTTTCTCATTTGATGTTTGTGTTTCCTATTAAGGCACTGACCTCTCTGTGTCCTTGGCCCATTTATCTAGTAATAAGTTGCTTCTTTTTTTCTTTTGTATACTTTAAGTTCTAGGGGCACATGTGCACAACGTGCAGGTTTGTTACATAGGTATACATGTGCCATGTTGGTTTGCTACACCCATCAACTCATCATTTACATTAGGTATTTCTCCTAATGCTATCCCTCCACCAGCCTCCCACCTCTCGACAGGCCTCGGTGTGTGATGTTCCCTGCCCTGTGTCCATGTGTTCTCATTCTTCAGCTCCCACCTATGAGTGAGAACATGCGGTGTTTGGTTTTCTATCTTTGTGATAGTTTGCTTGGAATGATGGTTTCCAGGCCGGGCGCGGTGGCTCATACCTGTAATCCCAGCACTTTGGAGGCCAAGGCGGGCGGATCATGAAGTCAGGAGATCGAGACCATCCTGGCTAACACTGTGAAACCCCGTCTCTACTAAAAATACAAAAAATTAGCTGGGCGTGGTTGCGGGCGCCTGTAGTCCCAGCTACTCAGGAGGCTGAGGCAGGAGAATGGCATGAACCCGGGAGACAGATCTTGCAGTGAGCCTAGATCGCGCCACTTCACTCCAGGCTGGGCGACAGAGTGAGACTCCGTCTCAAAGAAAAAAAAAAAGACAATGGGTTTTCTAGATATACAATCATGTCATCTGCAAACAGGGACAATTTGACTTCCTCTTTTCCTAATTGAATACCCTTTATTTCTGTCTCCTGCCTGATTGCCCTGGCCAGAACTTCCAACACTGTATTGAATAAGAGTGGTGAGAGAGGGCATCCCTGTCTTGTGCCAGTTTTCAAAGGGAATGCTTCCAGTTTTTGCCCATTCAGTATGATATTGGCTCTGGGTTTGTCATAAATAGCTCTTATTATTTTGAGATACATCCCATCAATACCTAACTTTTGAGAGTTTTTAGCATGAAGGGCTGTTGAATTTTGTCAAAGGCCTTTTCTGCATCTATTGAGATAATCAGGTGGTTTTTGTCAGCCCAAAATCTCCTTAAGCTGATAAGCAACTTCAGCAAATTCTCAGGATACAAAATCAATGTGCAGAAATCACAAGCATTCTTATACACCAATAACAGACAAACAGAGAGCCAAATCATGAGTGAACTCCCATTCACAATTGCTTCAAAGAGAATAAAATATCTAGGAATCCAACTTATAGGGATGTGAAGGACCTCTTCAAGGAGAACTACAAACCACTGCTCAATGAAATAAAAGAGGATACAAACAAATGGAAGAACATTCCATGCTCATGGGTAGGAAGAATCAATATCGTGAAAATGGCTATACTGCCCAAGGTAATTTACAGATTCAATGCCATCCCCATCAAGCTACCAATGACTTTCTTCACAGAACTGGAAAAAACTACTTTAAAGTTCATATGGGACCAAAAAAGAGCCCACATTGCCAAGTCAATCTTAAGCCAAGAGAACAAAGCTGGAGGCATCACGCTACCTGACTTCAAACTATACTACAAGGCTACAGTAACCAAAACAGCATGGTACTTGTACCAAAACAGAGATATAGACCACTGGAACAGAACAGAGCCCTCAGAAATAATACCACAATCTACAACCATCTGATCTTTGACAAACCTGACAAAAACAAGAAATGGGGAAAGGATTCCCTATTTAATAAGTGGTGCTGGGAAAACAGGCTAGCCATATGTAGAAAGCTGAAACTGGATCCCTTCCTTACACCTTATACAAAAATTAATTCAAGATGGATTAAAGACTTAAATGTTAGACCTAACACCATAAAAACTCTAGAAGAAAACCTAGGCAATACCATTCAGGATATAGGCATGGGCAAAGACTTCAGGTCTAAAACACCAAAAGCAATGGCAACAAAAGCCAAAATTAGCAAATGGGATGTAGTTAAACTAAAGAGCTTCTGCACAGCAAAAAAACTACCATCAGAGTGAACAGGCAACCTACAGAATGGGAGAAAATTTTTGCAATCTACTCACCTGACAAAGGGCTAATATCCAGAATCTACAAAGAACTCAAACAAATTTACAAGAAAAAAACAAACAACCCCATCAACAAGTGGGCAAAGGATATGATCAGACACTTCTCAAAAGAAGACATTTATGCAGCCAAGAGACACATGAAAAAATGCTCATCATCACTGGCCATCAGAGAAATGCAAATCAAAACAACAATGAGATACCATCTCACACCAGTTAGAATGGCAATCATTAAAAAGTCAGGAAACGGCAGGTGCTGGAGAGGATGTGGAGAAATAAGAACACTTTTACACTGTTGGTGGGACTGTAAACTAGTTCAACCATTGTGGAAGTCAGTGTGGTAATTCCTCAGGGATCTAGAACTAGAAATACCATTTGACCCAGCCATCCCACTACTGGGTATATACTCAAAGAATTATAAGTCATGCTGCTGTAAAGACACATGCACATGTATGTTTATTGCAGCACTATTCACAATAGCAAAGACTTGGAACCAACTCAAATGTCCATCAATGATAGACTGGATTAAGAAAATGTGGCACATATACACCATGGAATACTATGCAGCCATAAAAAAGGATGAGGTCCTGTCTTTTGTAGGGACATGGATGAAGCTGGAAACCATCATTCTCAGCAAACTATTGCAAGGACAAAAAACCAAACATCGCATGTTCTCACTCATAGGTGGGAATTGAACAATGAGAACACTTGGACACAGGAAGGGGAACATCACACACTGGGGCCTGTTGGGGGTGGGGGGAGGGGGGAGGGATAGCATTAGGAGATATACCTAATGTAAATGATGAGTTAATGGGTGCAGCACACCAACATGGCACATGTATACATATGTAACAAACCTGCACGTTGTGCACATGTACCCTAGAACTTAAAGTATAATGAAAAAAAATATATATATATGTATATATATATATAAAGAATGATGGCTTCCAGCTTCACCCATGCTCATCATCACTGGTCATCAGAGAAATGCAAATCAAAACCACAATGAGATACTATCTCACACCAGCCGGGCGCGGTGGCTCACGCCTGTAATCCCAGCACTTTGGGAGGCCAAGGCGGGTGGATCACTAGGTCAGGAGATCGAGACCATCCTGGCTAACACGGTGAAACCCCGTCTCTACTAAAAATACAAAAAATTAGCCAGGCGCGGTGGCAGCGCCTGTGGTCCCAGCTACTGGGGAGGCTGAGGCAGGAGAATGGCGTGAACCCGGGAGGCGGAGCTTGCAGTGAGCCGAGATCGCACCACCGCACTCCAGCCTGGGTGACAGAGAGAGACTCTGTCTCAAAAATAAAAAATAAAAAAAAAAGAAAGAAAAGAGATACCATCTCACGCCAGTTAGAATGGCGATCATTAAAAAGTCAGGAAATAAGTTGTTTCTTTGTACTATTTTTCCTTTCTAAAAAAACTACTAGATATTGGGTTATTTTGTTAGAGTGTTTGTAGCAGTGATTCTTGAAACAAGTTTTTGCTTCCATTGTTTTTCTGCCTTCTGTTTTTTTTTCTTTCACTAATTTCAACTTATCTACATTACCTCCACTTTGCTTTTTTTTTTTTTTGGAGACGGTGTCTTGCTCTGTCACCCAGGCTAGAGTTTAGTGGCATGATCTCGTCTCACTGCAACCTCCGCCTCCCGGGTTCGAGGGATTCTCCTGCCTTAGCCTCCTGAGTAGCTGGTACTACAGGCACGTGCCACCACGCCCAGCTAATTTTTGTGTTTTTAGTAGAGACAGGGTTTCACCATGTTGTCCAGCCTCGCCTTGAACTTCTGACCTCAAGTGATCCGCCCATCTCGGCCTCCCAAAGTGGTGAGATTACAGACATGAGCCATCGCGCCCGTCCTACGTTACCTCTATTTTATTATTATTATTATTATTTATTTTTTGAGATGGAGTCTGGCTCTGTCGCCCCAGGCTGGAGTGCAGTGGCGGGATCTCAGCTCACTGCAAGCTCCGCCTCCCGGGTTCACACTATTTTCCTGCCTCAGCCTCCCGAGTAGCTGGGACTACAGGCACCCGCAACCACGTCCGGCTAATTTTTTTGTATTTTCAGTAGAGACGGGGTTTCACCATGTTAGCCAGGATGGTCTCATCTCCTGACCTCGTGATCTGCCTGCCTCGGCCTCCCAAAGTGCTGGGATTACAGGCATGAGCCACCGCGCCCTTTAAATTGGCTAATTTTTGTCAGCCACATATGGTTTTGTTTTCTTGTGTGGATGGGTAGGTCTTTTCTAATATGTTGAGTTACTTAACTTATATAACAAATATGTATCAAGTGCAGCCCTTATGCCCCATCCTTACCTCAAGTGTCAAGCAAATAATGAACAGGATAAAGACAATTCTAACCCTTAAGTATGTAACAATCCAGGAGGAGAGAAATAAAAGGCACATAATTATAAACAGCAGGTGTATTTTGGGTGCATTTAGAACATGGCTGTGCTTAGAGGTTAGGGAGTGTGTTCTCCCAGGAAATAGTGTTCATGAGTTGGTCAGGTAAGACTCAGGTTGGAGAAGGACATAAAAGGGTTTTCAAGCAGAGGAAATATTTAACTGCATAAGAAGTTCACTTAAAACATTTCTATTTAATAATGATACTGCTTAAAGTTATTTATTTCCTCTCAGGACAACTTACACCAGGTGTCTTTATATTTTATATTAAATTTATAAAGATCCCTTTTCCCTTCCTTTCATAAAATGAAATTAACAAATCAAAATATGTTTGCAGGTGTTTGTGAAGAAATGAGGTTCCAGTTGGCAGGTAAAAGTTGACATGTTATGGGGATTTAGGAAAGTCTCTCCCACCCACAGCAGTCTGGGCTTCAGCACACTGTCATGTTGGACTGCAACACTGAGGACCAGCTGACCCCTTCCTGATTGACCTATCCCAGGACCTTGTAGGTGAATCTTTTGGTAAATATTTGACAAACCCTCCAGTCTTTCTATTTAGAGCCCAGCATGAAAACCCAAGAGAGCTGCTGGGTTCTCTCTCCCCATGCCCCAAGCTGCTATCTCTGCAGGATCAGGTGTCATGAAGTAAACTCATTTCACATCTGGAAGCCTCTTTCTCTAGGTCTGGCTGCCTCCTAGGCAGCATTAGGGACGAGTCGCTCTGCCCCATGCCTTACTCCTTTCTCACATTCTCACATTCTCACATTCTGTTTCTCCTGCAAGGGCTAGGTCCTCTATGGCCTGGCTAGGGTGCCTGTGTGAGTGAGCTTGGGACAGCTTTGGAAAGGGTGGTTCTCCCTGCCTCTGACAGCAGAGAGGAAAGTGGACACAACATAAGGAGTTAAACGGGGATGTAAGGAGACTGTTTGCCTGGTGATTTCTGGGCTTGACTGCAAGAAGCGCACAGGGGTTACTGCTCCTGCAAGGCATCAATCCAGCAGTGAGGGAAGTATTAAGGCATTAGAGAAGATGACCAGCACCATGTGTGGCAGGAACAACAGCCCACAGTCCTACTCCAGAAATGAAACATCCTGGATATCCCCACAATTTTAAATGATAACGGGCAGGTTTATTTTGATTCTGGAGAAACTTTTCGATGGGTTGTGGGGAGGTAAGATTTCCAAACAATCCTAACACTTCTGAACAGGTGAGACACTCACATTGGTTTTGTGTAAGAGGTGCCATCAAAGCCAGGTCACCCCTGCCTGGGTGATTGCAGAAATGTCCCCCTTTCTCTGCAGAACCCCCTTGAAAATCTTCACAGGAAGCTTTTAAACCGGGATGGATTTCATCTCAGCATGAACAGGGGCTTCCTAAGCATTTCCAGCACCTGCCCCCACCTGTTAAGTAATGCCAGTAAGTGTTGGCAATTCCAAATTATAATTCCCTCACCCTAATAGGACTCCCAGTTTACTTCTTTGGGGTGTTATGTGACATGTGTCCTCTTCATTATCCATCTTCCACAGAAAAGTTTCTGGCTTTGGCCAAATGGTCTTTCCCACTCTTTTGTAGTTTAAAGGACTTCTAGTCTTATTAAAGCCCCCTTTCTCCCCGCTACCCCTTGCAGGACTAAAAATTCACAGTGAGATTTTTCTTCAGGCATTGCCCCTAATGCCCACCCGCAGCCCACCCCATCCTCTGAGGATTACCTAGTGGCTCACCGCAACTGAAGGGCTGCAAGGCCACAGACATCCTGATGGACAACCCACCTCCCTCTCTCAGGTGTCTTGTGTGTTTGTCAGAGAAGGTGCCTTCACCTCCAACCCTCAGGAGAGATTGTTTCAAATCCTAGCTTCACTGCTAAATAGGAATATCACTTTGTTAGGTTAATTAACCTCTCCAAAAGTAAGTTTCTTAATTTGCACAATCAGAATGATATTGCTTTCTCCAAAATATCATGAGAATTAGAAAAATAAAATTCCTAGCCTTTTTGTATGTGTGGCCCATGAACCCATGTGATTGTAGGCTCCCACATAAAATGTAAAAATAAATTTAAAAATAAATAACCTAAAAGCCACGGGGTATAGGGCAGTCGTAGGCAGGTGGAGACAAATGTGGGCTCTGGATTCATTCTGAGTTCAAGTCCTAGCTCCTTCTCTTATTAACCTTTATGAGCTATGGAAAGTTCATTACCTACATTATTCCTGTGTTTCCTCCATGGTGCAGAGGCAGTAGGTGCCTGCCTGACAGGCCTGTTGCAAGGATTAAAGGAGAAAAATACATGTTAGGGCTTAGCACAATGTCTCACTCTTTTATATTATAAATATGTTATATGTATATTAATAGATGTCACAAGACATCTATTAATTTTGATAAAATGTAGAAACTTAAGGGAAGGAAATTATTTTTGTTTTTTATTCCCATATGATGTGATTACAGACAATCTTACTGTTTTGTTTTGTATACTTTTCTATATTTGTGAATGTTTTTGAAATAAACATGAGTTACATTTAAAGACAATAGAACTATAAACTTCACAAATTTAGGAGTAATCATGAGTAGCGATTTTTCCCACCCTATTAGGGGAAATAGTTGTATCTGTATACACTGTAAAATAGAGAATTGTCTCATTCCCAACCATACTGCTTTGTTAAAATGATAAAGTACACTTTTCCAAAAATGATTGTATCACAAGAATCTTTAATGTTTACTTTAAAGTTGACTCACGGTGGGGTTGTATATGTGTTTAGTAAAGTGTGCCAAGTGCTCACACTGAGACCAGTCCAGTTCAAATTAGTGTACTCCACGAGGGTGTTTTCTGTGCCCAGCAAGGTCATGAAGGGCCTTGACTTTTCTTGGTTAGGCCGGCTTTGCTGGTGACTTCTTCCAAACTCTGCAGGAGCAGTCTACCCCAACACACATCATCAGTCCCATATAAAAGAATAAGATGGAAACTTTCTCAATGTATTTCATCAGTTTAGCACATCTCTGGTACAAAAATCCAAGAAAGGTAGCACAAAAGCGAAAGCACCAACCAAGCTTACATATAAACAAACATGCATACATCCTAAATACTACACAATAGTACCCAAATGAATACAACATTGCATTAAAGGTATAAAAGCACTGTACTGAAAACTTAAAAGTTACACGTGAATACTGCACTGTAAATCCTGAATACTATAATGACCCACCCCCACCCTTCCACAGCCCTGGTGAGGGTCAGAAACCATTCATCTGCCTCCAGACTTTGCTAGTCCTCAGAGACACTGCTGCGAGGGTAGTGGGCAGTGGGATTAGCCTCCCGCAGAGCTCTGGCCTCCTCCAGAGCTTCTCTGTATCGGGAGGGCCAGGCCTGGGGGTCTTTCTTAAAGACCCTGGCCAGGAACTCCATGATTTGCATCTTGGTGATTTCGCGGCTGGCCCGGGAGCCCCAAAAGAACTCGTATTCGGGCGGCTCCACGTATGGGACGCGCTGGTACTTCAGGTAATTCATTTGGACGAACTCCTCAGTGATGAGCTTCCGCACGTCCCCGAAGGTGGAGTGCTTCTTCCAGGGCCGCAGCCCCAGGATGCGCAGCACGTTCCAGACGGCGCTCTCTCTGGCGCCGCGGCCCTTCACGTAGATGAGGCTCAGGATCATGAGCAGGAGGCCTGTCATGGGCATGCGGTTGCTCAGCGCCACCCTGTCCAGCTCCTCGGGCTCCAGCGCTTTGACCAGCGCAAACTCCATGGTGTGCAGGCTGGTTAGCCTCAGGTGCAGCCCGAACACCCGGGCGAGGATGAGGCTGGTGCGCCGGAGGATGCTCCTGCACCACTTCTTGTAGCTGCCGATGACATCTTTCACCATGTCTGGAAACCAGATGATCATCTTCTTCTGGTCCTTGACCAGCACGTACCACATGAGCTCGTGCGCCTTCTGCACCAGCTGCGCCGGGGCTGGCGGTGCCGGGCCCGGCTGGGCCGCGCTCGGGGCCTGGTGGGCGCGGCCCTCCTCCGCAGCCTGCTGCAGGGCCTTCGGGTCGCCCTCGTCGTTCGGGGCCTGGGGAGGCGGCGCGGCCTGCGGAGCGGCCGTCGGGCCTAGAGGAGGGCTCTGCGGCTCTGCCAGGGTCGCGGACGGAGGAACCCCCTCCGAAACCCCAGGGCTGCTGTGCACCTCGGAGTTGGGGGCCTCGGCTGCAAAGTTAGGGTCGCTCAGATCCTTACTTTGTTCTGACATGTCTGCGCCGTCTGGCAAGGGCAGGGCCTCTGCGTCCAGGAGCTCTTCGAGCCTGCGCTCCCTCCGCGGATTCCTGGAGAGGAAGTGCGCGTTGCTGCGCGCGGCGCCTTCCGCAGCGACGGGCAGGGCGGGGCGGCGGCGGGACGCGGCACTGCGCCTGCGCGACCGCGGCCTTGGCCAGCGGCTGGGGGCGGGCGGGGCAGCGCGGGGCCCCGACGGGGAGGGTCCATGGCGAGGCTTCACCTGCTGGGAGAGCGATCCCGGGGTTTCCTGTTTGGGCTGAGAAGATCTAGGGCAGGAGAGAAGTGAGATGGATGCGTACTGGAGAAGGGGCCAGTTTAAGGGAAAGATACCTTAAGTTTTTGGGATGTTGGGGTCAAGTTTCTTGGGAAACGCTTACCTGGGTATATCCAGAATTAAGTTAAATATGAGAGTCCCAGAGAAAGGTCTGGGCGGCTTTGTAAACATGAGCTTTATGCGAACCAGTGAGAGGAACAGTCGGGCTTGTCCAAGAAAATGTGTAAACTGTAAAGTGGATGTCTGAGGTTGGAATCCTGAGAAATTCCAATAAAAAATGATCGACTCCCTACCAAATCAGATAGGCTATAAGAAAAGGGGAAATGCAGTGTGTCGTTAACGTAATTTCCTATCAACCCATGTGAACTATGAACTTTTTAAGTAGGCAGTGGACTTAGAGCATCATTAATGCTTTAACGGGCATAAATTTGGGTTTTACACTTCCTTTGGGTAACTTTGATTCCATTTTATTTTTTTCCATACTTAGTCCATAGCAGAAGGATTGCTATATCTTTTAGCACAAACTTGTATGATAATGTCTTTTCCCTCTGCCCAGCACCCTCATTCTTCAATTCACCTTCTCTCAGGACCCTCTCTGAAGCTACTGAGTCCTCCACGTTGGAAGCCACACCCAAGTCTTTCCTGAGATTTAAAAAAAAAATAGGTCCCATGGGTAATATCTGGTAGTGTCTCTGAGATGACCAAAGGGTAGCAGGGGAAACATAGGTAACCCTGTTTTCCAGGTATGGAAAACAGATTCCCAGTGGGCAAAGACAAAACTGTCACTCCTACAGGCTCTCCATGAAAAAAAGGGTCATTGCCTGAGCATCTGAAACCAGGGACCTTAATGCTGCTTCAGCATCCTTGGTCTGGGCTGATGTGGTCCTTCAGCTCTTCCCGGGTTTCTTCTCATCAGCAGCTTCTTAAATATGCTGTCTTGAATCTAGTTATTGCCACTCGAAGCCAAAAGCATATTTAAAAATTGTCTTGACATGTCTAGAGTCCTCACTGTGAGTATGTATCTTTTCCCACTTTATTTTTCCTCAAGCAGGTTGATGTTGAAAGGTTTTCTGTGCTTTCTCTCTTTGGGTTTGCACGCACATAACACTTTTGGCAGAGCCATTACCACACCAGTCCCTCCAACAGGACTCTTAAGCTTCCCACTTCACCAGGGTAATTCCTAGATATCAGTCTTAGTTGGAATTATTTCAACACTTTTCTCCTCCTCCTCACCCTCCTCCACCTCCTCCTTCTCCTCTCCATCTACTTCTCCTTTTTCTCCTTCTTCTATTTATAGATATCTACCATTTTCTTGGGAACATCTTACAGAAATATGCTAATTATATTCATTGTTTTTAAGAATGTCTCTTGAACAGACTTATTACCCCCATGCTTCATAAATATAATCCTCATTTATTGCATTTAAATCTCCATCAATATTATTCTTTATTTTGTTTGGGTATGTATTATTTTCTAACTATTTAAATAAAATATTTAGGCCAGGTGCGGTGGCTCACGCCTGTAATCCCAGCACTTTGGGAAGGTGAGGCGGGCAGATCACCTGAGGTCAGGAGGTCGAGACCAGCCTGGCCAACGTGGCAAAACCCCGTCTCTACTAAAAATACAAAAATTAGCCGGGTGTGGTGGTGGGCACCCTTAATCCCAACTGCTTGGCAGGCTGAGGCAGGAGACTCGCTTGAACCTGGGAGGTGGAGTTTGCAGTCAGCTGAGAGCATGCCACTGCACTCCAGCCTGGGCAACAGAGCGAGACTGTCTCAAACATTAAATAAATAAAGAAATAAAATATTTAGTTCATTTGATATATTTTTTAATAAGAAAAGTGTTTGAACCTACTATTTAAATCTCAACTTGGCTTTGGCCATAGGCTATGGTTTTTAACATTGTGATCTCATTAAAACTGCATTCTCACATGTCACCCTCCGAGATGTAATGGATTCTTGAAATTAAAGTGCAGGCTTGGGGCATGACAACAATAAAAGGTGGCTCTGCTGAAGTGAGTATCAGCGCTCTGGCCAGAGAGCTGCTTGGACTTCAGTTGCTGCCTGGGCAGGACTGGATAACTTCTACCTGGACTTCATTCTAGTGAAGTTGCCAGCATCAAGCAGACTGTGCAGAAGGCCTCTCCTGCAGCACACAACACACTACACTTCTGACAGAAGGGTTGTCCAATGCTGTACCAGGGCCTGTCGATTAAGACCACCCTGAGAGATTACACTTGGAAGGCTTAAAGCCTTAGGTCTGATGCACAAGTCTGAAATGAAGCACAGGCTAGACCTGGAGCCCAACTGTACACCTGCTAAAATGATATCATCTTCTTCCTGAAGAATGAAGAGGTTCAATTCCCCCCCAAAATCAAATTACTGGGAGTAGAAGTTTGGGTAGGTGGGGTAGTGGGACAAAATAAAGCCTGGGATAGCCTGTTAGTGGGGAAAGCACACATGCGCAGGTGCAATGGGATAGACGGGTCAGTAGCTTGATGGCTGCCTAATAAGGTGTGTGCCCACGAACCAGAGATTCCGACCTTCAGAGTAATAACAAAAAGGACCAAAGACACTGTGAGAAATGAGACGAAGCTAGTACTTGGAAGGCATCCACAACTACCTTGACCCAAGGCTCAAGATCTGGGATGGAGCTCTAATGCTGTCCTGAGAGTCATGGGGATAATAAATCTTGCTGGGTGTCTCCAGGGGGGCCCCTATTTGAGTTGGGCAATAAGTCCTCTCAGGGCCAGCAGCTTAGTAGAAAAGTGTGAAGACTACAAAAATATATCTCAACTACTCATTAAATCAAAATTCTGTAAATAGAAGTTCTGTGAATAGACACAGAAAATATACGGAGAAGCTGTAACTTAAAATATTCTGGAGCAGACAGTTTTGCTGGTGGGTTACTTCGAACTCTGTAATACGGAACAGATTACACAGCTGTGGAATAGGCTGTTCTTGGCAGACCCAGGAACAGGAGGAGAGGCCAGTCCCAGCCTTGGTTTCCATAGTGAACGGAGGAAGGGGGGTCACCCCAGAGCCTCTAGTGGGAAGTGCGCATGCTCGCAGTGCAGGGGCCCAGAGGCCCTGGATGAAATGTGAATCCTCTGGCTCTTCCCTGTCCACATAGGCAGCAACCTCCACCTTGGAGCCCCTAAATGGGCCCCAAATGCCTTTCAGGCCAAGGATCTTAAACGGAATTCACTTTAATGTGTTCAGCAAATATTGAGCAATATCCGTCATGTGCCTGAAATATTTGCATTTCAGAAAAGTCTCAGTCTGAGGGAAAAACCCATGGCAGCTGGGCCCCTTTTTTTGTTAGAAAACATTAAGAAGTTAGGACAGGCAGTGCTGCTTTCCAAAGTTGGGAGGGTGTAGGGAGGGACTGGACCCTGGCCCCTCATCCCCAGCCTCCCTAGGGGGCCACTGCTCATGCTCATCCATTCAAGGTCCATCGCATGCACTGAAATGGGAGAATTTTCTGTTCTGCACAGCCCCAAGGAGCAGCTCTCTCAGATAGTTAAGGAGTCTAGGGTGTCTTCTGAAAAGTCACCTGCATACAGAGTAAGATTAGAGTTTGGGGCAGGTGGACAAGCAGAGGCAGGGAGTCTCATTAGGGGTCCCTTCCCAGGACTCCATGTGAAAATGGGTGATGGCTTGCATTTCATCTTCATTCGCCAACTGTTTACTAACATTACATTTCAGGCCTTGTGCCTGGGGATACAATGAGAAGTGACATGGTCTCTGTAATCTGTACTGAGGGAAAGTGGTGGAGAAAAAGAGCGTTAAAAGAGAAAACAAATGCCTGATCAAATCATATGTTATGATGCATATTGTGAAGCAATATTATCACCAAGAGTGGGACAGAGGGAGCCGAGGTTCAATAGAAATGCCAGGTTCAAAAGATATAAACAGCAATGGAAGGGGAGGGGAGACTGTGAATAACAGGCACATCCAGGATTCTGTCTCAGGCAGCCAATTGAGCAGGACAGTGCAGCTATGAGATGCAGGTGCCATTTCCTGAAACCATGCAGAGAGAAGGACCAGAAGATTGTGGGAAGACCGAACGGTCTTACCCAGCGGATATCTGGATTGACACAACTCAGCAAAAACGCCTGCGCTGGAAAGTTAAGTTTGGAAGGTAAAGAAGATAAATCACATCACCCTGAGAGTGTCTGGAGCAGGGCTCTTTAATGATCTGAGAATGGCGTAATGTTTCATTGTGTGAGAACATAGCACATGCCACAGAGGCTGTCTCCCTTCACATGCACACATAAATGCCCTCCAGACATGGGAAAACTAACAGGAAAGTGGAGAAAAGAGAAAAGGAACCATGCCCACACACCACCAAAAGCCCTTTTATGGGCAGCGCGGTCCCCAACTGAGAACCACAGAAAATAACAAGCAGAGAGGAGTGAGGAGAGACAGGCATAGCAATAGGCCCAGGTGATTTAAGCCTCTTTGCAGACTATCCTATGACCATCCAATTGGAGCTATTTCTGGGACATATTAAAATAGCTTGCCTCATCTTAAACACTCTTCTCTAAGATAAACTCTATTCAAGAAGATGTTGGGTTCCAGTTTGTCCTGTATTATTCCTTTTACATGTCACCGAATTTAATTTGGTAATATTTAGCTGAGAGTTTTTATTTATATGCTCAACAGTGATATTGGTCTATAGTTTTCACTTTCTGTAATGTCTGTATCTGGTTTTGACATTATAACCTCATAAAACTACTGGTCCCTCCTTCTCTTCAGCTTTATGGAATAAATTGTGTAGAATTGTTTTTATTTCTTCTTCAAATGCTTGGTAGGAATTTTCAGTGAAACCATCAGTGCCTGAAGTTTTCTTTTTCAGATAGTTTGTAACTATTTGTTTTAATTGTAAGCCTATTCAGATTATCTTTTCATAATGGATGGGTTTTGGTACTTTGTGGTCTTAGGGTGTTGGCTCATGTATTAGTTCATTCTGGAATTACTATAAAGAGCTACCTGAGACTGGGGAATTTATAAAGAAAAGTGGTTTCATTGGATCATGGTTCTGCAAGCTGTACAGGAAACATGACTGGGGAGCCTCAGGGAACTTACAGTCATGGTGGAAGGAAAAGGGGAAGCAAGCACATCTTACATAACCAGAGCAGGAGGAGGAAAGCCAAGAAGAAGGTGCCACGCACATTTGAACAGCCAGATCTCGTAAGAACTCACTCACTATCAGGAGAACAGCAAGGAGGAAGTCCAGTCACCAACCCATGATCCAATCACCTCCCACCAGGCCCCTCCTCCAACACGAGAGGTGAGATTTGGGCAGGAACACAAATCCAAACCATATCTGGCCATTTAATCTAATTTGTCAAATTTATGTGTGTCCTGGTGTTTGCGTATTTCTTGTTATCCTTTTAATGATAGAATTATCTACCAAGCAGTCTTGGGTTCCTTATCTATATTGGGAACACACACGTGCAAATACGCAACACACACACATGCACCACCCATGTCATGGCTATTCCTCCAGATAGCCCTGAGTCCTCAGGGTATACCATAGACTTCAGGGATTGCTGAGAACTCTCTTCACCTTTTCAGATCTTTTGAAATATCTTTCTCCAGCCATCCTCTAAAAGTTGAAGTTTCTGGTGGTCCTATCTCACCTCTTCTGTTCCTGTCACCTTGTATTCTGAGCAACACCATCTCCCAGAGCTTGAATTTTACATCTATACACAAATGAGTCCAAAATTCATTTCTCCAGACTCAGATGTCTCTTTTATGTTATATAACTGGATATCCAACTGCCTAAATGTCATCTTAACATTGTGCCTTTGAGTTTTATTTTATTTTATTTTATTTTATTTTATTTTATTTTATTTTATTTTTGAGACAGAGTCTCCTTCTGATTGCCCAGGCTTGAGTGCAATGGTGTAATCTCAGCTCACTGCAGCCTCAATCCCCCAGGCTCAGGTTATTTTCCCACCTCCGCCTCCTGAGTAGCAGGACTGCAGGTGTGTGCCACCACGCTTGGCTAAATTTTCATATTTTTAGAGATGGAGTTTTACCATGTTTCCCAGACTTGTCTTGAACTGCTGGACCCAACTAATCCACCTGCCTCAGACTCCTAAAGTGCTGGGATTACAGACATGAGCCACCACACCCAGTCTGAGTTTTAAATTCAACATTTTACTCTACTTCATCAGTGTCTGCCTGAAACCTTCTGCTGCCAGTGTGTTCCCTACCTCACAGTACATGGCATAGCTGTCCACCCAGGGTCCTGAGGAAGAAAAGAGGACACCACTGATTCTCCTGTATCCTTCATATCTAGATAATCACATAATTCTCACCTTCTGTAAGCCACTTACTGCCATCCACGACTATATTCCACCGCTCTTTCACAATTGGATCACCACCGTGGACACCCTCTGTGCCTTCTCACTAGTTTATTCACTGCAGTTTACTTTGCACACTGAAACCAGTACATTTTCTGAAATTAAAACATTTCTCCCATATTTGTTTCCTAAGGCTGCCGTAAAAAATCACCACAAATTGGGTGGCATAAAATAACAGGAGTGTATTCTCTTGTAGATTTGGCAGCCAGAAGTTTTAAATCAAGGTGTTGGTTTGGCCATGCTCCTACCAAAGGCTTTAAGGGAGAATCTGTTCCTGCCCTTCCTGCCATCTAGAGGCTTCTGGCATTCCTTGACTGGTAGCAAAATAACTCCAATCTCTACCCATCTTCACAAGGATCTTCACAAATGGCATAGAGTACTGTGGGATTTCTAAGTAACCACAGGGTTTTTCACATTCATAGTCAATGAGGCTGGAAAAGACTGCTAAATAAAGTCCAATTCTAGCGTTTCTCCTAACTTCCTGGTTACTGGTACAGCACAGTCATATTGATCCACAATAGGCTGGTCTCAAGAGAAAGGATGTTTGCTGTTTCAATATTGTTAGGTTCAGGTGGCTATATTCTGGAGTCTCATGAAAAATAGCCTCAAATCCCACTTATCCATTGAAAAGTCAGGAGCATGCATTCAGGTACCAGCTTTTGGAATATGGAAGGCTCTTAGGTTCATTAAGATGGGACCCCATCATCCCCAGTTGGATCAGACTTGTTAGTTGCTTCCACCTGCTGATGTTGTCAGGGATTAATTTTTTATAATTACATAAAATTATGTGAAATAATTTTTATAATCATGGCCTTATATGCCCCCCCCCAGTTATTACTAATGTGTCAATTAGGGAAATAAATGAGCTCCATTCTGCTTTAAGTTTATTGCGTCATTTCTACTTTGTTGAATTATGGTCCAACTGGGTGTACCATAATTCAAATCTTACAGTAATCACACAAATTTAGTGCAGATCCTACAAGCTGAAGTGTGTGACCCCCAACAAGAATGTTCTTCCAATGCCAGCTGTACTTCAGGGGCCCTCAGGACACCCACACTTCCAACTAACTACCTACATATTTGGAGATTCCCATGACCCTAGTAGATTTAATAATTTGCTATACTGACTAACAGAACTCACTGAAAGTGCTGTACTTATGATTATCACTTTCTTAGAAAAGAAACATGTTTGGGAGGGGGTCTTGGAGGAACAGCAGAGATTTATGACCTCTCCATGTGGGATCAGGGCATGCCACTCTCTAGGACCATCCATTTGTTCACAAAAACCAGGAATCTCCACTGAGCTACATTGTTCAGAGTTTTTACTGGGGCTTCATATGTAGGCATGATTGCTTAAATCATGGGCCATGTGATTGAACTCAGCCACCAGGTCCCCTTACTACTCAGAAGGTCAGGCAACTGAAGTCCCAACTCTGTAATCATATATTTAGTCTTGTGACCAGCCCCATTTTAAAGTTTTGTATTGATCCATCATGAGTTACCTTATTAGCATAGCAAAGACACTCCTATCACTCAAGAAATTCCAAAGGTTATAAGCAAGGAACTTAGGACAAAGATCAGGTAAATTTTTTATTGTAACACAGGCTCTGATAAGATGACTTGAATTTATCCACCCTGCTTCCTGGTATTCTAGCTTCCTCTATTTGATGCTTACTGTAGGCTCCTTTGGACAGAAGTTTGTACCCTCAAAGGAAAGCTGAGAAGCGCCAAGACCAGCTTGGTCATGGAGACCCTAACCCAGCGACACTAGAGGAATTAAAGACACACACACAGAAATATAGAGTGCAGAGTCGGAAATCGGGGGGCTGACAGCCTTCAGAGCTGAGAACCTTGAACAGAGTTTGGCGCACATATTTATTGACAGCAAGCCAGTGATAAGCATTATTTCTATAGATTATAGATTAACTAAAAGTATTCCTTATGGGAAACAAAGGGATGGGCTGAAACAAAGGGATGGGCTCTGGCTAGTTATCTGTCCCAGGAACATTTCCTTAAGGCACAGATCGCTCATGCTATTGTTTGTGGTTTAGGAACTCCTTAAGTTGTTTTCCACCCTGGGTGGGCCAGGTGTTCCTTGCCTTCATTCTGGTAAACCCACAACCTTCAGCGTGGGCATCATAGCCATCAGGAGCATGCCACAGTGCTGCAGAGATTTTGTTTATGGCCAGTTTTGGGGCCAGTTTATGGCCAGATTTGGGGGCCTGTTCCCAACACATTCCCCCTTTTTGCTTTTGCAACATGATAAAAGGACAAAGGCAGCCTTATCACAGTGAGCTACTTCTTGCAGGAATTGGGATCCACATCTGCAGACTATACAAAGACAAACAACACAGATTAAAAGCACAATCATCATTGAAATCACAGAGCCTCCAAGTGTTTTTATCCATTTTATTGGGTTACTAGCTGCTAATCCATCTGCAGCTCCTTCAAGCACTCCAGTTCCTGGCATAATGGTCAGGTGTGCCTGGGATGCTTTAAATATTTGTTCTTTTAATTTTGCAGTATCTAAAGACAAGTTTGTAGAGTGTCCTTCTATATGATTTTTTATTCTTTCCCAAATTTTGATCTTATTAAGTGCCATTAATAGTTTCCACAAATTCTTATGTTTAGCTCCTACAGCGGGCCATATCATTTGAAGTTGAGGTGCCACTATACTGCCATGTTTCCAGATAATAGGAACTCTTGCCGTGTTTCTTACCATTTCTACCATCTGACCATTTTGTTTAGACCAGCTGAACATAGTGTGGTCGTGGGATGCAGACTGAGAGGTGCAATTCAAGCTAAACATCCCCTTAGGGGACCAATCAATAATGATTCCATAGGATTCGTTGCCAGCACCTCTGCCTGTTCTGCAATGAAATCTTCCCAAACAAGCACGTTCATTATTTCTGGTCAGGTCCAATTCTGTTTACAAATAGGTTTTTGAGGGTGGTATCCCTCAATTATAGGAGCAGATTTATTATGGTAAATACTGAGATCAGAAAGCATGTGTAACTGTGTTATAGAGTGATTACATCCAGGCATTATTGCCATTCAAGATTGATAAATATGCCCAATAAGTATAATTGTTCTCTGTGTCAGCCCTCATTGAAGGAATACTCATGGCAGTGGTGATCACCGCTATCATAGCTACAATTAAATTACTCGTTGTGACTGGTTGTCCCACTTTCCTCAGGTTTTCTTCCACCATCTGTGACAGCTTCTTGATCTGTCCCCAGATAGGTGGCTGTGTTTGACAGATGTTGCTCATGACAGTTGGGGTCCTTCTCAGCATCAGTCTCGACATGGCTGCAACCAGGGGGTCCTCAGAATCCTCCTGGAATCTCTTCCTCAGCATCTGGCTCATGATAAGGTTTCAGGTGTTTTGATGGTATCCAAATCGGCTGCTGGTTTTGGCCTGGAGAAACACAAGCATAACCTCTACCCCAAGTTATTATTTTACCTATTTCCCAACTTTTTGTTATCGGGTCTCTCCACTAAACCAGTTGTTCTGCTTCTGTCTTTGCAGCTGGTTTCTGTAGATGTTGTTCAGCTGCTGATAGCATCTGGCCTTTAGGCAGGCTCAAAAAATTTAAAGTCAATAATACTAGATTCAATTGCATATATGGGGTGTCCCACAGTCCCTGTTTCCCCCCACTTTGCTTTTGCAACTGCTGTTTCAGGGAGAGATTCATTCATTCCACTATTGCTTGTCCTTGAGAATTATATGGGATACCAGTAATGTGTTTAATATTCCATATAGAGAAACATGTAGCAAGAGCTTTGCTAGTATAGCCTGGGGCATTATCTGTTTTAATACAAGCTGGAATGCCCATCACTGCAAAACACTGCAAAAGATGATGTTTAACACAGGCAGAAGACTCTCCTGATTGGCACATAGCCCAGACAAAGTGAGAAAAGGTGTCCACAAATATATGTACATAAGCTAGTCTCCAAATGAGGGAACATGTGTGACATCCATTTGCCAAAGAGAATTAGGTTCCAATCCTCGAGGATTAACTCCTCCTGTGAAAGATGAGGAATGTACCATTTAGCAAATTGGGCATTGCTGGATAATAGCTTTAGCTTCTTTCCAGGTAATGCTGTATCTGCGTTTGAGACCAGAGGCATTAACATGGGTTAAATTGTAAAAGTGTCTGGCATTATATATTGCAGTAGCAACTAGGCGATCAGCCATTTGATTCCCTTCAGTTAAAGGTCCTGGAAGAGGTGTATGAGCCCTAATGTGAGTGATGTAAAAAGGGTGCATTCTACTCCAGACTGCTGTTTGCAATTGGGTAAATAAAGTCATCAGTTGTTCATCTGTATGAAATCATAACTGAGCATTTTCAACTAATTGTGTGGAATGAACCATGTATGAAGAATCAGAAACACATTAATAGGTATATTAAAAGCAGTAAATACCTCAATTACAGCTACAAGCTCTGCTTTCTGAGCTGAAGTATAGGGTGTCTGAAAAACTTTACCTTTTGAGCCAGAATAAGAAGTTTTATCATTACTAGACCCATCTGTAAAAACATTCTCAGCACCTTCAATTGGTTTAAATTTAGTAATTTTAGGGAGAATCCAATTAGTTAATTTCAAAAATTGAAACAGTTTCATTTTAGGAAAATGATTATCTAGAATACCCACACAGTCAGCTAAATGGGTTTGTCAAGTAAGACTGTTTACAAAAGCTTGCTGTATTTGTGTCTTTATGAGAGGGACTATAATTTATCCAGGATCATATCCATGTAATTTAACAATCTGAGTTCTCCCATTTCCTATCATAGTAGTGATTTGATCCAAATAAGGAGTTAGAGTCCATGAATTAGCATGTGGAAGAAAAAGCCATTCTACTAAGTCCTGCTCTTGGACAATAACACCAGTGGGTGAATGATGAGTTGAAAAAATTAGCAAATCTAGAGTCTTCTCTGGATCTGTTCTATTTATTTGAGCCTTATGGACTTGCTTTTCAAGCAGCTGTAACTCTGCCTCAGCCTCTTTTGTTAATTGTCAAGGACTAGTGAGACTAGGATCTCCTCTAAGGATAGAAAATAGATTACTCATGGCATAGGTAGGAATGCCTAGAGCAGGTCGTATCCAACTAATGTTCCCTAGTAATTTTTGAAAGTCATTTAATGTTTTCAATTGATCCTTACGTATGGTTACTTTCTGTAGCACAATGGTAGTGTCATTTACTAAGGTCCCCAAGTAGGAGTAAGGAGTAGTAGTCTGAATTTTGTCAGGAGCTATAATTAAACCAGCATGAGAAATCAAATTTTGCAAGTGATCATAACATTAGAGTAATATTTTTCAAGTGGGGGCAGCACAAAGTATATCATCCGTATACTGAATAATGTAACACTGTGAAAATTTTGTATGAGTAGGTTCAATTGCTTGCCCTACAAACATCTCGCAAATTGTTGGACTGTTTAACATGCCTTGTGGCAACACTTTCCAATGAATACGCTTAGCAGGCTGCAGGTTTTGTAAATGCAAACTGTTCACAGTCTTGCTCAGCCAAGGGGATAGTAAAGAAACAGTCTTTTAAATCTATGACTATGAAAGGCCATTTTTTCGGAATCATAGCAGGAGAAGGCAATCCTGGCTGTAATGTCCCCATAGGTTGTATAAGTGAATTAATGGCTCTTAAGTCAGGTAACATTCTCCATTTACCTGATTTTTTCTTAATTACAAAAACTGGAGAATTCCAAGGGGAAAATGTTGGAGCTATGTGTCCATTTTCTAATTGTTCAGTAACTAAGTCCTCTAAAGCCTCCAGTTTCTCTTTACTTAGCAGCCATTGTTCTATCCAAATTGGCTTATCTGTTAACAATTTTAAAGGTATACGTTCTGGAGGCTTAACAATGTCTGCCATCAAAAATGATATCCTAAACCTTGGCGGGAACTTTGTCTTTCCACTTGAAGTGGTTCCTTCAAATCTTGCAAATATTTTCTAGTCCCATACCAGGGACACACCCCATTTCATGCATCATATGTTGACTTTCAGGGCTATATAATTGTTCTGGAATTAGAACTTGTGCTTCCCATTGTTGTAATAAATCTCTCCCCCATAAATTTATAGGTACAGAAGTTACAATTGGTTGAATAGTCCCAGTTTGTCCATTGGGCCCTTCACAGTGCAAAATATAACTACTCTGATATACTTCAGGGGCTTTACCAACTCCAACTCTGTTAAATTGAGTGGATTGAATTGGCCACGTGGACGGCCATTGCTGTAGAGAAATGATTGAAATGTCTGCTCCTGTATGTATCAAACCTTTAAATTTCTTTCCCTGAATAGTTATTTCACAGGTAGGACATTTATCAGTAATTTGATTCACCCAATAAGCTGCTTTGCCTTGTTGATTTGTGCTTCCAAATCCTCCTGTTCATTTAATTCACTTTTCCCCATTTCCACATACGGCACAATCAGGAGCTGTGCTATATGCTCTCCTGGCTCTGCTTTCCAGGGAACAGTAGATATAACAATTTCAATTTCCCCATTGTAATCTGAATCAATTACTCCTGTATGTATTTGTGCTCCTTTTAAATTTAACCTTGATGGCCAGGCACTGTGGCTCACGCCTGTAATCCCACCACTTTGGGAGGCCGAGATGGGCGGATCACAAGGTCAGGAGATCGAGACCGTCCTGGCTAACACGGTGAAACCCTGTCTCTATTAAAAATACAAAAAATTAGCCGGGTGTGGTGGCGGGTGCCTGTAGTCTCAGCTGCTGTGGAGGCTGAGGCAGGAGAATGGTGTGAACCCAGGAGGTGGAGCTTGCAGTGAGCCGAGATTGCACCACTGCACTCCAGCCTGGGTGACAGAGTGAGACTCCCTCTCAAAAATAAATAAATAAATAAATTTAAACTATATATACCTAGACGTAATCCTATTGCCCCCACTGGCAACATCTGACCGGAGACAGTAACATTCTTTAACAGTCCCATTACAAAAGGAGAACATAGTCCATATTGATTAAGGGCTTGCTTAAATTCTTTAAGTATTTTAAAAGGAAAAGGCTCAAATGTAGCTATAATATTTCCCTGTTGATCTGGGGGGTGTATCCCAAAAGGGAACTGCCAAGCCTCTATATCACCCTCACATCTAGCTTGCTGGATTCCTGCCTGAATAGAACTGAGAGCGGTACTCGAGGCACTGCTCAAACAGTCACTGGGGCACCTTTCACCCCGTGTCCTCCGGAAAAGAAAGATCTGGAGGGTCAGGCCACTCTTTTTCTTCAAAATAATGAGGGGGTGCAGAAGGGTAGGGATGAATCTCTTCCTCCTTTGCCGCTTTAGCTTTAGCTGGGAAACAAACCTTCTCTGTTACCTCTTCTTTTACTTAGTTATACTTTCCTTCCTCCTCCTCATCAGTGTGAAAAGGTTCCCAGGTGGAACGAACCAGATCCCACACTTGTCCCATTGTTACCCTGATGCTTCCAAGCTCCCCTTCTTACTCACCATGGGGATTGCTTAAGAGTACTCGGGTGTCCTCCAGCTTAGTTCCACCTTCTCCAACCATCGCTCCAGCAACCCTTCGACCCGGGTTCCAGCCCCAGGTATGGGCACCCCTTGACAAGACCAGCTTGGTCATGGAGACCCTAACCCAGTGGTGCTAGAGGAATTAAAGACACACACACAGAGAAATACAGAGTGCAGAGTGGAAAATCAGGGGGCTGACAGCCTTCAGAGCTGAGAGCCCCGAGCAGAGTTTGACCCACATATTTATTGACAGCAAGCCAGTGGTAAGCATTGTTTCTATAGATTATAGATTAACTAAAAGTATTCCTTAAGGGAAACAAAGGGATGGGCTCTGGATAGTTATCTGAAGCAGGAACATGTCCTTAAGGCACAGATCACTCATGCTATTGTTCGTGGCTTAGGAACGCCTTTAAGCGGTTTTCCACCCGGGGTGGGCCAGGTGTTCCTTGCCCTCATTCCAGTAAACCCACAACCTTCAGCGTGGGCATCATGGCCATCACGAACATGTCAGAGTGCTGCAGAGATTTTGTTTATGACCAGTTTTGGGGCCAGTTTATGGCCAGATTTGAGGGCCTGTTCCCAACAGAGAAGAGACTTTACTATTCATAGAACATAAGGGTCTAGAACCACACATCTCCCTTAGGGGCATTGGAACCCTGTTCATTCATTACAGGGCAGAGATAAACAGGCATAGATGCTGTTTAATATATACCATTGAAAACCTTGACTTTCCTGTGTCTTACTTTCTTCACCACTGACACTTCCCACAGGTGAAGCTCCAGAGCTTATTTTTAACAGCTTTATTGAGGTGTAATTGATATATGATAAACTGCACATATTTAATGTGTATAATTTGACAACTTTTGACATATAAATCCATGCAACCATTACCCCCATCAAGATAATGAACATGTTCGCCACCCCCACATGCTTCCTCATGCCCCTCTGTAATTTCTCCCCCACCCACTCTATCCTACTTTTTCAGTAACCAGCGATCTGCTCTCTGCCACAATTGAGTAGTGTGCATTTTCTAGAATTTTATATAATGAAATCCTACAGTGCTTAATCTTTTTTATCTGGCTTCTTTAACTCAGCATAGTTATTTTAAGACTCTTTCATGTCATAGCATATACTAAGAGTTATTCATTTTATTGCTGAGCAGTATTTCATTGTAGAAATATACCACAGTTTGTTTGCCATTTTTCTATTGATGAGGTTTTGATTGTTTCCACTTTGGAGCTATTACAAATAAAATTGCTAAGAACATTCATGTAAAATACTCTGTATGGAAAAATGTCTTTATTTCTCTTACTAGAAATCAAATGGCTGGATCATATGGTGGGTGAATTTTTAACTCTTAAAGAAACTAAAAAAAATTTTTTTTCTCAAAGTTATTGTAAAATTTTAAATCCAACAGAAATGAATGAGAGTTCTACTTCCTCCACATTCTTACAAACAGTGGATACAGTCAATTTTCTTAATTTTAGCCATTTTAATAGGATAGTAGTGGCATTTCATTCAAAGTTTGATTGTATTCACCTTATGGCTAATGATATTGAACAACCCTTCGTGTGCTTCTCATCATGAACATATAATCTTTGGTGAAATGTGCTTTGCAAATATTTTATTCCAATTTGTGGCCTTTTCATTCCCTTAGCAGTATATTTTGAGAGCAGAATGTTTCTATTTTGATAAAATTCAACAATGTGTACATTAATGTATTTTGCCTTTTGATGCCATAGCTAAAAAATATTTTGCTAGCCCAAAGTCTCAAAGAATATCTCCTATGTTTTCCTTGAGAGATTTTGTAGTTTTAGCTTGAATATTTGGGTACAATTACAATGCACATAGTACATTCATAATTATCTATTTTTGATAAAATTTTGTATAAAATATTAGTTATGAATCAAGTTCACCCTGTTAAAAAAATTATTATTTCACCACTATTATATTATGAGAAATGATGCAAGCTTTCACCGTTAAGTATCGTGTTTTTCTGCCCTACTGGGATGATTTTTTTTCTTTGTTACTTTGTTACTAATGTGGGTTACATTAATCAATTTTCAAATGTTACAAAAACCTTACAGATATCTCTCTCTTATTGATCTCTAACAGTTTCCTTAGTCGGAATTATTTTAACTAAAAATTCTTCTTATTTAATGGATATATACATATATATATATACATATACTGAATAGGGTTTACTAGTTTTTGTCACCCTAGGACTTTGTCCATCTCTTAATTGTGAAGTTTATTCATTTTATTTCATTACGATCCGGTTAATAATTTTTAACCTTTAGTGCTGCTGCCTTCCTCATTATTGATATTGGTAATATTATTTGATCCTTCTCTGATTTGATCCTGAGCAGTTTGACTAGATAATTACCAATTTTCTTAATTTTTCAAGAAACCAGGTTTTTCTTTTTTTGTTGTTTCATTGACACTCTCTATTGTTTTTCAGTGTTCTTCATGACATTTATTATTTCATTTTTTCTACTTTCTAAGTGTATAATTTGCTATTCCTTTTTTGTATTCCTAAGCTAAGGTCATTGATTTGAGACCCTTCTTATTCATAATATAGGCACTTAGTTCTATAATATTCCTCCCAAAGACTTCTTGAATGATATCCCATACATTTTGATTTTTCCCCATTGATATTTGTTTGGTGTGGCCCATGGTTATTTAGAAGTGTGGGATTTACTTTTAAAAAGAGTAGGGAATATTGTGAATTCTTAATTTAATTCCTTTGAGGTCAGAGAATAACCATACTTTGTACTTCTTGAATCCTGTTTTTTTTTTTTTTTTAATGGCCCAGAACAAGGACCCTTGCACATGTTAAATGTGTTTTGGGAAATAATAGAAATGTTGGTGTTATTTGATGACATGTTATATAAATGTCAGGTAGGTCAATTTGGTTTATAATGTTATTCAATGCTTTTTGTACTTTGGATATTTGTCTGTCTGCTTTTTCCATCAATTATTCAGAGAAAAATATTGAAATTGTCAATTATAAATATAGTTTTATGCATGTCCTCTTGCAGATTCTCATCTTGGGTTAATTTGTTTTCTGGATAAATAGTATATTTATATTTGTATTTATGTTTGTATTTGTAAAATTATCTTCTGGAAGTTTTCTTTCCTCTGAAATCGACTTTGTCCAATATTGAAATAGGCACCACAGTTTTGTTTTACTTAGTACTAGCATGGAATCTATATTTTTCCATCCTTTCCTTTTAACTTATTTATGTCATTATATTTAAAGTATTATGTTTGGGCCAGTTGTGGTGGCTCAGGCCTGTAATCCCAGCACTTTGGGAGGCCGAGGTAGGCTGATCGCTTGAGGTCAGGAGTTTGAGACCAGCCTGGCCAACATATTGAAACCCTGTCTTTACTAAAAATACAAAAATTAGCCGGACGTGGTGGATCATGCCTGTAATTTCAGTTACTTGGGAGGCTGAGGCACAAGAATTGCTGGAACCTAGGAGGCAGAGATTGCAGTGAGCTGAAATTGCACCACTGCACTCCAGCCTGGGAGACAGAGTAAAACTTGGTCTCAAAAAAAAAAAAAGTATTATGTTCATAAGTAACATATGGTTGAATCTTGCTTTTTATATCCAATCTGACAATGTTCGCAATTTTAATTTTTTTATTTTGAAATAATTTTAGACTTACAGAAGAGTGAAAACGATAGTACAGTGAATTTGAGTACACCCTTCACCGCGTTTCCCCTAAGGCTAGCATCTTACATAATCATGCCACATTTACCCAAACTAAGAACTTAATATTGGTGAAATACTAATAACAAAACTAAAAACTGTATACATATTTCATCCACTTTGTATTCTTTTGCTAATGTCTTTTTTCATTTCGGAGTCTAATCAAGGATACACACTGCGTCAGTCACCCTTTCTTCTTAGCCCCCATCTGTGACAGTTTCTCAGTCTGCACTTCTCCTATGTGACTGTGACACATTTGAAGGGTCCAAGTGAGGCATTTTGAAGAATATCTACCCACTTATATTCATCTGATGTTTTCTCATGATTATGCTTTGGCCATGGATTTTGGGGAAGAATAACATGGAAGTCAGGTGTCCTTCTCACCATATCATATTAGAATGTATGTGTTATCAACTTTATCTATTGCTAATATTAAGCTGAATCACATAGGATGATGTCTGCTGGATTCTTGACTGTAAAGTTACTATTTTCTCTTTCCATTTGGTAGAGGGAAACCACTAACTCCAGACCACACTCAATGACTAGGAACTAAGTTTCACTTATTGGAGGGAATGATATGAAAGTATGTATGGACATATATTAAAATAACCACATTAACTGATACATTTTTTAGTGAAAATTATTCGAGGCCATGTGAATAACCTGTTATTCTATTTCTTTTTAAAGTCTCACCCAGGAATTTTATCATGTATCATGAGTCTTGCCTGCAGCATTTTTTACTGTGGTATTTTAGTGGTGGTTTTCTGTTGTCATATATTTTTCTACATTTATTAAATAAAATTCTTTTATGCATAAGATTTGTCTTTTTCTCCTCATTTGTTAATTTATTCAAGCATACATTTATATCAGTATGGACTCATGGATACTTATTTTATCTTTTGGGTTATAAATTAACACATGTGAAATTTATTTTGTTGTTTAAGTTACTTCAGCTTTGGCCCTTGGCAGCTCTTTTAGATTGGTTCGTGTGTGTGTGTTTGTGTGTGAGTGTGTGTGTGTGTGGTTTATTCCTTAAATCTTTATACTACTCTTGTCTAATTGGTGATGCTGCACATTTCCTTCTGTTTTTATCTTCCTTCCATTCTGTCTGTGGAACTTCCTTTATCACTTCTTTTAGGTGGGAATGTATGTCTTTCACCTTTATTTCTGAAAGATATTTTCACTGGCGTTCCCCTTCCTTCTGATCTCCATGGTTTCACATAGAAATCCACGGTATTTTCAAGACCTTTTTCTACATCTGTAGTTTTCTTTTTCTTTTCTTTCCTTTTCCTTTTTTTTTTTTGGCGAGTGGGGACGGAGTCTTGCTCTGTCGCCTGGGTTGGAATGCAGTGGCGCGATCTCGGCTCACTGCAAGCTCCGCCTCCCGGGTTCATACCATTCTCCTGCCTCAGCCTCCTGAGCAGCTGGGACCACAGACGCCTGCCACCATGCCTGGCTAATTTTTTGTATTTTTAGTAGAGATGGGATTTCACCATATTAGCCAGGATGTTCTCGATCTCCTGACCTCGTGATCCACCCTCTTTGGCCTCCCAAAGTGCTGGGATTACAAGCGTGAGCTATCGCGCCCTGCCTTCTTTTTTTTTTTTTTTTTTTTTTTGTGAGACTGAATTTCCCTCTTGTCGCCCAGGCTGGAGTGCAATGGAGTAATCTTGGCTCACTGCAACCTCCGCTTCCCGGGTTCAAGTGATTCTCCTTCCTCAGCCTCCCAAGTAGCTGGGATTACAGGTGCCTGCCACCACACCCAACTAATTTTTGCATTTTTAGTAGAGATGGGGTTTCACCACATTAGCCAGGTTGGTCTCAAACTCCTGACCTCAAGTGATCCACCCAACTTGGCCTTCCAAAGTGCTGGGATCACAGGCGTGAGCCACCATGCCCAGCCCTTTAGTTTTCAAATAAATGGATTGTGATGTAACTGGGTATGGATTTCTTTGAATTTTTCCTTCTGGAGGTTTTCTTAGCATCGTGAACTCATATACTTGTGTATTTTTCCAAATTTAGAAAGGGTAATGACATGAACTTTTCAGATACTTTTTCAGTTGTATACCCATTCTTTGCTTCTGAGACTCTAGAGATGAAGAGCTCGAGGTTTGGTCTGCCTCCCAAAGTACTAGGATTACAGGTGTGAGCCACCCCACCCAGCTTCATTCACTATCTTACATGTTTCATTCTACTCTCTTCTTGTACTTGCTTGCGTGATTTCTGATGAAAAGTCCAGTGTAATTCTGATCCGTGTTCCTCTATAGCTAGCATGCTTTTTCCTCTCTTTCTTCTTTCAGAATATTCTCTGTCTTTGGTTCTCTCAATTTTAATATGGTATGCCTAAATGTGAATTTTTTAGTATTTATTCTAATATCCATGGTTTGGTGTTTGTCATTAATTTTGTAAACTCTTGATAACTATTATTTCAAATATTTCTTCTGCTCCATTGTCTCTTTGTTTTCTTGTATTCCAACTATGTGTATATGACAGATTTTAACTTTGTCCACCAATTCTCAAATGTTCTATTGTGTTTTTCCCATTGTTCTTTTTGCATTTTAGTTTGAGTAGCTTCTGTTGACATGCCTTCAAGATCAGCAATTCTTTCTTCAACCATGTTCCATCTACAGATGATTCCATCACAGGCACACTTCAGTTCCATTACAGTGCTTTGATTGCTAGCATTTTTTACATGTATATTATAGTTTCCATATTTCTGCTCACATTATGCATTTGCTCTTGCAAGTTGACTACTTTTTCCATTTGAATCTTTAATATACAATTCTCAGTTATTTCTCAGTAACTCAGGAAAGAGTTACTTTTCCTTTCCATCTGCTGGAGCTATGAGGGACATTTTCTTGGCTTTTTGCCATGAGACTCTTATGTTACCAGTAAACTCAGTAACCCTAAAAGATAGAATATTTTCTTGTTGGGTGACACTGAGCCAGTACACTCACTGAAAGTGAGTGTCAAGCAGAGTAAGCTTTATTTGATGGCCAAACAATGGAGAAGTGGGAGTGTGGCTCATAAATCAACTTATCTGCTAGTAGGGAAGAGGGGGTTAAAATATAGGGTTTCTATAATGAAGGGGTTCAGCCTTAAAAGTGCCTTTTCCAGAAATGGGCAGTGATCTTCTCAGAACTGGAGTGCTGCTTTCCTTTCTCTCCTTTTATGGCTTCTTCCAGTTGTTTTCATGGTGGTTGTCAATGGTTATGGCACTGTTGAGAATTGTTATTTAGCATGGGAATGAGATTATAATGAAGCCTGAGGTCTTTTTGAAGTCATTCGGTCAGCTATCTTGGTTTTAGACAGTCTCAGCTGGTCTGGTTACAAAGGGAACTTTTTAAGGTAGACATCCTATTTCTTAAAGATAAGCAGTCAGAGTGGGGTAGAAATCCAGCTGTCATGTAGGCATTACACTGGGTAACAAATCTCCCCTATCTTTATATTCACTCCTCATTCTTGAAGGGTGCTGACAGGCCAAGGTCTGTCTTCTATAGCTTCTTCAAGCTGAATTTGGGTGTTGATATAGGGCCCATTAGAAGGGTGAATTTTTTCCCTAGCTGGTCTTAGCTAGGACTGGTTATCTCCTGGGTGCAAGCCCAGATGTTTATATCCCTGAGTAACTGTCATTTGTAGTTGTACGACCTCAGTTTGCTTAGACACAAACAAGACCAGAAATTTAGGAGACAGGGCCAAGAAATCAAGGGTAGAAGCTACAGGGCCCTGGAAGGGTTAAATTGGTATAAACACTTGGCCTGATCATAGATTACTTTAATATAGCCATCCTTTTGACAGGTTAAAGGGAGACTGACCCAGATTCCATTGCCAGTGAGGTTTACACAAGGCCAAGATAATAAAAAGTCTTGTTCCAGGAAGATCACTAATGGGACTTCAGGTGGGTCCAGGCAAGATGGATTAAAGTTAGATGATTGATCACAGTTATTGGTCAGGCTGTTGATCAAGCTATGGGCCAAGGAGATTGGGCTTAGGGGTGTAGATGGAAAATCCAGCAGTTAATGAACCTTTAGCTATAATAGCTATAATTTTAACAAGGTTATTTTCACTCCATTATTCTGATAACTCTCCCCATATCTCAACCCATAGCAATAGGAAGAACAGGGCATGTTGATAAATGCACCACTGCGCTGTAGTTCCCAGGTGTGCACAGATGAGGTTTAAGGTGAATATGGTAGTGACTGATAGGAGGAGGCAAATCCCTAAATAAGGGGTAGGTTCTTGATGGAGTAAGATGAGAATACCTATAAGCAAGGCTAATAGACTAAGTCCTGGCAGGAAATGCATGTAGGCCTAAGGTTGCTCATCTGGCTGGGGATAAGTCTGTCTTTTTCAACAGGAATTTTAGATCTGAGAGTGGTTTAGCTGGGTACATGCGGCTTTTTTCCTTAGGTTCCATGGCTGCCTTGACCCAGATGTGGTGTATCCAAGGCGTCACTCCCTGTATTTTTTTTTTCTTTTTTGAACTAGAGTCTCGTTTTGTTGCCCAGGCTGGAGTGCAGTGGTGTGATATCGGCTCACTTCAACCTCCGCCTCCTATGCTCAATGGATCCTCCCACCTCAGCCCTCCAAGTAGCTAGGACTACAGGCGTGCGCCACCATGCCTGGCTAATTTTTTTGTATTTTTAGTAGAGATGGGGGTTTCACCATATTACCCAGGCTGGTCTTGAACTCTTGAGCTCAAGCGATCTGCCTGCCTCGGCTTCCCAAAGTGCTAGGATTACAGGCATGAGCCACTGTGCCCGGCAAACTCCCTGTAATTTTAAGGCAGAATTTTTTTGTGAGAACCACAAGATATGGGCCCTTCCATTTAGGTTCTAAATGACTGCGGTTCCCCTTCTCTCTAGGTTTTTAAGTAAACCCAATCCCTGAGTTGGAAAGGATGGAGGGTTATGTCAGATGGCGAAAGTAATGATTGATTTCCATAGGCCTGAAGGGCCTTCATTACTCCTCCAATTTGGGTGGCATACCATATTTTTTCCCCACAGCTCTGAGGACCTCCTGGTCACCTAGCCAGACTGGGACCCAGTTTGATCTTTCCTTTTGGAGCTATTCTTATTCTTAACAGTGCCATGGAGAGTAATGAAATCCATGGGAGATGAGTTTTCTGGCGTAATTTAACTAAGGTTCTTTCAAGGGTCTGGCTAGCCCACTGTACTGGAAGACTGTGGTCTCCAGGGGACATGTGAGCACCGTTTTATTTCTAGGTCCCAAGAAGTACCCTCAGTAATGGAAAATATGAATGCTGGTCTGGTATCACTTTGGATTGACTGAGGCAACCTGAATCTGGGAACAATTTCCTTTAACAGCACCTTTGCTACCTCACGTGCCATCTCAGTGAGGGTGGCAAAAATTCTACCCATCCAGAAAAGCTATCAGTGAGGACCAGGAGGTACCAAGGCTCTGGACATAACTGCGGAATCAATTTGTCAATCTTTCCCTGGTTATCTACTTTGGTACTGGACCAGCTGAATGGCCCCCTCTGCACTCCCCTGTGGGGTGGATGTTAGGGTTATTAACATAGCAGGTGGAGCAAGTCTCAACCGCCTCTTTGATTAGCTCCCTGAAGTTTGGGACAGTCATGCTCTGGAAAAGCCAGTTACACAGGGCCTCCTGACAAAAGTGAGCATTTGTATGGGCTTTTTAACAGCCTGCAATGCAACTGCTTCTGGGAAAAGTTGTCCATGAGGGTTGATTAACCCTCCCGGATGGTAAGACTTTTGGTATATCCCCATTTGGAGGCGGTTTCCCATTCCTTTCGAGAGTAAAGTGGGGTAAAAAAGTAGGATTGGCATGGGGGGGAAGGAAAAAGTGGCATTTGAAAAGTGATCTTCCCTAAAGCCACATGATTTGACAGGAGATCAGCTTTATTATTTTCTTTAACTACCTCAACAACACCCTTCTGGTGGCTGTAGCAATGGATTACTGCCACCTGGGCTTGTTTATTACAGATGCAAATAGCATCTTGGTGGATGAGCACCAGCTTCTGCAACCCCACTGAGAAGGACCATAGCTTATCCTGCCCTCCACTGTCCCTCCAGCATATAGCTGTGCCCATCAGTGAAGATCTTGGCTTTAGAATTTTTAACAGGTTCACTTTTATGGTCTGGTCCACTAGGGTACACTTCCTCCATCACCCCTAAGCAGTCAAGAGATAAGTGACTGTCTTCATATGGAAAGAGGATGTCTGGCTTCAAGATGTTACACACCTTCAATGTTATGTGGGTCGGCCAGGTGCGGTGGCTCACACCTGTAATCCCAGCACTTTGGGAGGCCAAGGCAGGCAGATCACTTGAAGTCAGGAGTTCGAGACCAGCCTGGCCAACATGGCGAAACACTGTATCTACTAAAAATACAAAAAATTAGACAGGTGTTGGGGTGTGTGCCTGTAGTCCTGGCTACTCAGGTGGCTGAGGCAGGAGCATCGCTCGAACCTGAAAGGTGGAGGCTGCAGTGAGCCAAGATGGCGCCACTACACTCCAGCCTGGGTGACACTGTGAGACTCCCTCTCAAAAAAGAAAAAAGTTATGTGAGGGTTTTCAATAAGCATTATGTGTTACTGGAGAGCCCTGCCTGGGGACAGTCATTCTGCCCCCCTTTCCTTTATGAGGGTCTGGGTAATGGGGAGTCCAGATGGTTAGGGATTGCCCAAAGGTTAACTTCTCTGTCTCTTTTAAATGGAGGGCAGTGGCTGCCACTGACCAAAGGCAAGGAGGAGTGGTGGAAGGGGCATTTCCCAAAAGGGGAGAAACTCAAGCTGGAAAGAAAATGGGCATGCATATCCTTTGCTGGCCAGTGTTGTTGGGCACCAGTTTCCCAGTCTCTGAGGAGGTAAGGAGGCTTCCCAAACAGGGAAGTGAACTATCTATTCCACAGTCCTGTCACAGTTGCCTTTTTCTTTTTTCTTTTCTTTTTTTTTTTTTTTGAGACGGAGTCTCGCTCATTGCCCAGGCTGGAGTGCAGTGGCGCGATCTCGGGTCACTGCAAGCTCCACCTCCCATGTTCATGCCATTCTCCTGCCTCAGCCTCCCGAGTAGCTGGGACTACAGGCGCCCGCCACTGTGCCCAGCTAATTTTTTGTATTTTTAGTAGAGACGGGGTTTCACCATGTTAGCCAGGATGGTCTCCATCTCCTGACTTCGTGATCTGCCCACCTCAGCCTCCCAAAGTGCTGGGATTACAGGCGTGAGCCACCGTGCCCAGCCAGTTGCCATTTTTTAACCAATAAAGTTGGTAGCCTGAAAAGATGGGCTCTGTCCCCATTTGGTGTCACAGAGCCAATAAGCAACCGAAAGTGAGCATCAAGCAGAGCTATTCATGGCCAGGAAATGAAGAAGCAGGGATGTTTGTCACAAATCAGCTTCTCTACTAGTCGGGGGTGAGGAGGTTAAAATATAGGGCGTCAATATAAACAAAGGGACTGGACATTAAAAGTGATAGGATAAATAGTTATGTCTTTTCCAGAAATGGGCAGTGAACTTGGAACCAGAGTGAAGCCTTCTTTTTTGGCCTTCTGTGGCTTCTTGCAGTTGTTTTTATGGCGATGGTCAACTGTCATGGTGCTGGTGGAAGTGTCATTTAACACAGAAATGAAATTATAATGAAACCTGAGAACTTTTTGAAGCCATTCAGTCAGCTATCTAGGTTCCAGCCAGTTTTGGCTGGTGTAGTTACAGAGAGAACTTTGTACTGCATGTGTCTTCTTCTTTTTATAACTCTAATTTTAGGTTTAGGGGCACATATGCCAGATTACTATGTAGGTAAACTGCATGTTGTGGGGGTTTGGTGTACATATTATTTAGTTACCCAGGTAATAAGCATAGTATCCAACAGGTATTCTTTTTAAGCAGCATTTGGGTGGGGTAGAAATTCAGTTATGTCATGTAGCCATTACACCAGGTAACAATGAGGTTCATAGAGGTAGAGGTAAACCCACAAAGGTCGGGGAGGGCCCCTCAAGACTCTGACCTCCAGGAGCTTTTTACTCTATGCTAGTCCAAATTCACTGTCCAGAAATTCACTAAAATTACCGTTTAAGAATTCCTACCAGATTACGGCTCCAGTGGCTTCTGCTCCAGGTGTGAGAGCTCAGCTGTGTCTCTGTGTTCACCAGTCTCTTCAGATTTCAGGTGGCACTTTCTCCTGCGACCTCACATCTCTGATGGGTCTAAGAAAAGTTATTGATTGTAAGTTTTCCTCTTTTTGTAAGAATAGGAATGATGACTTCAGTGTCACTTGTAAACCAGAAGTTGACTTCCATTAAAAGAAACAAAACTAGTTGTCCTGGGGTTTACAGTATACATTTAAATGTAATCTGAGTGTACTTTTAAATAATATTATACCTCTTCACATGTCATATAAAGACTTCATGACAGTAAATTTCCAATCTCTCCCTCCCAGTATCACTTTGGATTGACTTTGTGCTATTATTGTCATATGTTTACAAATATATATAATTTTTGATAATATATGTATAATTTTATATATAAAATTATTTATATATGCTATGAACTATATATATGCTATGAATTACATATATATTGTTTATATATATAATTATATATATTCTGTTTCCAAATTATATATATGCTATGAATTATTATAAATTATATATATATAATTGTTTCCAAATTATATATATAGTTTATATATAATTATATATTGTTTCCAAATTA
The DNA here is from genome assembly GCF_000001405.40 of Homo sapiens. Lineage (NCBI taxonomy): Eukaryota > Metazoa > Chordata > Mammalia > Primates > Hominidae > Homo > Homo sapiens. The sequence goes on from NC_000015.10 coordinate 23,713,791, forward strand.
TATATATGCTATGAATTATATATATGCTATAAATTATATATATGCTATATATATGCTATGAATATTTTTATATATAAAATTATTTATATATATATGCTATGAACAGATAAAACATGGTTACTATTTTTGCTTTAAAATGCAGGTTATGTGTCAGAATATAAAAATAAGAAAAAAAGGTTTCATTTACCTGTATTTATTCTGTTTCCAAAACTCTTACCTATTTGCCTACATTCAAATGTTTGACATTGATCATGTTCCTTCAGTGTTAAGAACTCCATTGAGGAGGAGCCAAGATGGCCGAATAGAAACAGCTCCGGTCTACAGCTCCCAGTGTGAGCGACGCAGAAGACGGGTGATTTCTGCATTTCCATCTGAGGTACGGGGTTCATCTCATTAGGGAGTGCCAGACAGTGGGCGCAGGTCGGTGGGTGCGCGCACCGTGGGCGAGCGGAAGCAGGGCGAGGCATTGCCTCACTAGGGAAGCGCAAGGGGTCAGGGAGTTCCCTTTCCTAGTCAAAGAAAGGGGTGACAGACGGCACCTGGAAAATCGGGTCACTCCCACCCGAATACTGAGCTTTTCCGACGGGCTTAAAAAACGGCGCACCAGGAGATCATATCCCGCACCTGAATCGGAGGGTCCTACACCCATGGAGTCTCGCTGATTGCTAGCACAGCCTTCTGAGATCAAACAGCAAAGCGGCAGCGAGGCTGGGGGAGGGGCGCCCTCCATTGCCCAGGCTTGCTTAGGTAAACAAAGCAGCAGGGAAGCTGGAACTGGGTGGAGCCCACCACAGCTCAAGGAGGCCTGCCTGCCTCTGTAGGCTCCACCTCTGGGGGCAGGGCACAGACAAACAAAAAGACAGCAGTAACCTCTGCAGACTTAAATGTCCCTGTCTGACAGCTTTGAAGAGAGCAGTGGTTCTCCCAGTACGCAGCTGGAGATCTGAGAACGGGCAGACTGCCTCCTCAAGTGGGTCCCTGACCCCTGACCCCCGAGCAGCCTAACTGGGAAGCACCCCCCAGCAGGGGCACACTGACACCTCACATGGCAGGGTACTCCAACAGACCTGCAGCTGAGGGTCCTGTCTGTTAGAAGGAAAACTAACAAACAGAAAGGACATCCACATCAAAAACCCATCTGTACATCACCATCATCAAAGACCAAAAGTAGATAAAACCACAAAGATGGGGAAAAAACAGAGCAGAAAAACTGGAAACTCTAAAAAGCAGGGCACCTCTCCTCCTTCAGAGGAATGCAGTTCCTCACCAGCAACAGAACAAAGCTGGACGGAGAATGACTTTGACGAGCTGAGAGAAGAAGGCTTCAGACGATCAAATTACTCCGAGCTACAGGAGGACATTCAAACCAAAGGCAAAGAAGTTAAAATCTTTGAAAAAAATTTAGAAGAATGTATAACTAGAATAACCAATACAGAGAAATGCTTAAAGGAGCTGATGGAGCTGAAAACCAAGGCTCAAGAACTACGTGAAGAATGCAGAAGCCTCAGGAGCCGATGTGATCAACTGGAAGAAAGGGTATCAGCGATGGAAGATGAAATGAATGAAATGAAGCGAGAAGGGAAGTTTAGAGAAAAAAGAATAAAAAGAAATGAGCAAATCCTCCAAGAAATATGGGACTATGTGAAAAGACCGAATCTACGTCTGATTGGTGTACCTGAAAGTGACGGGGAGAATGGAACCAAGTTGGAAAACACTCTGCAGGATATTATCTAGGAGAACGTCCCCAATCTAGCAAGGCAGGCCAACATTCAGATTCAGGAAATACAGAGAACGCCACAAAGATACTCCTCGAGAAGAGCAACTCCAAGACACATAATTGTCAGATTCACCAAGGTTGAAATGAGGAAAAAATATTAAGGGCAGCCAGAGGAGAGAAAGGTCGGGTTACCCACAAAGGGAAGCCCATCAGACTAACAGCGGATCTCTCGGCAGAAACTCTACAAGCCAGAAGAGGGTGGGGGCCAATATTCAACATTCTTAAAGAAAAGAATTTTCAACCCAGAATTTCATATCCAGCCAAACTAAGCTTCATAAGTGAAGGAGAAATAAAATACTTTACAGACAAGTAAATGCTGAGAGATTTTGTCACCACCAGGCCTGCCCTAAAAGAGCTCCTGAAGGAAGCGCTAAACATGGAAAGGAACAACCAGTACCAGCCACTGCAAAATCATGCCAAAATGTAAAGACCATCAAGACTAGGAAGAAACTGCATCAACTAATGAGCAAAATAACCAGCTAACATCATAATGACAGGATCAAATTCACACATAACAATATTAACTTTAAATGTAAATGGACTAAATGCTCCAATTAAAAGACACAGACTGGCAAATTGGATAAAGAGTCAAGACCCATCAGTGTGCTGTATTCAGGAAACCCATCTCACATGCAGAGACACACATAGGCTCAAAATAAAAGGATGGAGGAAGATCTACCAAGCAAATGGAAAACAAAAAAAGGCAGGGGTTGCAATCCTAGTCTCTGATAAAACAGGCTTTAAACCAACAAAGATCAAAAGAGACAAAGAAGGCCACTACATAATGGTGAAGGGATCAATTCAACAAGAAGAGCTAACTATCCTAAATATATATGCACCCAATATAGGAGCACCCAGATTCATAAAGCAAGTCCTGAGTGACCTACAAAGAGACTTAGACTCCCACACATTAATAATGGGAGACTTTAACACCCCACTGTCAACATTAGACAGATCAACAAGACAGAAAGTCAACAAGGATACCCAGGAATTGAACTCAGCTCTGCACCAAGCGGACCTAATAGACATCTACAGAACTCTCCACCCCAAATCAACAGAATATACATTTTTTTCAGCACCACACCACACCTATTCCAAAATTGACCACATAGTTGGAAGTAAAGCTCTCCTCAGCAAATGTAAAAGAACAGAAATTATAACAAACTATCTCTCAGACCACAGTACAATCAAACTAGAACTCAGGATTAAGAATCTCACTCAAAACCGCTCAACTACAAGGAAACTGAACAACCTGCTGCTGAATGACTACTGGGTACATAATGAAATGAAGGCAGAAATAAAGATGTTCTTTGAAACCAATGAGAACAAAGACACAACATGCCAGAATCTCTGGGATGCATTCAAAGCAGTGTGTACAGGGAAATTTATAGGACTAAATGCCCACAAGAGAAAGCAGGAAAGATCCAAAATTGACACCCTAACATCACAATTAAAAGAACTAGAAAAGCAAGAGCAAACACATTCAAAAGCTATCAGAAGGCAAGAAATAACTAAAATCAGAGCAGAACTGAAGGAAATAAAGACACAAAAAACCCTTCAAAAAATTAATGAATCCAGGAGCTGGTTTTTTGAAAGGATCAACAAAATTGATAAACCACTAGCAAGACTAATAAAGAAAAAAAGAGAGAAGAATCAAATAGATGCAATAAAAAATGATAAAGGAGATATCACCACCGATCCCACAGAAATACAAACTACCATCAGAGAATACTACAAACACCTCTACGCAAATAAACTAGAAAATCTAGAAGAAATGGATAAATTCCTCGACACATACACTCTCCCAAGACTAAACCAGGAAGAAGTTGAATCTCTGAATAGACCAATAACAGGATCTGAAATTGTGGCAATAATCAATAGCTTACCAACCAAAAAGAGTCCAGGACCAGATAGATTCACAGCCGAATTCTACCAGAGGTACAAGGAGGAACTGGTACCATTCCTTCTGAAACTATTCCAATCAATAGAAAAAGAGGGAATCCTCCCTAACTCATTTTATGAGGCCAGCATCATCCTGATACCAAAGCTGGGCAGAGACACAACCAAAAAAGAGAATTTTAGACCAATATCCTTGACGAACACTGATGCAAAAATCCTCAATAAAATACTGGCAAACCGAATCCAGCAGCACATCAAAAAGCTTATCCACCATGATCAAGTGGGCTTCATCCCTGGGATGCAAGGCTGGTTCAATATACGCAAATCAATAAATGTAATCCAGCATATAAACAGAACCAAAGACAAAAACCACATGATTATCTCAATAGAAGCAGAAAAGGCCTTTGACAAAATTCAACAACCCTTCATGCTAAAAACTCTCAATAAATTAGGTATTGATGGGACGTATTTCAAAATAATAAGAGCTATCTATGACAAACCCACGGCCAATATCATACTGAATGGGCAAAAACTGGAAGCATTCCCTTTGAAAACTGGCATAAGACAGGGATGCCCTCTCTCACCACTCCTATTCAACATAGTGTTGGAAGTTCTGGCCAGGGCAATTAGGCAGGAGAAGGAAATAAAGGGTATTCAATTAGGAAAAGAGGAAGTCAAATTGTCCCTATTTGCAGATGACATGATTGTATATCTAGAAAACCCCATTGTCTCAGCCCAAAATCTCCTTAAGCTGATAAGCAACTTCAGCAAAGTCTCAGGATACAAAATCAATGTACAAAAATCACAAGCATTCTTATACACCAACAACAGACAAACAGAGAGCCAAATCATGAGTGAACTCCCATTCACAATTGCTTCAAAGAGAATAAAATATCTAGGAATCCAACTTACAAGGGATGTGAAAGACCTCTTCAAGGAGAACTACAAACTACTGCTCAAGGAAATAGAAGAGGATACAAACAAATGGAAGATCATTCCATGCTCATGGGTAGGAAGAATCAATATCGTGAAAATGGCCATACTGCCCAAGGTAATTTACAGATTCAATGCCATCCCCATCAAGCTACCAATGACTTTCTTCACAGAATTGGAAAAAACTACTTTAAAGTTCATGTGGAATCAAAAAAGAGCCCGCATTGCCAAGTCAATCCTAAGCCAAAAGAACAAAGCTGGAGGCATCACACTACCTGACTTCAAACTATACTACAAGGCTACAGTAACCAAAACAGCATGGTACTGGTACCAAAACAGAGATATAGATCAATGGAACAGAACAGAGCCCTCGGAAATAACGTTGCATATCTACAACTATCTGATCTTTGACAAACCTGAGAAAAACAAGCAATGGGGAAAGGATTCCCTATTTAATAAATGGTGCTGGGAAAACTGGCTAGCCATATGTAGAAAGCTGAAACTGGATCCCTTCCTTACACCTTATACAAAAATCAATTCAAGATGGATTAAAGACTTAAATGTTAGACCTAAAACCATAAAAACCCTAGAAGAAAACCTAGGCTCTACCATTCAGGACATAGGCATGGGCAAGGACTTCATGTCTAAAACACCAAAAGCAATGGCAACAAAAGCCAAAATTGACAAATGGGATCTAATTAAACTAAAGAGCTTCTGCACAGCAAAAGAAACTACCATCAGAGTGAACAGGCAACCTACAAAATGGGAGAAAATTTTCACAACCTACTCATCTGACAAAGGGCTAATATCCGGAATCTACAATGAACTCATTACAAGAAAAAAACAAACAACCCCATCAAAAAGTGGGCAAAAGACATGAACAGACACTTCTCAAAAGAAGACATTTATGCAGCCAAAAAACACATGAAAAAATGCTCACCATCACTGGCCATCAGAGAAATGCAAATCAAAACCACAATGAGATACCATCTCATACCAGTTAGAATGGCAATCATTAAAAAGTCAGGAAACAACAGGTGCTGGAGAGGATGTGGAGAAATAGGAACACTTTTACACTGTTGGTGGGACTGTAAACTAGTTCAACCATTGTGGAAGTCAGTGTGGCGATTCCTCAGGGATCTAGAACTAGAAACACCATTTGACCCAGCCATTCCATTACTAGGTATATACCCAAAGGACTATAAATCATGCTGCTATAAAGACACATGCACACGTATGTCTATTGCAGCATTATTCACAATAGCAAAGACTTGGAACCAACCCAAATGTCCAACAATGATAGACTGGATTAAGAAAATGTGGCACATATACACCATGGAATACTATGCAGCCATAAAAAATGATGAGTTCATGTCCTTTGTAGGGACATGGATGAAATTGGAAATCATCATTCTCAGTAAACTATCGCGAGAACAAAAAATCAAGCACCACATATTCTCACTGATAGGTGGGAATTGGACAATGAGAACACATGGACACAGGAAGGGGAATATCACACTCTGGGGCCTGTTGTGGGGTGGGGGGAGGGGGGAGGGATAGCACTGGGAGATATTCCTAATGCTAGATGACGAGTTAGTGGGTGCAGCGCACCAGCATGGCACATGTATACATATGTAACAAACCTGCACATTGTGCACATGTACCCTAAAACTTAAAGTATAATAATAAAAAAATAAAAAAATATAAATAAATAAAAAGAACTCCATTGAATGTTTCTTATTTCTTATATAGTGGGTCTTCTGTTAATCAATTTCTTCAGCTTTTGTTTTGAGAATGTCTTTTCTAACCTTCATTTTTGAAGCATTTTCTTACTATGTAAAATAATGGAATAAAAGAATCCTGGATTGACAGTATATTTACTTTCAGCATTTAAAGATAGCACTCCATTGTCTTCTTTCCTGTGTAGTTTATGACAAGAAATCTACTATAATTCTTATCTTTGATCCTCTGTACAGACCATGCCTATGTTCTTGCTATACCCTCACTGTATAGAATACAGTGAAGAATCCCTATTTCTCTTGTGATACCTTGTGTTTAGAATACAGGCTTATTTATCATAAGGTTTTACTCAATGTCTACTCCCTACTTTGTTTTGCATTTTCCTCCTCAGCATTGAGTATTCCATTTGCACTGTTCCCTTGTAAGAATTTGTCTCTTGCAGTTCTCTCAGCTCTATTGCTCTACTACTTTTACTTAATGCTTGTTAGTCTGGTTAAGGGAAGACTTGAAGCCAATCCAATACTCCTATAGATTGTTTTTTGGATAAACATAGAAATTGACCCCTCTGTTTTCTTTTTGTTTTTTTTTTTGTTGTTGTTTTTGAGATGGACTCTCGCTCTGTTGCCCAGGCTGGAGTGCAGTGGCGCGATCTCAGCTCACAGCAAGCTCTGCCTCCCAGTTTCAAGCGATCCTATGAGTTCAACTTTTTAAGATTTCTTGTATAAGTGAGATAATATAGTATTTGTCTTTCTGTGTTTGGCATATTTCACTTATTTTATGTTCTCTTCTCTAGGTTCATCCATGTTGTTGCTAATGACAGAATTTCCTTCATTTGAAAGGATAAATAATATTTCATTGTGTATATATACCACATTTTCTTTATGCATTCATCTGTTGATGGATAGTTAAGTTGATACATGGCAGTGCAGATACCGCTTAAACCTATTGATTTCATTTTCTTTGGATATATACTCGGTAGTAGCATTGCTGCATGATATGGTAGTTCTATTTTTAACTTTTTGTAGAATGTCCATACTGTTTTCCGTATGTCTGCACTAATTTACATTCCCACTGACAGTGTACAAGGGTTCCCTTTTCTCCACATTTTCGCCAACACTTGTTATCACTTGGCTTTTCTATGAAAAACATTCTAACATATGTGGCGATATGTCATTGTGGCTTAAATTTGCATTTTCCTGATGATTGCTGATATTGAGCATTTCTTCCTATGTTTGTCGGCCATTTATCTTCTTTTGAGAAACGTCTATTCAGATCATTTGCTCATTTTTTAATTGAGCTACTTGTTTTCTTGCTACTGAGTTATGTTCCTTGTATATTTTGGATATCAACCCCTTATTAATGTATGGTTTGCAAATACAGACAGTCCTGTCTTGTGATGGTCCAGATTTTTCAACTTTACAGTGATGTGAAAGCAATACACACTCTGTAGAAATCTTACTTTGAATTTTAACTTTTTTTTTTTTTTTTGAGATGGAGTCTTGCTCTGTCTCCCAGGCTGGAGTGCAGTGGCGCGATCTCGGTTCACTGCAACCTCAGCCTCCTGGGTTCACGCCATTCTCCTGCCTCAGCCTCCTGAGTAGCTGGGACTACAGGCGCCTGCCACCATGCCCGGCTAATTTTTTGTATATTTAGTAGAGACGGGGTTTCACCATGTTAGCCAGGATGGTCTCGATCTCCTGACCTTGTGATCCGCCCACCTCGGCCTCCCAAAGGGCTGGGATTACAGGCATGAGCCACTGCGCCCGGCCTGAATTTTAACTTTCAATCTTTCCCCATGCTAGCAATATGTGGTACAATACTCTCACTATGCTGGGCAGTAGCAATGAGATGCTGCTCTCATTTATCACATGATCATGAGGATTAAAAAAAAAATGCTCCACAGTGGACTGTGTTGCCAGATGATTTTGCTCAGATTAATATAGGTGTTCTGAGCATGTTTAAGGTAGGTCAGTTGTATTAAATGCATTTCTTACAACATTTCCAATTTTCATTTTCAATTTATGACAGGTTTATCCAAATGTAACTCCATGATAAGTTGAGGAGCACCTGTGTTTTCTTCCAATCCAGTGGTTGTCTCTTCACTCTGTTAAATTTTTCCTTTGCTGTGCAGAAGCTTTTTAATGTGATGCAATCCCATTTGCATATTTTTGCTTGCCTGTGCTTTTGGGGTCATGTCCAAGAAACCCTTTCCCAGACCCACGTCATGGAGGTTTTCCTCTATGTTTTCTTCTAGTAGCTTTACATATTCAGGTCTCATGTTTAAGTGTTTAATCCATTTCGATTTTTTTTTTTGTAAAAGGGTGAGAAACGAGTCCAATTTTGTTTTCTGCATATAGCTACCTGGTTTTCTCAACACGCTTTATTGAACAGACTCTTTTCCCGTGTGTGGTGTTAGAAACTTTTTCAAAAATCAATTGACCATGGATGCATGTGTTTATTTCTAGGCTTTTTTTTTTTTTTTTTTTGTAGTTTTAGTAGAGACGGGGTTTCACTGTGTTAGCCAGGATTGTCCTAATCTCCTGACCTTGTGATCTGCCTGCCTCTGCCTACCAAAGTGATGGGATTACAGGCGTGAGCCACCACGCCCGGCCTTCTAGGCTATCTTGTTCCTTTGGTTGATGTGTCTGTTTCTATGCCATGCCCTTTCGATTACTACAGATTTGTAATATATTTTGAAATCAGGTAATGTGATGCCTCCAGCTTTGTTCATGCTGCTCAAGATTACTCTGGCTGCTCAAGGTCTTTTGTGGTTCCCTATGAATTTGGGGATTGTTTTGTCTATTTCAGTGAAAAATGACATTGGAATTTTGACAGCAATTGCTCTAAATCTCTAGATTGCTATGGATAGTGTCCTGATATTTTAGCAACATTAATTCTTCCAATTCATGAACACAAGGGGTCTTTTCATTTATTCGTGTTGTCTTCAATGTCTTTTATTAATGTTTTATAGTTTACTGTATGCAAATCTGTCACATTCTGGTTGAATTTACTCCTAAGTATGATTTTTTGATGCTGTTGTAAATGGGATTGTTTTCTTAATTTTTCCTCCTGGATCATTCATTGTTAGTGTGCAGAAACAAGACTAATTTTTGCACATTGATTTCGTATCCTGCAACTTTACTAGATTTGTTTATTAGTTCTAAAAGTTTTTTTGGTAGCCTCTTTAGGGTTTTCTATGTATAAGAGTATGTCATCAGCAAACAGAGACAATTTTCTTCCTATAATATTTGAATGCCTGCCAGGCATGGTGCGTCATGCCTGTAATCTCAGCACTTTGGGAGGCCGAGTTGGGAAGATCACTCGAGGTGGGTAGTTCGAGACCAGCCTGGCCAAACAAAGTGAAACCACCTGAAGTCAGGAGTTTCAGACCTGCCTGGCCAAACATGGTGAAACCCCATCTCTACTAAAAATGCCAAAATTAGCTGGGAGTGCTGGTCCATACCTGTAGTCCCACCTACCCAGGAGGCTGAGGCAGGAGAATCGCTTGAACCCAGGAGGCAGAGGTTACAGTGAGCTGAGATTGCTCTACTGTACTCCAGCCTGGGCAACAGAGAGAGACTCTGTCTCAAAAAAAAAAAAAAAAATTGGATGCCCTTTTATTTATTTTTGTTGCTTAACTGATCTGGCTGATCCTTAGCACTCCCAACCTCCCTCCTGTGTTTTCCTGGCCCTCCCCCCAGTGGTAGGGCTTTATTTATGCTGTTACCCCCGTCCAGCTCCATGGGTTTTCTGTGAGTGCTCAATGGCTATAGTTTTTGTTGCCCTTTTCTCTGTAGATTTATCTATATTTGTTACTTAGGGGATTCATGAGGTTTATGTTTATTTAGAGGCTACTGTTCCTTTACCTAGCATGAAGCTTTTTCTGGAATCTCTGGAGTGTACCCTATGAGACCTAATGGAGTTCTTTTTTCTTTTCTTTTCTTCTTTTCTTTTCTTTTTTTTTGAGACAGCGTCTCGCTCTGTCACCCAGGCTGGAGTGCAGTGGCACGATCTCGGCTCACTGCAAGCTCCGCCTCCCGGGTTCACGCCATTCTCCTGCCTCAGCCTCCGGAGTAGCTGGGACTACGCGCCCTCCACCACGCCTGGCTACTTTTTTGTTTTTAGTAGAGATGGAGTTTCACCGTATTAGCCAGGATGGTCTCCATCTCCTGACATCATGATCCGCCCACCTTGGCCTCCCAAAGTGCTGGGATTACAGGCGTGAGCCACCGCGCCTGGCCAAGACCTAATGGAGTTCCTAGAGGAACTTCTGGGACAGAAAATCCATCAAGCAGAGGCAATCCCACTCCCCACATGTTTGTGGCCCTCAGGGGCTTCCCACTGTCCTAGCTCCCATTAGTCTCTGAGCTGAAACTAGAAATTCCAGTTTGGGCCTTAATTGTGGTATTTAAACCACTTATATTTCATGTGATACTGACATGGTAAAGTTTGAATATTTCATCTTTCTATTTGTTTTCTATTTGTCCTGTCTGCTGTCTGTCCCCATCTTCCCTTTAATTCTGCTTCCTACGTATTATTTTCGTTATTTTCTTTTTTTCTTTACTTATTAGATATAACTCTCTATTTTAGTGGTTACTTTAGAGTTTAGAATATACGTGTTTACCTTATCACAGACTACCTTAAAATGATATTATACCACCTTATGTATACTATGGATAGTTCCTAGTAATAGTATGCTTTCTTTTTTCTCCTCTGACCATTGCACTGTGTTCTTACTTTTTATTTTATAAATGCTATACCCCCCTCTACAATAATTAACAATATTTGTTTTTACTGTAGTTTAACTAATCAATTATATTTTCAAGACATTTAAATTTTTTGAAAAAAAAATTCTTATCATTTCCCATGCTGTTTTTCCCTTTGCATATATCATGTTTTCACAACCTTGGCGCTATTCACACTGTGGGATAAATAATTATTTTTTGATATAGGGGATTTTATACTGTTCATTGCGGTATTTTTAGCTCTATTCCTGCCCTCTACACACAGGATACATGTAACAAATCACCCTCCTCCCCCGTCATGACAGCCAAAAATAATTTCAGACATTACTAAACATACCTTGGGAGGCAAAATTGCCCCTAATTGAAAATCATTGGTGTCGTTTCATATTTCCATTTGGTATGAGTTTTCTTCTACATTAGAAGATTCTCTCTAACATTTTTAAAAATTGTAGGTGTGCTGGTAATTAATTCTTTCAGCTTAAAAAAATGAGTTGAAATTCATATAACCTAAAATTAACCATTTTAAAATGAACAACTCAACTGCATTTAGTAATTCAAAATATTATTAAACTACTACCTCTATCTAGTTCTAAAATATTTTCATCACCCTAAAATAAAACCTCTTATTAAGCAATTCCATCCCATTCCCAATGACTTATATGAATTTACTTATTCTGGTTATTTTACATGCCTTAAATCATAGAATATGTGGACTTTGCTGTCTGGCTTCTTTCACAGATCATAATATTTTTGAGATTCCTCTGTATTATGGAATATATCAGTACTTTGTTATATTTTATGGCTTAATAATATTCCATTGCACATATACATCACCATCGATTCATTTATTGCTGGACATTGGGGTTATTTCTGAAGCCTTTTGGCTTGTGATTACTTCTGCTGTAAGTATTCATATGCAAGTATTTGTGTGAAAATTTATTTTCTCATGGTGAGGAAAAGTCGCAGGATCATCTGGTGACTCTATCATCTGGTGAGGAAATGCCAGAATCTTTTTAGAAGAGGGCACACAATTTCATACTCTCACAAGCACCATACAAGTTGTCCAATTTTTCTGCATCCTTACCAACACATGCTAGTGGGTCCTTTTGAATGTTGCCATCCCAGGGGATGTGCAGAGTTGTCTCATTGTGGTTTTGATTTGCACTGTCCTAATGACTAATGATGTTGAACATTTTTTTAATGTGTGTATTAGCCATTTATGTTTCTTCTCTGAGGAAGTGTTAAGATCCTTCGCCCTTTTAAAAAATTGGTTATTCATCTTTATGTCATTTTGTTGTAATAGTTCTTTCTATATTCTAGGTACAAGTCCCTTATCAGAGATATGATTTGCTTCTAATACAGATGCAGATAATCTCAACAAAATACGAGCAAGTTGAATCTAGCAATATATAAGGAATTATACACCATGACCTAGTGGGATTGATTCCAAATATGGATTGATTCCAAATATGGATTGATTCCAAATGTGCAAGACTCCTTCCATATTTGAAAAATCAGTAAATTAATGTAATGCACCACATCAACAGACAAAAGAAAAATAATCATATAATCACCTAATACCTTGCTACTATCATTACTTTAAACAAAGTTATATTTTAGATCAATGATAGCTAAGAAATACAGACAATTTTATTTTACCTTCATGTATCCCTTCTCTAACACATTTTCTTTCTTTATCTAGATCTGAGTTTCTAAGTGATTTCCTTCTCCTTGAAATATTATTTTAACATTTTTTACAATGGGGGTCTGCTGGTGATGAATTCCCAGTTTTTCTTCACCTGAGAAAGTCTTTATTTCTACTTCACTTTCATTATATGGATAATTGTACAGGATATAGAATTTCTTCTCTCTTCTTTTCTTGTCTTTTTTGTGAGACAGGATCTCACTCTGTCACCCAGGCTGGAGTGCAGTGGTTTGATTGTGGCTCACTGCAACCTCCACCACTGAGGCTCAAGTGATCCTCCCACCTCCTCTTGAGTAGCTGGGACTGCAGGCACACAGCACCACACCCAGTTGATTTTTTGTGTTTTTGGTAGATACTGGGTTTCACCATGATGCCCAGGCTGGTCTGGAATTCCTGAGCTCTAGCAATCTGCCCTCATCGACCTCCCAAAGTGCTGGTATTACAGGCATGAGCCACACATGGCCCGGATATAGAATTTCTGGGATATAGAATTCATTTACATGTAAGTAGTTTAGTGCCTGTTCTCAATATTGGAGGCCACATCCCTAGGAGTGGAATTGCTAGATCATATTCCATGGGCCATTCTGTTTTACTTTGGCAGGAAATGCCACACATTTCCACCATTGATTTACAAGGGTTACAGTCTCTCCACATCTTCAACACTGGTTATGTTTTTCCTTTTTTTAATTGTCACTATCCTAGTGGTATAAAGTGACATCTCATTGTGATTTTGATTTGCATTTCTCTAAAAATGAAATATTTTTAACATTGTTTCGTATGCTTATTTGCCATTCATATAGATACTTTGGAGAACTTTCTATTCACATTACTTACCAATTCTCTTTTTCTTCCATTGAATTGTAAAGGTTCCTTACTATGGTCTGAATATTTGTTTTCCCACCTTGATTCATATGTCAAAATTCTAATCCCCAAGATGATGGTATTAGAACATACAGCCTTTGATTGATGATTAGGTCATGAGGATAGAACACTCAGGGAATGGGATTACTTCCATTATAAAAGAGGTCCATGAGAGCTATTCATTCCTTCCACCATGTGAGGAGGGAGCTAGAAGGCACCATCTATGAACCAGAAAGTGAGTCCTCACCAGACGCCAAATCCGCTGATGCCTTCATACTGGACTTTTCAGTCTCCAGAACTGTGAGAAACACATTTCTATTGTTTATTAGCTATGCAGTTTATGGTATTTTGCTGTAGCAATCCACACAGACTAACACATTCATTATATATTCTGTATATTTGATCCTTATCAATGTATGATTTGCAATTTTCAATCCTTTTGCAGGTTTTTAAAAAATCACTTTCTGGCCATGGTGGGCAAAACAAATGCCAGTTTCTGCACTGCTCCATCAAGGAACTGCCTGGCAGGTTAAAACACACAGCCATCTTTTTCGTAAATATGTATCGCAAGGTCCATTTTTATTTATTTATTTTTTTGAGACAGTGTCTCTCTCTGTCGCCCAGGCTGGAATGCAGTGGCGTGATCTCAGCTCACTGCAAGCTCCGTCTCCCGGGTTCACACCATTCTCCTGCCTCAGCCTCCCGAGTAGCTGGGACTACAGACGCCCGCCACCACGCCCTTCTAATTGTTTGTATTTTTTTGTAGAGACGGGGTTTCACCGTGTTAGCCAGGATGGTCTCGATTTCCTGACCTCCTGATCCGTCCGCCTCGGCCTCCCGGAGTGTTGGGATTACAGGCGTGAGCCACCACGCCTGGCCACAAGGTCCATATTTTTTCCCCCAACACCACCAGTCCACACTAGGAACACTGTCTCCATGCCTTCTGTAGATCTGGTGAATGAGGGATGGTCTGTTGATAAGCAAAAAGTCCATGATGCTTTATAACCAAAATTTAGCCATCTCTTTCTTCATTAAATAATCCTGATTGCTGTAAGTTGTTTTATTTATTTTATTATTATTATTATTATTATTTTTAACTAGCTTCCAAAATTCTGAAAAAGTTGATTCAGTGTTGCCAGCCTCATTGTTGCTTCACTAAAGGGGCCAATTCTTGAGCTACTCCAGTTTCCATGAAGTCACTTCCCTCATTCAGCGTTTGTATGTGGGAAAAAAGTCTTCATTTCACCTTTTCTCTATGAAATGTGTTTTCGATATGTATGAAATTCTATGTCTACAGTTTTTTTCTCTCTTTGAGTATTTTAACGATTTTGCTGTCTTCTCCCTTGCACTTTTGCAGTGAGCTCTCTACTACCATTCTTGTCTTTGTTGCTATGTGTGGAATGTGTCTATTTCTCTCTGGCTACTCTTAACTTTTCTCTTTATCACTGAGTTTGAATATTTTGATTATGAGATGCTTTGTTTGTTCTTTTTTTTCATTTCTTGTTATTGGGTTCATTAGGGTTCTTGGACCTATGAGTTTACATTTTTCATCAAATTTTGACAAATTTTTACCATTACATCTTCAGTTATTTGAGGGAAATGGGTTCTTCATAAATTCTTCATAAATTGTTTTTCTCTTATGTGTTTGATTTGGAGTTCCTATTGCTATGATTTTTAATTCACTAATTTTTTCATGGAATGTTTAATCTGTCATTCCATTACACTTGATTCCATCTAGTGTAATTTCATCTCATTCATTGTAGTTTTCATGTCTGACAGTTTGGTTTTGATTTTTGAATAACTTTGATGTCTCTACTGAAAGTTTAAAACATACAGAATAGAGTTCTGATAGCGTTTCTAATATTACTTTTTGTGAATAATAATATGTGTGTCCATTCTGGGTTAATTTTGATGTATTGATTATCTTCTTCATTAGATGCTACATTTCCTACTTCTTTGTGTTCCTGGTATTGAGTGCCAGCCATTTTGAATTTTCTCTCTTCAGGACCAGTGTATTTTTTAACTTCATATTTTTGATTCACATGTTCTGAGATTTAGTTCATCTGCTTAGATGTTAATATCTTTTTTTAGGCTACACCAGAACAGTGCTCATTCTAAGGCTAATTGTTCCCCAAGATTCAGGAAAACCTTTTGATGTTACTATACCCAAAGCCTTACGAATTATGAAGTTTTCCAATATGGCTGTTGGAAAGAGACATTACTCTCAGTCTATGTTAGGCTCATACACTGTTAATTCTAATTCTTTTCTGACGGAGCTCCCTAGCCTTGAGCAGTTTCCTTTCATGTTGCTGTTTGAAGGATTGAAAATCTTGGGTGTTTTGTTTCTCAATTAATTCATCACTAACTCATCCTCAAGCTGAAACCCTAAATAAAAATCTATTTTTTTTTCTGTGTCTATCGCAATATTTCTTTCTTTCTTTCTTTCTCTTTTTTGGGGGATGGAGTCTTGCTCTGTCACCCAGGCTGGAGTTCAGTGGCACAATCTCGGCTCACTGTAGGCTCCGCCTCCTGGGTTCACGCCATTCTCCCTCCTCAGCTTCCCGAGTAGCTGGGACTACAGGTGCCCACCACCACGCCTGGATAATTTTTGTATTTTTAGTAGAGACGGGGTTTCACCTTGTTAGCCAGGATGGTCTCGATCTCCTGACCTCGTGATCTGTCCGCCTCGGCCTCCCAAAGTGTTGGGATTACAGGCTTGAGCCACTGCACCCGGCCGTCTATCGCAATATTTCTTAAGTCAAAATGACGAACACAGTTAACAAAGCAAAGATTTGTCATTACAGATTTTTAAAAATCCTTGAGAGCTTCTGAAAAGGACAACTGTCCTATTATCCTTACATTTGGTTTTGTTTTCCAGCTGGAATGCATCATTTAGGAACATTAGATCTCACAGTGCATTTTGGAACTCAAAGCCAAAGAATAGCATCATTCACCTTTCAGTGATTGCCCCCTCCTCACCAGTGTTTCTTACTCAGTGAAACTGGCTTTCTTACCAATTATCTCTACCATTAGTTTTGGTTCTGCTTAGCACAATTTATTGTATAGACAATATGTGAGAGTTAAGTCAGGGTATTCCATCTCTTTATGTATCTTGCCACTAGCCACCTATGGATTAATGTCACCCTGAAGCCAAATGAAGAATGGCAAACTCAGAGGTAACTTTATTTTGATGATAGTGAGCTTGGGTTCTGCCTTTTTCATATGAATAAAATATTTTATGAATAAATACCATATATACATAAATTCACAAAAACACACATATATCACTCTAGTTCTGAAATATTTCCTATCAACGAGAAGTAGTTGGACCCTTCTTTTTCTAAGTTGAGGCTTCCAAATACTGCTGAATTTTTCTCTTTATTCCTCTGAAATTCTGCTTCTACAAACAGCAATAATGACCAGATTAGAGGTTATGTAGGTGGAAAGTCCACAGGTCAAACCAACTCCCTGGGTAACAGAACAAGGGGTTCTTAAGTAATTTGTTTATGTTACTAAAGAATCTGCCTCCTTATACACTCTAAAGTAGCAAAAATGGAGCCGATTCTTCCCATTTTAACTTGTTCTATGCACCTCAAGCCTTGTCCACCTTTATTCCACATTTAATTTGCCAAACCTTGATGCTGTTCTGGTTGCTAGACCTTGCTGACTCCATAAATTCTATAGAAACATAATTTTTAATTATTTTACAAAGCACTGTTTACTAATTTTCTTTCATTTTAAAATTTTAAGTGATCTTCAAATGATGCAATGATAAACATCTCCATAAATAAATTATTGTCTAAAGTCCAATTGTTTTCTTTTTCTTTTTCTTTTTTTTTTCAGACAGAGTCTCACACTGTTGCCCAGGCTGGAGTGCAATGGCACGATCTCAGCTCACTGCACCCTCTGCCTCCCGGGTTCAGGTGATTCTCCTGCCTCAGCCTCCCAAGTAGCTGGGATTACAGGCACATGCCACCACACCCAACTAATTTTTTTATATTTTAGTAGAGACAGGGTTTCACTGTGTTTCCAAGTCCGGTCTCAAACTCCTGACCTCAGGCAATCCACCCACCTCGGCCTCCCAAAGTGCTAGGATTACAGGTGTGAGCCACTACGCCCAGCCCTGATTGTTGTCTTAATGCCAATTCCTGAATGTGAATGTGAATTTCTTAAAAAAAAACACAAAAAACAAAAACAAAAACAAAACGGCATTTTTAATGTACTTGCTAGGATTTGCCTAATTAATTCCCAGTGGTAAAGGTGCAAAAGATATGTTATCTCACCATCTTTGCAGTACATATGTTTTTAACATTTTTTGACAGTTGATATGTGGAAATGGCATGCCATTCTGCAGTTCTGAATTTGCATAACTATTAGGAAGCTCAAACTGTTTTTCTTATATTTATTATTTATATTTTTGGTATATATTGTTTATGTCTTTGCCCATTTATAAGAATGTTTATTATGTTCTTTATTTTAAAAACTATTGTTTCCTTATAAATTCAAAATATATTGTTAGAATATAAATAATTGAGAGAACACAGATGTAGAAAAACAGAAATTACTCCAGTAATTCCATTTCCATTTATATCACCACAATTTAGTTTATATATTTTTCCAACAATGTTGTGCCTGTGTATACTTTGGAAAAAATAATCGGATCATATATTTATATTTTTATACTACTTTTTTTTTTTTTTTTTTTGAGATGGAGTCTCGCTCTGTCACCCAGGCTGGAGTGCAGTGGCCCGGTCTCAGCTCATTGCAAGCTCCGCCTCCCAGGTTCACACCATTCTCCTGCCTCAGCCTCCCTAGTAGCTGGGACTACAGGTGCCCACCACCACACCTGGATAATTTTTTGTATTTTTAGTAGAGACGGGGTTTCACCGTGTTAGCCAGGATGGTCTAGATCTCCTGACCTCGTGATCTGCCCACCTCGGCCTCCCAAAGTGCTGGGATTACAGGCGTGAGCCACTGTGCCCGGCCTATACTACTTTCCAAATTGAATCTTTTCAAGTCAATATCTCAGACACTTTAAGCAATGCTCAATTATCTATCATGTTAACTAGGCAGAGATTCTTTAAAACATTTCTTATGGATAGACATTTAGGATTTTTTCCAATTTTTGCTAGTATTTATCCCCACAATATACATTCTTATTTCTGAACACTTATTGTACACAGTCCTAGACAAGGAATTGCTGTGTTACACAATATAATTATATATTTTTTTGTGACATATTGCCAGATTGCCTTCACATATGTTTCTACAAACCTGGAGATCCCTTCAATCTGGAGATCCCCACAGCTCACTGATGCCCACTTCTCCACACGTCAACACTGCATACAGTGAGGTTGGTCAACTCATAATGTATGTCTCTTGCCTCTTTCTAAATTACTTTTAAAAGGGATATTCCCTGAGCTTTCCATGTGTTTTACTTATTGATAGTGTATAGATAGTAACCACATATGATATGGGGTAACCTCTCTCCTTTTCTTTTCTTTTCTTTATTTCTTTTGAGAGGGAGTCTTGCTCTGTCGCCCAGGCTGGAGTGCAGTGGCGTGATCTCGGCTCACTACAACCTCTGCCTCCTGGGTTCAAGCAATCCTCCCGCCTCAGCCTCCAGAGTAGCTGGGATTACAGGCCAGCACCACCACGCCTGGCTAATTGTTTGTCTTTTCAGTAGAGATGGGGTTTCACTGTGTTGGCCAGGCTGGTCAGGAGCTCCTGGGCCTTAGTGATCCTCCCGCCTCGGCCTCCTAAAGTGCTGGGATTACAGGTGTGAGCCACTGTGCCCAGCCTCCTTTCTTAATTTTTATCTGCTAATGGTATTGCTATTTTTTGTTTAGAATGGTATTTATAAATCAAGTTAACTTCTTGTGACTGATTCTACTTTTTAACATATAGTTAGCCTTCTCTAGCTTATGCTTTCAGCTCAGTTATAAATTTAGGCCAGTAATGCACAGCTCGAACAATAGTCCATCCTTCAGAGTCATTGTCTTGGGCAGAGTCCTCGGTTAGTACCTCTGGAAACCCTGAGTGCATGTGAGAGGTGAAGCAGTGCTACTGGCTGGATTCGCCCGAGAGCCCACTCAACAGAGCAATGCAGCTTACTGGGTTTCAGTTAATTTTTATACAGATAGTTTATGTAAAATGTATACCTTTTTATGAAATTTGGAAAATATAGAAAATAAACAAAACATTTTTATAACCCCCATGGTGCGAATCCAATAACTTTGGATTTTGGAGAATTTTCCTATAGTCATCTTCGCCACGTCTGTTTGATGTGCTGCAGTGCCTGTTTTTCTGTTTTTTTTTTTTTTTTTTTTTTCATCAGCTGCTCATCACACATTCCACACTGCAATACAGCTCCTGCTTCCTGTGACCCTGTCTAAGTTGTCTTATAGCATATTCTCCTGGTCTGCTCTCCCCAACACCAGTCTCTACCCAGGGAGAGACTGTAGAGTTAGGTTCCCGGACTTGTGGTTTCTTCTGCTATTTGGAGAGGGGAGATAAATTTACCTTTGAATATTCTGTTAGACCCACCACCATCTCTCATTACTTGTCAACTCCACCCATTTATCCCCAACAAACAATTAAAAGGTGAACCTAACCTCCTCTCTCTTCTTTAATTTGAAAGGTTATTCATGAATTGTAATCCCTATATACCTGTTAACTATTAACCTTCCACAGGGGAACCAATACTGCAAACCATAATCTCATAGCAAAATCACTAGCATGGAGAAGACCAAAAATATTTAGAAATGAGTTTAACACCACTGCCCCCACCCCCCGCCAAAAAGAAAGAAGAAAAAGAAGAAAGAAGAGGGAAGATGGAAGGAAGGAAGGGAGGAAGGAAAGAGAAAGAAAGAAAGGAAGAAGAAGGAGAAGAAAGAAGAAGGGAAGAAGAAAGAATAAAAGAAGCAAAGAGAAGTTGATTTTCAGATTTAATTCAGGTCTGTGTATCCTATCATTCTTTCCCAGGCACTGGGAATGTAATTCAGGGTATAAGTTAGGGCCCATTCTCTGGTAGGAGTTCTAGAATGATCTCCCACAGTCTCCCTGTGTGACAGGGGGCAGGGTATCTAACCCCTTCCACTTCAGTCATCTCCTCTTTAAAATGAGGATACTAATGAAAAAATATCTCATATGCTGCATAAAAATATGACAAGAGGTAATTGCCCGGGTCTGATTAAGTAATTTGTAAACAGTACCTAATACTATTATTTCAAATTATTCCAATAGTCCGAAGGCCCGTGTAACATTTACTTTCTGTATTTTGGGATTTTTTTTTTGTGGTTGTTGTTTATTGATTTTGTTTTTGTTTTTTAGTTGTTTTGTTCCTGAGGAAAAGGAATCATTTTTCTTTTCTTTTCAGATATGGTCTTTCTATACAAAAATTATATATATAGTTATATATATGTAGTTTTGTACAGAAATTATATATAATAATATGTAATTTTTTGTACAGAAAGACTATATATATACACACACACACACAAAGTAACGTCAATTTTTCCTTTTTCTTTATCCCCGCATCCTCTGCCTTGGTTTAGAATTTCATCATCTCTCATTTACGCTATTTCAGAAGCCTGGTAACCCGTCTCCCTGGCAACAGTTTCCACTCTACTCATTGCCTAAGGACTGATTTCCTTCTCTCATTCCATTCCCTCCCACTCTTCTATCTTCCTGATCAAATGAATTTCAATGCCACACACATAATACATGTTATAATATTGTGTTCCTGGCTAGACCTTATTTGCATATGAATAAATGTTTTTTGAGTAGATGAAATGATAGCAATATGTAATTTATATTCTGATTTTCACCTGGCAGTAATTTCACAAGCACTTTTCAGACCACTAGATAGACCTAGTAATTATTTTTCTAGGTAATATGAGTATCTATAAGGGAGAAAAGACCATTATTCAATTAATTATTATACACTGTTATTAGAAATTCGGGTCACATCCAATTTGGGGGGTCATTTTAAATGATATTTCTTTGAACGTTTGCATATGCACTGGTATATTTCTAGTTTTTGTCATATTTCATTATAAGATACATGGGATTGTTTCAGTGGGGCAAAGGGTGAAATATTTTTTGAAAATATGTTTTATGGCATTTGATTATGATGCCGTCTGATTTCCAAATGTACTGGCTCAATCAATACTGAACCTTGTGTATTATGGCATCACTTTGCTACAAGACATAAGATTTGCACAATGTCATCTTAATTTTGCATTTAAGGAATAAAAAGTTTCTTAATCTGATGATTATGAATTGGAATCTTTGCTTTAGTTTAATGATTAGCAAAGTTAAAATTATTCACATTTTTCACTGAGTGTATAATTGTACGTGTGTGTGTATGTGTTTTTCAAAGAGAGAGATTTGGACTGTAACTATTTGTATCCCTTAATTATTTAGTATTAATTTATTGTTATAGTCAGTAGGAACACCTGAGGGGTGGAGAGAGTAATGTGTCTAATATTTCTTGTGTTGTTTCCCTTTGTTTTCATTGTTTTGTTTTTGTTGATGAAGGTAGGGCTTTTTTTAAACCCCTTATAGTCTTTAATGCCATTTAGTATCCCAATTCTTGTATTCTTTTCCTTGTAAATCTTCCCTAAAATCATTTGGCCCTATTATTATTATTATTTTTAAACATAGAGGAGAACAGGGGCAGTGTCATGATTTCTGGGTCTGATATTCTTCCTCTGTATTGAAGCTACTCCCTGCACACAGTGAGGCTCTCTATGGAGACCCAGTCCCTGTGTCTTCCCATGGTGAGTGAAATAATGGCACTGGACTGGTCTAGTCGCTCTAAGACTCTGAATAAATGAAATGTACAGAGTCAGGCACAGCTTCCAACAGGTGATTAGCACCACATCTAGGCTTTTTTCCCCCTCTTTCCTGCACTTTCTCTCTTTCTTGTATTCTGAGTGTGGCATGAAATTTATTTGATCAGGAAGATAGACGAATAGGAGGGGATGGGAAGGGAGGGAAGGAAATCAGTCCTTAGGCAATGCGTAGAGTGGAAACTGTTGCCAGGGAGACGGGTTACTAGGCTCCCTTAAGTTCCACATAAGTTTGCTGAGACAGGTCTATTGTAATTTGAGTTCTCTTTAAATGAATTAGTTCATCCTTAATAGTGTGAAGTCCTGGAGGACAGCGAGGGTGTTTTATTTAACTTTGTTTCCCTGTCAATTGTGGCTCAAAGAAGGACATTTAAAATTTATATTGAATTAAGGGACAGGGCATTATGCTCTGGGGTATGATGATTTCAGAAGGTAAATGTCAATGGGGAATAATATGTCCAAATGAAAGCGAGATGTATGCCCTGTAATGTGCTCTAAGGTCCTTTGAGATCCTAGTGAGAGAAAAAAGCAGTCTAGAGGTGAAGAGGACCCTAGAGAGATGCATGAGGTGGGAAAGAATAAGCTAGGAGGTATATGCCTAGTGAAAATAGGTTCCACAGCAGCATCACCCTGACTGCAGAGATATTAGCGCGGCTCCCTTTCTCCAATATCCAGATGTAGGCCTGAACCTGTGGATCTGGACAGGCTGCCAAAGGTGTGCTGCATATTTTTGCCAGGAACAATTTGAATGGGTCATTGTCAGTGGGTTAGCCTCATGTTTTGTTAAATTTATCCCTAAGTATGTCACATTTTGGGATGCTATTGTAAATAGTGTGGCTTATTTAATATTTTATTTTCCAAGTTTTTAATGCTAGTGTATAGAAATAGAAATGATTTTAACTCCAAATTTTGCAATAATTGTATATTTACAGGAAGTTATAAGGAGTAATGCTGAAGGATCCTGTGTACTTTCACTCAGTTTTTCCCAGTATCATAACCTTACAAAATTTCTAGTACAGTGTCACAAGAACACTGACGCTGATACTGCCAAGATGCAGAATAGCCCCATCACCACAAGGACCTCCACAGCACCCTTTATAGCCACCCCCACTCACTGCATGCCCAATGCATTTGTAACCACAAGCAACCACTAATCTGCTCTCCATTTCTATAATTTTGTCATTTCGAGGATTTTATATAAAGAGAATCATAGAATGTCTAACATTTGAATTTGGCTTTTTTCACTCAGAATAATCGTCTAGAGATTATCCATGCTGGCTGTTGTATGTATCAATACTTGATTCCTTTTAACTGCTGAATAGTTCAGGAAGTGCAGGTACCATGGTTGGTTTAATCAGGCACCAGTTGAAGGTATTTGGCTTGTTTTAAGTCTGGGACTTATTATGAATAAATATGCTATAAACATTCATGGATAAGTTTTGGTGCAAACCCGAAGTCTTCATCTCTCTAGGGATAACTTACCAAGAGTATAATGCCTAGATTATATGGTAGTTCTATGTTTAGGGGCTGCTGTATGTATTTTTTTCCTAACAGCATGGGACAATGATTCAGTTTCTCTGCATTTTGCATTGTCACTTTTTTCTTCGCAATTTTGAACAAATGTGTCATGGTATCCAATTGTGTTTTTTCGTTTGTATGTTTGTTTTGTTTTTGAGACAAAGACTCACTGTCACCCAGACCGGAGTGCAGTGGCGCGATCACGGCACACTGCGGACTCGACTTTCCAGGCTCAAGCGATCCTCTCAAGTGATTAGAGGCACAAGCCACCATGCCCAGGTCATCTGTTCACTTTTTGATAGTGCATTTCATTTTATTTTTTTACTTTTTGTAGAGACACAATCTCACGATGTTGCCCAGGCTGGTCGCTCCTGAGTAGCTGGGACTACAGGTGCACACCACCATGCCTGACTGATTTTTGTATTTTTTTATAGAAATAGCATCTCGAAACCCCGTCTCTACTAAAAATACAAAAAATTAGCTGGGTGTGGTGGTGGGCGCCTGTGGTCCCAGCTACTCGGGAGGCTGAGGCAGGAGAATGGTGTGAACCCGGGAGGCGGAGCTTGCAGTGAGCAGAGATCGCGCCACTGCACTCCAGCCTGGGCAACAGAGCGAGACTCCGTCTGAAAAAAAAAAGAAAAAAAAAGAAAAAAAAAGAAATAGCATCTCATCATGTTGCTCAGGCTGCTCTCCAACTCCTGGGCTCAGGCAATTGTCAGCCTTCCAAAGTGCTGGGATTATAGGTGTGAGCCACCATGCCCGGCCTCATTGTGGTTTTAACTTGCATTTTCTTCACAGGTAATGATGCTAACTATCTTTTTATGTGCTTATTTTCTATCTATATACCTTCTTTAGTGAAATGTCTCTTCATGTATTTTGGGCATTTTTTCTTATTTTTTGTTTTTACTTTTGAATTTTGAGAGTTCTTTATATATATATATTTTTGTCTTTTTTTTATTATTATACTTTAAGTTTTAGGGTACATGTGCACATTGTGCAGGTTAGTTACATATGTATACATGTGCCATGCTGGTGCGCTGCACCCACTAACTCATCATCTAGCATTAGGTATATCTCCCAATGCTATCCCTCCCGCCTCCCCCCACCCCACAACAGTCCCCAGAGTGTGATGTTCCCCTTCCTGTGTCCATGTGTTCTCATTGTTCAGTTCCCACCTATGAGTGAGAATATGCGGTGTTTGGTTTTTTGTTCTTGTGATAGTTTACTGAGAATGATGATTTCCAATTTCATCCATGTCCCTACAAAGGACATGAACTCATCATTTTTTATGGCTGCATAGTATTCCATGGTGTATATGTGCCACATTTTCTTAATCCAGTCTATCATTGTTGGACATTTGGGTTGGTTCCAAGTCTTTGCTATTGTGAATAATGCCACAATAAACATATGTGTGCATGTGTCTTTATAGCAGCATGATTTATAGTCCTTTGGGTATATACCCAGTAATGGGATGGCTGGGTCAAGTGGTATTTCCAGTTCTAGATCCCTGAGGAATTGCCACACTGACTTCCACAATGGTTGAACTAGTTTACAGTCCCACCAACAGTGTAAACGTGTTCCTATTTCTCCACATCCTCTCCAGCACCTGTTGTTTCCTGACTTTATATATATTCTTGATATGAATCTTTTGTCGGACATGTTGTTTACAAAT
The DNA here is from genome assembly GCF_000001405.40 of Homo sapiens. NCBI lineage: Eukaryota > Metazoa > Chordata > Mammalia > Primates > Hominidae > Homo > Homo sapiens. The sequence goes on from NC_000015.10 coordinate 23,739,496, forward strand.
ATTTTTGCCCTGTCTGTTTTGTAGTCTGTTTATGCTCTTAACAGGGCCATTCACAGAGCAAAAATAATGATAATTATAATTTTAATAAAATTTCACATAATTTCTCCTTTTATAGATTTTGCTTTTGGTTTAAGAACTCTTTTTCTAGTTGGATATTCTGAAAATTTTCTCCTATGCTTTTTCTAAAATTTTACACTTACTTTTAATTCTGCAGTCCATTATGATGTCATTTTTGGATAAATTGTGAGTTAGATCAAGGTTCATTGTTCCATCTATGGATGTTCAATTGCTCTCATACTATTTGTTGAAAAGACTTCTATTTTTCCATTGAATTACTTTTGCTCTTTTGTCAAATATGGCCACAGTGATGAGGGGGTATGTTTTTAAGTTCTCTATTGTGTTTGATCAACCAATCATCTATCCTTCTGCCACTATCACATACTCTTTTTTATTGAGATATGACTCAAATACTATAACAATTATCCTTTTAGAGTGTACAATTCAGTGGTTTTTAATATATTTGCAAATTCGTACAACCATCACTACTGTCTAGTTCCAGAACATTTTCATTACCCCAGAATGAAAGCACACACACATGGCTGGGCGTGGTGGCTCAAGCCTGTAATGCCAACACTTTGGGAGGCCAAGATGGGTGGATCACCTGAGGTCGGGAGTTCGAGACCAGCCTGGGCAACATGGCAAAAGCCCGTCTCCACTAAAAATACAAAAATCAGCCGAGGGTGGTGGCGCCTGCCTGTAGTCCCAGCTACTCCAGAGGCTGAGGCAGGAGAATCATTTGAAACTGGGAGACGGAGATTGCTGTGAGCTGAGACGGCCCCACTGCACTCCAGCCTGGGCTACAGAGTAAGATTCTGTCTCAAAAGAAAAAAAAAAAAAAAAGCACATACCCATTATCAGTCACTACTAATTCCCTCCTCCACCAAGAACCCTCCCACTTCGGCCTCCCAAAGTGCTGAGATTACAAGGGCGAGCCACCACTCTCAGCCTGATAGTGCATTTAAAATCACAAGTTCATGATGTTTAATTTATCCTTTTTTGTCACTTGTGCTTTTGATGTCATATCTGTGACCTATGACCACATGTGACCTTGCCTAATCCAAGAAAATGAAGATTTACAGCTACTTTTTCTTCTATTATTTATTTATTTATTTATTATTTATTTTAGGTTGAGGATTGTTTTGTTTTGAGATTTATCTCTTAGTGGTTATATTTATTGTTTGGTCAAGATTCAGTTGATTGAGAGCTCCAATTTTATTCTTTTTCATCTGAATATACAGTTTTCTGGAACAACTTTTTGAAAACACTATTATTTAACCCATTGAATTGTTTTGGAACTTGTGTTACAAATAAATTGTCCTCAGATCGTAAGTTTATTTCTGTTCCCTCAGGTCTTTGTCTACACTCATGTGAATACTACGGTCTATTGATTACCATGTAGAAAATTTTAGTATTAGAAAATGTGAGTCCTTCAATTTTGTTGCTTTTCAGGATTTTTTGGCTATTATCAGCTCCTTCTATAAGAACTTTGAATTAGCCTGTCAATTTGTGAGAAAAGAATTAGCCTGTCAATTTGTGAGAAAAAAAGGCCAGCATGGATTTTGGTAGGGATTGTGTTGAATCTAAAGATTTATTTGGGGGAGTGCTTTAATCTATTTTAGTCAATTTCTGTTGCTGTAACAGAGCACCACAGACTGGGTAATTTACAAAGAAAGAAATTCATTCAGCTCTTAGTTCTGGAGGCTGAGAAGTCAAAGAGCATGGCATTGGCACCTGTTGAGGGCCTTTATGCTGCATCATAGCATGATGGACGGGCAAGTGAGAACGTAAGACTGAGAAAACAGCATCAGGGACTGACTTGCTGTGTAACAATCCATTGTCATGATAACTAACCCACTCCTGCAATAAATACATTAATCCATTAATGATGATGAACACTCATGATTCATTTGTTTCTTACTATATTGCCCATCCCAACACTATTTCACTGGGGGTTAAGTTTTCAAAACATGAACTTTGGGAGGAGACCTTCAAACCGTAGCAGCATCTTAAAAATATGAATTTTTTCAATCAATGAACATGGATTATCTTTCCATTTAGTTAAATATTTGTCAATTTCTTTTTTCAGATTTTATTTTAGAATTGGGGGTAAATGTGCAGGTTTGCCACAAAGGAAAATATTTTGTGACGCTGAAGTTTGGTATGAATGAATCAATCATCCGGGTCGTAAGCACAGTACGCAATACGTAGGTTTTTTCAATACTTAACCCCTCCCTCCTCCATCTTGTATTCCCCAGTATCTATCATTCCCATGTTTATGACTATATGTACCCATTATTTAGCTCCTACTTATAATTGAAAACACGTGCTGGTTGGTTTTCTGTTTCTGGAAATGGTTACAATAATGGTTTCCAGTTGCATCCATGTTTCTGCAAATTTCATTCTTCTTTTATGGCTGTATAGTATTCCATGATGTATATATGCTACATTTTCTTTATCCAATCCACCACTGATAGGCACCTGGGTTGATTCCATTTCTGCTATTTTGAATAGCACTGTGATGGACATACAGGTGCAAGTGTATTTTTGGTAGGCTGACTCATTTTCCTCTGGATATGTACCCAGGAGTGGGATTGCTGAATCCAGTGGTAGTTAACAAGAATGCAATCCCATTTATAATAGCCACACACAAAAAAACCTAGGAATACAGGTAACCAAGGAAGTGAAAGATTTCTACAAGGAGAATTACAAAACAATGTTGAAAGAAATCAGAGATGACAAAAACAAATAGAAAAAATATTCTATGTTCATGTATTAGAAGAATCAATATCATTAAAATGGCTATACTGTCAAAAACAATTTACAAAATCAATGCTATTCTTCTGAATTTCTTTTAATGATGTTTTGTAGTTTTCAGCATGCAAGTGGTGTACTTCTTCTGTTAAATTTATTCGTAAGTATTTATTTTTGACATTGTAAATATAATTGTTTTCTTAATTTCCTCTCTGGATTGTTTATTATATATAACTGTTTTTTTTAATATTGATCTTTTGCAGTTTGCAAACTTGCTCTAGTAAATCATCTCTAATATTTTTGTAGGATCATTAGGAATTTCTGTATATGATACCGTGCAATCTACACTTAGAAATAGTTTTATGTCCTCCTTTTCAATATATATGAATTTCATTGAATTTCCTGCCAACTTTCCCTGGCTAGAACCTCCAGTGCAATATGAATATAAAGGGTGAGAGCATATCCCTTGTATATTTTCTGATTTTTAGGGAAAAATATTTAGTCTTGGTGGTGGTAGCTGTGACTTTTCATAGATGCCATTTATCAGCTTCAAGAAGCTCCATTTTTACCAAATTTCTTTACTGTTTTTATCATGAATTTGTGTTGCATTTTGTCAAATGATGGTTCTGTATCATGTGATCTTGTCCTTTATTCTATGAATATGGTGAATTACATTGATTTGTCTGTGTTGAGCCACTCTTGCATTATTGTGATAAATGTTGTTTGGTCGTGTCGTATAATCATTTTATGTGTTGCTGGATTTGGCTTCCTAGAATTTTGTTGAGGATTTCTACTTCTCCATTTGTAAAATATATTGGTCTACAATTTTAATTTCTTGTGATGTCTATCTAGTTTTAGTATTAGCATAACACTGGTCTCATAGGATGAGCTGCAAAGAGTTTCTACTTCTATATTTTTGTAAGACTTTATTGGTATTAATTTTTTAAACATTAGTAGAATTCTTGACTATATATTTGGTCCTGGTTTTCTGTTTGGGGGAAGTTTTATTATTATCACTAATTAACGTCTTTACTGTTTAGAAGTCTATTCAAATTTTCCAGGTTTCTAGTTAGTTCCAGCAGTTTGTGTGTCTCTAGCAATTTATCTTACCCAAGTTACCTAGGTTGATGTAGACTTTGTCATAGTATTCCCATATAGTCCTTATTTTTTAAGGTATTTCTTATAATTTCTTATTTTAATAATTCGAGTCATCTCTTTTCTTAGTCTAGCTAAATATTGTCAAGTTTGATTTTTTCAGAAACCAATTTTGGTTTGTTTGATAAGCTCTATTGTTTTTCTGTTCTATAGTTTATTTCCATGTTAATCTTTATTATTTACTTCCTTCTGCACATTTTGCCTTTAGTTTGTTTTTCTTTAGTTCTAGTATCTTTTTTTTTTTTTTTTTGAGACAGAGTTTTACTCTTGTTGTCTAGGCTGGAGTGCAATGGTGCAATCTTGGCTCACGGCAACCTCTGCCTCTCAGGTTCAAGCGACTTTCCTGCCTCAGCCTCCTGAGTAGCCGAGATTACAGGCTCACGCCACCACACCCGGCTAATTTTTGTATTGTTTTGTAGAGACGGAGTTTCACCATGTTGGCCAGGCCAGTCTGGAACTCCTGACCTCAGGTGATCCACCTGCCTCAGCCTCCCAAACTGCTGGGATTACAGGTGTGAGCCACCCCACCAGGCCGATTCTAGTATCTTAAGGTGGAAGATGAAATTATTCATTTGAGAATTTCTTTTTTCACATAGGTATTTATAGGTACGTATTTTCCACTAAACACTATTTTGTGGCATGTCCTACATTTTGGTATTGTGTGTTTTCATTTTCATTTCAAAGCATTTTCTAATTTTCTTTTTTTCTTTTACATCACTTATTTAGGAGTTTGTTGTTTAGTGTTCATGTATTTGTAACTTTCACATATTTTCTTGTTTCTTTGATTTCTAAATTCATTCCACTTTTGTTGGCGAACATACTTTGTATGATTTTAATAAGGCTTTATATTTATTGAGCATCATTTTGTGGCCTCACATATGGTCTGTGCCTGAATAATGTTCCACGTGCACTTGAGAAGAATAGATATTCTGTTATTGTTCAGTGGAGTGTTCAATATGTGTGCTACATCTATTTGGTTCATTGTGTTGTTCAAGTGCTCTATTCGCTTATTGATTTTCTGTCTAATTGTTCTGTCCATTACTGAAAGTGGGGTATTGAGGTCTCTGACCATTATCTCTGAGTTACATATTTCTCTTTTCAATTGAGTCAGTTTGCGCTTCATGTATTTTGGAACTCCATTGTTAGATAAATGTATCTTTATAATTGTTATATCTTTGTGACAGATTGAACATTTATTATTATAAAGTACCCTTATTTTTCTCTCATTATAATTTGTATTTGAAAGGTTAATTTTATAATATTTATTTAGCATTCTATTGTTGGGTACTATTTGCTCGATGTATCTTTTTTGATCCTTTTCTTTTCAACCCAAATCCTTTGTGTTTTTGAATCTAAAGCATGTCTCTTGTAGAAAGCATGTAATTATTTTTATTCATTTATCCAATATCTGCCCTTTATTTGAGTTTTTAATTGATTCACATTTCATGAATTACTGATAATGTAGAATTTGTCACTGCCCATTTGCTATTTATTTATATATGTCTCGTGTCTTTTTCCTCTATTCCTCCTGTAAACTTGTAAAACCTCTTTTGCATTAAATATGTACTTCTAATATACCATTTTAATTCCCTTGCCTTTTCTATTTTAAATTTTGTATGTATACATAATAGTTGTACATATTTATGGTCTACAAATGAAATTTTGATACAAGTATATAATGTGTCTTATTCAAATTAGGGTAATTAGGGTATCTATCACCTCGAGTAGTCATTTTTTTATTTTTAAAATTTTTGAGGGTACATACTAAGTGTATATATTTGTGGGGTACATGAGATATTTTGATACAGGCATGCAGTGTGAAATGCAAATCAAAACTACAATGAGATATAATCTCACTCCAGTTAAAATGACTTATATCCAAAAGACAGGCAATCACAAATGATGGCAAAAATGTGGAGAAGAGAGAACGCTTGTACACTGGTTGTGGGAATGTAAATTAGTGCAACCACTATGGAGAACAGTTTGGAGGTTCCTCAAAAAACTAAAAATAGAACTGCCGTATGATCCAGCAATCCCACTGCTGGGTTTATACCAAAAAGAAAAGAAATCAGTATATGGAAGAGATATCTGCACTCCCATGTTTGCTGCGGCACTGTTTACAATGGGTAAGATTTGGAAGCAACCTAAGTGTCTATCAACAGATGAATGGATAAAGAAAATGTACCATTTATTTGCATTAGGAACATTCCAATCTTTTAGTTATTTTGAAATATGTAATAAATTGTTGTTAACTATAATCATCCTATAGTAATGCCGAACACTAGATGTTATTCCTCTGATCTAATTATATTTTTGTATCCATTCAGTAACCCTTTTTATCCCCTCTCCCTATTCCTTCCCAGCTTCTGGTAACCATCATTCTACTCTTCAGCTCCATGTGATAAAAAAAAATTTTTTTTCTTTAAAAATGTTACATTAATTTATCTGTAGTACTGACAGTGTCTATTTTAAGTAATCTAAAGTATTATGTGTAGCTCCTCAGGTGACCTTCCAATACTTCTTTTTTTTTTTTTTTTTTTTTTTTTTTGGGAGACGTAGTCTTGCTCTGTCGCCCAGGCTGGAGTGCGGTGACACGATCTGGGCTCACTGCAAGCTCTGCCTCCCGGGTTCACGCCATTCTCCTGCCTCAGCCTCCCGAGTAGCTGGGATTACAGGCACCCGCCACCACGCCTGGCTAATTTTTTTGTGTGTTTTTGGTAAAGATGGGGTTTCACCGTGTTAGCCAGCATGGTCTCCATCTCTGGACCTCGTGATCCACCCACTTCAGCCTCCCAAAGTGCTGGGACTACAGGCGTGAACCACCATGCCCGGCCCCAATACTTCTTAATCCTATATTATTATTATTATACTTTAAGTTCTGGGGTACATGTGCAGAACGTGCAGTTTCAGAGCCACTGTGAGATGCCATCTCATGCCAGTTGGAATGGTGATCATTAAAGGGTCAGGAGACAGGAGGTGCTGGAGAGGGTGTGGAGACATGGGAGTGCTTCTACACTGTCGGTGAGAGTGTAAATTGGTTCAACAGTTGTGGAGGACAGTATGGCAATTCCTCAAGGATCTAGAACTAGAAATACCATTTGACCCAAAAATCCCATTACTGGGTATATACCCAAAGGATTATAAATCTACTATAAAGACACATGCACACGTATGTTTATTGCGGCACTGTTCACAATAGCAAAGATGTGTTCAAATTTTTTTTTTATCTCCAACGTATGAGTGAGAATATGCAACATTTGTCTTTCTGTTCCTGGCTTATTTCATTTAACATAATGTCCTCCAGTTCCATCCATGTTGGTGCAAATGAGATTTTATTCTTCTTTTATGGATGAACAATATTTCATTGTATATATGCACCACATTTTAAAATCCATCCATTGATGAATACTTTGATTGATTCTATATCTTAGCTATTGTCAACAGTGCAGCAATAAACATAGGAGTGCAGGTATATCATTGATATACTGCTTTGATTTCTTTTGGATATATACCAAGTAGTTGGATTGCTGGATCATATGCTAGTTCCATTTTTAGTCTTCTGAAGAACAACATTTGTACTGTTTTCTATAGTGGTTGTACTAATTTACATTCCCACCAACTTTTTTTTTTTTTTTTTGAGACGGAGTCTCGCTCTGTCGCCCAGGCTGGAGTGCAGTGGCGCGATCTCCGCTCACTGCAAGCTCCGCCTCGCGGATTCACGCCATTCTCCTGCCTCAGCCTCCCAAGTAGCTGGGACTACAGGCGCCCGCCACTACGCCCGGCTAGTTTTTTGTATTTTTAGTAGAGACGGGGTTTCACCGTTTTAGCTGGGATGGTCTCGATCTCCTGACCTCGTGATCCGCCCGCCTCGGCCTCCCAAAGTGCTGGGATTACAGGCGTGAGCCACCGCGCCCGGCCCATTCCCACCAACTTTATAGGAAGATTCTCTTTTCCCCACATCCTTGCCAGTATTCATTATCGCCTGTCTATTTGAACACAAAGCCATTTTACCTGGGGTAAGATGATATTTCATTGTGATTTTGCTTTGCATTTCTTTCATGATTAGTGATGATGAACATTTTTAAATAACTGTTGGCCATTTGTATGTCTTCTTTTGAGAAGTGTCTTTTCAGATCTTTTGTCTAGTTTTTAATCAGAGAATTTTTTTGTTTGCTATTGAGTTGTTTGAGACCCTTATATTCTAGTTATTAATCCCTTGTCAGATGGCTTGCTTGGAAATATTTTATTCCATTCCTCACTTTTTGATTGTTTCCTTTGCTGTGCAGAAGCTTTTTGGCTTTATATGATCTTATTTGTCTATTTTTTGCTTTGGTTGCCTGGACTTTTGGGGTATTCCTCAAGAACATTTTGCCCAGACTAATGTCTTGGAGTGTTTCCCTAATTTTGTTTTCTTTGGAGACAGAGTTTCACTCTGTAACCCAGGCTGGAGTGCAGTGGTGTAATCTCAGCTCACTGTAACCTCTGCTTCCCAGGTTCAAGTGATTCTCCTGCCTCAGCCTTCCAAGTATCTAGGATTACAGGGGCGTGCCACCACACCCTGCTAATTTTTGTATTTTTAGTAGAGACAAGGTTTTGCCATGTTGGCCAGGCTGGTCTTGAATTCCTGACCTCAGGTGATCCACCCACCTTGGCCTCCCAAAGTGCCTAATGTTTTCTTCTAGTAGTTTCATTGTTTCAGGACATACAGTTAAGTCTTTAATCTATTTTATCTTTTCTTTGACAATATATATTTAAACTATTATTATTATTATTTGAGATGAAGTCTTGCTCCATTGCCAGGCTGGAGTGCAGTGGCGCCATCTCGGCTGACTTCAACCTCCACCTCCTGGGTTCAAGCGATTCTCCTGCCTCAGCCTCCTGAGTAACTGGGATTACAGGCACACACCACCGCACCCAGCTAAATTCTGTATTTTTAGTAGAGACGGGGTTTCACCATGTTGGCTAGGATGGTCTTGATTTCTTGACCTCGTGATTCAATTGTTTTCTTAATGGTACCCTTGAGAATTATAATTAACAGCTTAATTTATCAAAATCTATTGTAGATTAAAACCAACTTAATTTCAATTGTATGCAAGAACTTTGCTACTTTATGGATCTGTTCCCTCCCCCTAATTAATGCTGTTATTATCATACAAATTACATATTTATACATTGCAATATCATCAACACAGATTTATAATCATTTTAGTAGAGACATTACATTGTATCTACAGATCTATTTCCGAGAAGTGACATTTTAGTAAAACTTAGTCTTCACATCCATTAACTTATGTAGGTAATTCTTAGTTTATCTCAGCAATATGTTGCAGTTTTCAGCACAGAACTCTTGCACATACCTTGTTAAATTTGCTACTAAGGATTTTAAATATATACATATATATTTAATGCCATTCTAAATTATATTTAAATTATACTTTCCAATTTTTCAATGGTAACGTATAGATATAAACTTTATTTTTAAACATTTTTGGATTATGTGGCTTGTTAAACTCACTTATTAATTTTATTAGTTTTTGTACATTCCTTAGAGGAAGATTCTCTACAGAGATAAACATTTTATGTAAACATAAAGGCAGTTTTACCCCTTATATTCTAATCGTTATGACTTTTTTTTTTTGCTTGATTGCAGTGACTAGGACCTTGACTACAATATAGACTAACTGTAGGTGAGAAAGGACACCCTTGTTGTATTTCTCATCTTAAGGGGAAAACATTAAGTCTTTATTAGGTATGATGCTATCAGCAGGTTTTTCATAGGTGGTTTTTATCAGGTTAAAGAAGTCCTCTTTTACTCCTAACTTGTTAACAGGTTTGATCAAAAATGACTTTGGATATGTCAAATAAATTTTCCGCATTTACTGATATGATTCTATTTTTTCATTCATTATATATTATTGTTATGTGGTAAATTACATTTATTTATTTTTAGGTGTGAAAATCACCTTACGTTTTGGAGGTAAATCCTACTTAGTCCTGGTATGTTAGAAATTTGAAATATTTATGAATTAAATTAAGTAATATTTTATTAAATATTTTGCTTGCATGTTCATGAGAAAAGCTGCTGTGCAATTTTCTTTACTTTTACATTTCTGTAAGGTCTGATTTTTATATTGAGGTAATGATGCATTCATAAAACTATTAGGGTGTGTGCAGGAAAAGGTTAACCCATTATGCCTGGGCTGCTCAACTCTGAATATTTCCAAGAAAGGCTAGGCTTTCTGAACTGCCCCACAGCCTGATCATGGGAGATGAGCTCTCTAAGTCTTTGCAGCGCTCTGCCTAATAAGAGTGTTTTTCTTTTTCTCTTTTTTCTTTTTTTTTTGAGATGGAGTCTCACTCTGTCGCCCAGGCTGGAGTGCAGTGGCACTATCTCAGCTCACTGCAAGCTCCACCTCCCGGGTTCACACCATTCTCCTGCCTCAGCCTTCCAAGTAGCCGGGACTACAGGTGCCCGCCACCACTCCTGGCTAATTTTTTGTGTTTTGTAGTAGAGACGGGGTTTCACCGTGTTAGCCAGTATGGTCTCGATCTCCTGACCTTGTAATCCACCCGCCTCAGCCTCCCAACATGCTGGGATTACAGGCGTGAGCCACCGCGCCCAGCTGATAAGAGTGTTTTTCTAAGGCCTGAGTCCTCAGACCACACGATACTAATTTGATTAGATTGGTTAGGCTAACAACATGTTTTATGGTGAATGTCTTATTGTGCTCTGGGCAGCTGTAGTTTGAGTAGCCATGATTAGTCATGCAGGTCCCGCATGTCAATGGAAGTGACCCTCAATAAAAATCCTTGACTTGATACTTACATGAGTGTTTCTCCGTGACAACATGTCACATGTGTTATCACATGTTGTTGCTGGGAGAATAAAGTACAACCATGAGACTCCACTGGGTGAGGACAACTGGTAGCTTCCATCTGGTTTATCCTGGACTTTGTTCCATGTGTGTTTTCTTTGGCTGATTTTAATGTTTCCTTTCACTGTAATAAACCATAACTGTGAGTGTAACAGCTTTTCTGAGTTCTGTGAGTTCTTCTAGTGAATCATGGAGCCCGAGGATGGTCTTGGTAACCCAGTTCACGAGATGGTTCCATATGGGGGAGTCTCAAGGCTGACTCTGACCCACTGAAATATGATGGATGTATTCTTCTTCTTCTTCTTTTTTTTTTTTTTTGGTTAAAGGAAAAATAACAGGCCAGGAAATTAAACACTTCTGATGCATGGATGGCTATCACGTCACCCACTGTAAGATACAGAAGCTGCATTGTGATTGGTAATTGGAGGTAAACTTTTACCAAGATGATTTAGAAATGATACAACCAACTATTTAAGAGTTGGCTCACTGGATCCCTAGAGAAATGTAGAGTAATGAAAATACATGCTACATATACTATTATGTGGCCATTTTTATCTAAGATAGCTAAAATAAAAGAGGAGTGTTTCAGCAGATCCTGGACCTGCACCAAGCTTGGATTGTGGCCAGTCCTAGCTATTGCCACTAGCTTTATTGTTGCTTCCAAGGAAAAACTATTCCGGAACAGCAAATATCACCTCTATGACCTCTGATTAGCAAGATGGTAGTCCAGATTGGGGATAGGGAGCAAACCTAAGAAGGAACTGAAAGGAAAGACTACAGTACAAAGAATTTGTCTCATTTTGTACCTCAATATAACTAACTTTTTGAAGAACCTTTATTAAAATGAATTGTGACATGACTAACTCAGGAGCAGTTGCCTTGATTTTTAATGCTATAGTATGGAGGAGCATATTTGGTCAATCCTGGAGAATTGTCCATGCTCTAGTTATAAGAATGTATATTCTGCCTTTTTTTTTTGGATAAAATGTTCTGTTTATGTCTGCAAGGTATATTTGGACTAAAGTCCAGTTTACATCTGATGTTTCATTCTTGATTTTCTGCCTAATGCTGAGAATGAGTTAAAAGTGCCCCAATATTATTTTACTGGAGTCTATATGTCTTTTTAGGTGTAGTTCTAGTAATATTTGCTTTATGAATCTGAGTATTCCAGTGTTGTGTTCAATATATTTAGAATTGTCATATCCTCTTAATGCATTGATTCTTTAATTATATAATGACTTTTTGTGTGGGTATGTTTGTGTGTGTGTTTACTGTTTTTGACTTAAAGCCTGTTATCTAAGTATAGCTATTCCTGCTGGCTTTTGGTTTCCATTTGTGTGGGACATCTTATTACATGCCTTTACTTTCAGTTTATTTATGTCTTTAGAGGTATACTGCATTTCTTATAGGCAGCATATATTGGAACTTTTTAAAAAATCCATTCAGCCAGACTATATTTTTAAGTGGAGAATTTAATCTATTTAAATTTAAGGATATTATTGACATGAGGTTTTGTTCCTGTTAAAATGCTACTTTTTTCCCATTTGTTTTCTGTATTTTTTGTTTCTTTCCTTTTCTATTATTTATTGTCCTTTTTGTTTGCTGAGAGTCTGTGGTAGTTTGCATAATTTCTTTTCCTCATTTGTGCATTTCCTTTACCAGTAAGTTTTATATTTTCATGTGTTTTCATGATGCTAACTGCTGTCCTTTTACTTCCAAGCTTAGGACTCCCTTGCACATTTCTTTTTTTTAATTTTTTTTGAGACAGAGTCTTGCTTTGTTGCCCAGGCAACAAAGAATTAAGGAATTCTTCAGTCCCAGAATTTGTTTGCTTCTTTTTCATGATATCTATCTCTATGATAAATTTATTGTGCATATCCTGATTTTTTTTGCAATTTCTTTGTATTGTTTTTATGGAATTCTCTTGTATCTCATTGAACTTCTTTATTATCATAATTTTTTATTTTTTTGTTTAGGATTTTGTGAATTTCTTTTTGATTGGAATTTGTTGCTGGAGAATTGCTCTGTTCCTTTGAGGGTTAAATGGAAATTTTCTTGCGTTTTTATGTTTCATATGTTTTTACATTGATATCTGTGCAACTGGTGTAATCGTCACTTCTTTCAATTTTTTGAATATGCCTTCAAAGGCAAGAACTTCTTCCTGAAGATGTACCAATGGTGTTGGTTGGGTAGGCTCTCTAGATTTGATTCCAGGTATACACTGTAGTATAGTCTCCATATAATTTATTAGGCTGTAAGCAGCGTCGGTGGTATATGTGATTTCCCTGCTGATTTAGGTGTGATTACCAGTGTAAGTTATCACTGTGCTGTCCCCAGTAATCTAACTCATAGGGAGCACTACTCCTGGAGGAAAGGATGGCACAGTGCATCAAAAAGGTGGCTCCTGAGACAATGGAAATCATAACACATACTTTCCAGAGCATGAGCACTTCCTGTCTGGGTCTGTGAAAAGTGACTCCACCTCCAGTCATAGTACAAAGCCTCTTCTTGGCCTCATGGGTGGAGAGTTGGAACAAGGATGCCAGGTGGGCCAGTCTTCATGCATTGGGCCGAAATGCTTGTTCTTGGGCACCAGGACTGGGTATACTTGCACTGGTATTAATAGGACCAGGTTGGCCAATTCTTCAGCCTCCTGGTGTCTTGCTTGGGTGCTGGTAGTGGCGGCAATTGGCTTGGCAGATAAGCAGGTTCTCGAGTCTCTGGGAAGTCGGTGTGTTGTGAGCAATGTCAATAGCACTAGTTGGAAAATGCTTTGGGTCTTGAGTGGCCTTGGTGTTGGCAGTGGCTGTGATTTGGGGCCACCGCCCACAACCCCAGAGGTTCAGCTCTCAAGTTAATCTGCTTTTGGTGGCAACAGCACCACAGCACCACACACAGCAGAGAGGGGCTCTGTTCTTCACACGTTATCCTGAGCATGGACACCATGCTGCCAGTGGGGATGCAGTCACCACTCACAGCCCTAGACAGGCAACCCTGTGGCTTGCTTGTCCCAGCCTCCAGCAGCACAGAAGTAGCTTCAGGTGCAGCAGTGTGCAGAGCAGGAGGAGGGACCCTGCTCTCCATGTATGAGCCTGAGCAAAGAGTCCTCTGCTGGTGGGAGGGGATCTCACTCTCAGCCAGTGAGGCCAAGAACAGACTTTGTGCTATGACTGGGGGTGGAGTCGCTTTTCACAGACCCAGACAGGGAGTGCTCATGCTCTGGAAAGTGTGTACTGTGATTTTCTTTGTCTCAGGGGCCATCTTTTTGATGCACTGTGCCATCCTTTCCCCCATGAGTAGTGCTCCCTGTGAGCTAGATTACTGGGGTTAGCGCAGCAATTACAGAACCTTTGGGTCCAGTTAGTGCTGTGCCCACTAAGGTCCTCTCTGTGGACACTGAAGTATGTCAGTGGGAGATCCAGGATGTGGATATATGGGAGCCGTGGTTCCCAGGAAAGAATACAGTCCCATAATGGCTTTGCTCTCACTATGGCACCCTGCTGAAGCCACTTAGATCTCTGGGTATGAGTGAGTCAACACAAGTTCCTTTTCTGGTGTAATGCGCTTGCAAGGTCTCCAGTCCACTGCCCATGCTAGTGTTAGTGCTCATGTGGGTAGAGCAGCTCTCTTGTGGTTTGGATTGGAGCCATATACCCATGTGTGGATAAAATGGCCAAGGGGTGGAGAAGAGCTCATTTGGGGGCTCCTTGACACAAAAGCCTACTGCACTGTGATTTCAAAACCAATGGTTGAACTATCACAAGAAGTTAAAGTTAGGGAAAATATGGGGATGCAGCAGTTGATACTGTTAAGTTAAAAGTTTGAATAAAAATTGAAGTATGAACAGATTGTATGTGAAAAACTGATTGTATCTCCTTTACCTGAATGTAATATTGATGTGAATAACATATCTGACTGAAAGGATAGTTACCCTATCTAGAATTGTAATACAGAAGGCATGTAAGTTCTCCCCTCAGTCAGTATTAATCAGATTTTCTAAATGAGAACTAATAAAACTGTCTAAACTCACATGGGTAGTTAATTTGAAAGAGTAAAAAATGTGGAAGAGTAAAAAACTAGTTGAAAAAAATGAGATTACCACTTTTTTTTTTTTTTTCTTTTGAGACAGAGTCTCACTCTGTCACCCAGGCTGGAGTGCAGTGGCGCGATCTCGGCTCACTGTAAGCTCTGCCTCCTGGGTTCACGCCATTCTCCTGTCTCAGCCTTCCGAGTAGCTGGGACTACAGGCGCCTGCCACCACACCTGTCTATTTTTTTTTTTTTTTGTATTTTTAGCAGAGATGGGGTTTCGTCGTGTTAGCCAGGATGGTCTCAATCTCCTGACCTCATGATCCACCCACCCCGGCCTCGGCCTCCCAAAGTGCTGGGATTACAGGTGTGAGCCACCGCACCCAGCAGAGATTACCATTTTAATTAATGTCATTTTAGCAGCTGAAGAACTGGTACCAAAAAATTCTCTATACAGTATCCCTATGTGGATACTGAATGGTTTCCCAGAAACTGGAAGGCTCATGGAAACTAACAATAGATTATCAAGGCTTGAATAAGGCAATACTACCTACAATATTAGCAGTCGCTGATATGGTTTCAATGGCAACACACACATGCATGTGCACACACATACACACACCCACACATACACATCCAAAGAGACTGGTACTCGATTTTTATTTTTATTTTATTATTTATTTTTTTGAGATAGAGTCTTGCTGTGTCTCCCAGGCTCTAGTGCAGTGGTGCAACCTTGGCTCACTGCAACCTCTGCCTCCTGAGTTCAAGTGATTCTCCTGCCTCAGCTTCCCAAGTAGCAGGGATTTCAGGTACCTGTTACCACACGCAGCTAATTTTTGTATTTTAGTAGAGACAGGGCTTCACCATGTTGGCCAGGCTGGTCTCAAACTCCTGGCTTCAAGTGATCCACCCACCTCGGCCTCCCAAAGTGTTTGGATTACAAGCATGAACCACCATGCCTGGCCCTCAGTGATTGATTTTTAAGATTTGTTTTTACTTCCAATCTCAGAAAGAGTCAATCACAGTTTTCCTTCATGTGAAAATGAGGATCCAATTTGCATGTATTGTTTTGCCACAGGGTTATGGAAATTTACAAGATTGCTCATTTAATTTGGCTAAAAGACACCTGGGACTTGATACAGATCCTAAGCATGATGATAAAACACACTGATGATATCGTGATAATATTTGAAACCAAAGAAGGTAGGACTGACTAAATACAGTGGTGGCATGCATGACTAACATAGGATGGTTGATAAATCCAGCAAAAATCAAAGGGCCTGCCTGAGTCATGAAATTCTTAAGAATAACCTTAGCAGGGGCCACCTGTGGCATACCACAGGCAACAAAAAATAATATATTGTCTGTGTTTTTGTGTGTGTATGTGTGTTGCTACAAAGGAATACTCAAGGCTGAGTAATTTGTAAAGAAAAGAGGTTTATTTGGCTCACAGTTCTGCAAGACATACAGGAAGCATGGTGCCAGCATTTGCTTCTGGGTATGGGCTTGAGGCTGCTTCCATTCATGGTGGAAGACAAATTGGAACCAGCGTGTGCAGAGATTACATGGCAACAGAGAAGCCAAGGGGTGGTCAGGGGAGATGTCCAGCTCTTTTTAACAACTAGCTTTCCTGGGAACTAATAAAGCGAGAACTCACTCACCCCTAGGGAGGGCATTGCGGTATTCATGAGGGATCCACTCCATAGCCTGAACACCTGCCATTAGGCCCCACCTCCAACACTGGGAAACAAATATCAACGTGAGGTTTGGAGGGGTGAAACATCCAAACGATACCCTTGTCACTGTCTACCTGCTGTAATTAAGGAATAAGCACAACATCTGGTTGGGTTGTTTGGATATTGGATGATGCATGTTGCAATCCAAGAATATTGCTAGCTCTTATACATAAAATTACCCCAGAAAGGAAAAATTTGAAATTGGGAACCAAACAATAGTAGGTATGTATGAACTGCAAAAATGGTGGTTCACACAATCCCTTTGGAACCTTATGATCTGCATTCAGATATAATTTTGGAAGTATCTACAACTTGCATTCATGCAGACTAGAGTTTATGGCCAAAGCCTGTTGGTGTCACTCACCAGTGATTGTTAGGATTTGGGGCCATAAAATTTCCACACATAATGATACATTAACACCATTTGAGAGACAATTATTGGCTTGCTATTAGACATCAATTGGAGCCACCCTCTATGAATAAGGGGCATAAAATAATCTTGAAACTTGAAATACCGTAATGTCTTGGATAACATCAGGGAAATGGTCTAACACGGAAGAGAGTGCCCAGAAGAGCTCCATAATAAAATGAAACTGATTGAAACAGGTTTATGCATTCAGAAGAATACAAGAAGGCACTACTCATCAGATTCATGGACATGTAGCCTGTTTTCCTCTAGGGCCAAATTTGGAACAACTAAGGAGCTGCCAGATTTTATTGCCACATGAGTGGTGCCCTATTGAGAGGTGAAGCCGGATGGGCTTCTGGGTGGAGTGGAAACTTGGAGAACTTTTCTGTCTAGCTAAAGGATTGTAAATGCACCAGTGAGCACTCTGTGTCTAGCTAAAGGTTTGTAAATACACCAATCAGCACTCTGTAAAAATGGACCAATCAGCACTCTGTAAAATGGACCAATCAGCCCTCTGTAAAATGGACCAATCAGCAGGATGTGGGTGGGGCCAAATAAGGGAATAAAAGCTGGCCACCTGAGCCAGCCCTGACAAGCCGCTGGGGTTACCGTCAACGGATGGAAGCTTTGTTCCTTCGCTCTTCGTGATAAATCTTGGTGTAGCTCACCCTTTGGGTCCACACTACTTTTAAGAGCTGTAACACTCACTGTGAAGGTGTGTGGCTTCTCTCCTGAAGTCAATGAGACCACGAAACCACCAGAAGGAAGAAACATTGGACACACCTGAACATCTGAAGGAACAAACTCCGGACATGCCGTGTTTAAGAACTGTACCACTCAGCGCGAGGGTCTGTGGCCTCATTCTTGAAGTCAGCGAGAGAAAGAACCCACTGGAAGGAACCAATTCTGGACACACAGTAAACAGCACTTGATTGGCCAACAGAAACCTATTTCGTTTACAAATGGTCGTTCCAAGGTGAATGGACAATATCCTGTTTGGAAGGCTGCCACACTATGACCAACTGTTGAAAAAACCCTGATTGACGATAAGAACAAAGCAGGTGAGTAGTCATAATTTCATGTTTTTTTTTTTTTTTGTAGAGATGAAATAGTTGAACAATAGCAAGAACCTTAATATTTAGGTCTTTACCCACTTATCAGTGGCATTGGCCTTACCATATGTTCAGGAAGATGGGCAATGCAGAACTGAATTATTAAAGGGATTCTTGTATGGGGCGTGATTCCATAGAAATCACTCTGTGAATTTAAGGGACACGTTAAAGTGACACATATTCATGCCCATGAGAAGAATTCCCCTTCATGATCGAAAGGTAATTGGAACCAACTAGTGGACTTCCTGGCAGGCTCACTTGAGTTAGCCGCTTTGGTGGGTGAAATGAGTGGACAAGGGGAGCTACAAGATGGGATGGATAGTCTGATCATTGATACACATCTCTTGCACTCTTCGAGGCACAAAATGACAACGAAAACTTTTCTGTCTAGCGGCAAGATAGACCAAGACTGTAGATGGCTATGGGGTAGATTCCCTGGTGGTCGGGGGTAAGGGAAGGTCTCACACATAGCTGGCAAGCAAGACTATGTCTTACCACACTGTAGTTCCAGGGGACTATGTAAGAGTCCTGAAAGGAATAGAGACTCAAGTGTGCTTTGCATACAGCCTAGTGGTGGATGCAAATGCTCCAAACACTTGTATGAAATCAAAGTACTATACCAATGTGGACTACTAAGTTACTTTTTTTCAGAACAGGGAACATGCTTACAGCCCATGGTGCCCAACAGTTAAAAATATTTCACATCAAATGTACATATCACCTGTTGGAGTACTTGGAACAGGAATTTGAAAGGTGTTGTCTAAAATGAGAGAAGATGAGGGTGAAGGGCTAGCTTATATACTTTGATAAAGTGCACACCATCAGAAAGGCCAAAAGGGGGCTTCCACTTGGTAGATTCCTCTGCTTTTCTGAGGGATCTGGGCAAAAAGAAATGGGGGAGGTTGTTACAATTCTTACCCGTATCATCTTACCTTTCTTTTTCTCTTGTTTTCCTTTTTGACACATGGGTCATTCACACTTTGTTGTAAAATATCCAAATATTGAGGAGGATTTCAACACTTCTTTCTTATACTAATTTTCAGTTTAATACTGTTTATATTGGAAAACATGCTTTGTAGGATTTCAATCCTCTTACATATATTGAAAATTGTTGTTCAATGTCTGAGACCCATTGTTTCATACATTTTGACCAAAGTTCTTGTTTTTAAAAGGGAGTAGTACATGTCCAGAATTATTCACTCTGTCAGAACCCCTGCAGAAGTCTGTGATTATAATTTAAAAGTGAAGTTAAAAACCACAGTTGAACATCACTAATTGGCGAAATGCAAACTAAAACTACAATAAAATACCACGTTATACCCATTAGGATGACTACTATAAAATTAAAAAAACAGAAAAGTGTTGGTGAAAATGTTGAGACGTGGAAGCCTTGCACAGCGTTGGTGGGAATGTAAAATGGTACAGCTGCTGTGGAGAGCAGTCCAGCAGTTCATCAAAAAATAAAAATAAGATTACACGTCATCAAGTAATTCCCCTTCTTGGCATATGCCCAAAAGAACTAAAAGCATGCTCTCAAAAATATACTGGTACACCCGTGGTCATAGCAGTGTTATTCACAATCTCTTAAATATGGAAGCAACCCAAGTGTACACAGAAAGCCAAATAGATAAATAAAATATGGTGTATACATACGCTGGAATACCATTCAAGCTTAAAAAGGAGGAAAATGCTGAAGTATGGTACAACATTGATGAGCCTCAAGGGCATTACACTAAGTGAAATAAGCCAGTCACAAAAAGACAAATATTGTCTCATTCTGTTTAAGGAGGTACTTTAGAGTACTCTGACAAAGTCATAGAAACAGAAAATAGAATGGTGGCTGTCAAGGACTATGGGGAGAAGAGAATGGGGAGTTATTGTTTAATGGGTACAGAGTTTCAGTTTTACAAGATGAAATGTGTTCTGAAGATGATGGAAGCTACACATCTGAAGATGCATTAACAGTATATACGTGCTTAATGCCAATAAAATGTACACGTAAAAGTGGTTACAATGGTAATTTTATATTATGTGTATTTTATTGCAATAGAAAAAGTTACGCAAACTTAAAACACATGCAGAGTTGCCTGCTTTTCTTCAGCCTGTCTGAGTTTCAGGGCTGGGATAAACAGAAAACAGGAGGGAGAGACCATATGTGGATGCACTGGGCTGAAGTGATATGTATGGAGTAGGAAGAGAGGTGAAGCTAGGAAGAAGTGAAAACAAGATAAAAATAAATGCTCAAAGAACAGGAATTTAGTAGGTATCAAAGTATTGCTTACACTGATTTTCTCAGGCACGTGAGTGGGAAGTGGAGGTTGGAAATCGGGATGCTTGGAACTGAGATTTTGGAGATACACAGTTAATGAATGGTTGGAAATTAAACATAAGCATGGCTTTGCATTAATGGCTCAATTCTGCTCAACAGCGGAATTGTTGTCCACAGGGAACTGCATGGTGGTGTAGCTTTGGCGGGGCTTGTGGAAGCAAATGGCCAGTCTTTATCCCTGTGTAATGGAGGAGGATTCCTGGCGCCTCCTTGTGCTGCTTCATGCAACTGTTTCCTTCAGGTTGCTCTCCCCAAAGCGCCTGGGATTGCAGCAGCAGAGGTGCTTGATGGACTGTGCCTGTCTCTACCTGCCTTCCTCTCCCTGTGTCTGAGCTCCCTGCATTGGATGAGCTGCTTTTTGGTATTTTATTGATGAGTCCAGCCCAAGGCTTACTGCTCAAGAATGACCTCATTCTTTCATCTCACTAATCTTCCTGCAAGTAACTGCAGGTCCTTAGAATTTGGAATAGACAAGTAAGGTCCCTGATATAGGTGTACAAGGAAAGATTAAGCCCTCATTGTGTGTGTTATTTTACACAGAATGGAAAGGTTGCAGGGGTTTGACAAAGAGTGGGTTCAGAGCTTGACAGAGTGATAAAGCATCATAAAGCCTGCAAGAAGAAAACAGGTAGCAATGCCTTAGCCTCCTACATTTATGCTTTGGTCTCCTGCATGCACTATTTATTCCTGAAGTGCTGGGAAAGGATGCAGCACTAATGTTCAGTCCTGTGGCCCAGGTGCAAGGCAACAGCGTTTGAAATGAGGGCTGGGGTCGTCTGAGGGGAATCTGGTATAATAGCTCATTTTGTACAGGCTTTATTCCAGAAGACAAAGCCAGCTAGTGTCAAAGAGCTGGGAAGGAGAATGTAAGGGAGGAGAGAGGGACAAAAGGGGGACCCTCTGCCCTCAGGAGATTCTGCTAGGAGCACTGGCCACCCCTTTGTCTCTCAGCTCTCTTCTCTCAGAAGAAGGGATGGGGCGCAGAGAGATGGGGGGATGTTGGCTTGTGTGTTTTTGTCTTTTTTTTTAAACCCTCCCTGATCTTCCCCTTTTTCTTTCCCTCTGAGTTTAGGGTTGTGATGGGCAAATTGTATGGTGTCTCCACAGAACAGCCTGATTGTGGCCTCACATTATTGACTTCTTGGGTTTCTCTGGTTGATACCTACAGATATTTGTGGGTACTGTGCACCAGAGCGGATTAATTGGGCACCATGTAGGAGATATGTTAGAGACAATGCAAAAAGAGGAAAGGAAGTTTTAATTAGACAACCTGCGTAGTGATGGCTCAGAGGGCTGAAGTGGTATCAGAAATTGAAAAGAATAACTGTTGGTTTGGAAAAATTGCTTCCATTTCATAATCGTCTATTTCCTTAATAGCTTTCATTTCACACTCCAGTCCTAGAGAAAATTATTGCGTGGGATTCAGAAGACATCCCGCATAGATAAAACTACTGCAGAGCTCTTGAAATTAAGGCCCTTCAGATAATGTGGTGTCCGGGCTGGGCATTGGAGAGGTTGTACGTGAGAGGCAGCACGGAGTGCAGTGTGGGGAATACAGAAAAAGGGATGCCCTCTTTGTGCATCGAGGGGTCTCCACAGTGGGCTTTGTATACCGAGGGGTCCTCTTTGTGCCTCTGTTCTCTTCCTCATTCATAGAGAGGCTGGGGGAGGGGAGTGGTTGGGGGCTGGGGAGATGCTGGCTGTGCTGCTTCTCTGTTCTAACCCTTGCAGCCTATTCTTCTCTTTGGGCTCAAGAGCCCTAATCATCTATTTTATATTCTTTAACTGTTCAGACTTAAATTGCCTCCACTTAAGTTGCCTTGATTTGCTAATTTGCTGCAGAAAGTTCTAAAGAGATCTCTGGTTCATGTGTAGAACAAAAGGTTCACAAAAATTCTCGAGAGCCTCTGGTTTCAGACAGGAAATCACAGGAAGCTGGGGCTGGACAACGTGAGTTAAGAGTGTGAAGGAGAGCTAAGTCTCTGTCAAGACTGAATGAATAAATCAATAAAGCCTCAGGTAGCTCAATCAAGATTTCTGCAATACTGGCAGACACATTCATTGTCCCACATCTCCCAAACCCAATATTCTGTTGCCACTCACTGGCAGGGGTGCACTTCGGACGTGATGTCTTCACTGTTTAACAAGACTCAGAGCAGACTGTTTGAGATTGGGGGGATTCTCGGGAAACCTGGTATGCTGGTCTGTGTCTGTGAGAGCTTTGTTTCTGCAAAAAAATGTGTGGACCAACAGCTGGGAGGGGGAGTGTGTAGGAGGGAGGGAGGGGCAAGCCGTGAGCCCTCCCGTTGAGAGGAGGGGGCTTCCGGCCTTGCACTCTCTTCTTTGATGCCTGGCAAGTTCTTCATTGTGTTTGTGTCTCTTTTAGGGTCACAGCAGAAGCAGGGGTGGGAATAGCAGGGAGAAACAGAGGGCTAATGCGCTGCCGACCCTTCTAACCTGACATCCTCTCTTGTGGGCTGACAGCCGTTCATCAGCCATTTTCTGTTCTGTTCCTATGAAGGCAGACTTCAGTGCCTCCAAATAAATTGCCTTTATGCCTATCTGCTCCCCATCCAAATACAACTGTGGGTGTGGACATTTGGGATGGAATATTGGGGCCTTCGATTCAGGTGTGGATGAATGGAGAAGTCCTGATCATCTGTGGTTTAAGATGTGGAATTAAAAGGCAGATGGAATTCGACAAGAGGTGAGTTAAGAACTTGATAGAGTCAAGGGTGACTTCAATAACAGCTCAAAAAATAAAATAAAAAATAAAGAAAAGAAAAAACATAGCCTTAGGAGGCCCTAATGTCAGAAATGCAAATTGTGCTCAATGAAAGCCTTTTGCCCACATTAACTTTCTGACCCCAGAAGCATGCCTAGCTCAGGGCTGGTACAGGGTACTGATGATATTCTACATGATCATCCAAGGAGAGCCCACAATAGCTGAAGTTTCGGTCTGCCCTGTGCTATATCTGTGCAGGTTTTTATTTTTTGTCCTTTTGATGACAAAGTTGATTACAATCTGCTGGAAGGGACAGTTTTGTTAGACATTTGCTATATTTTTCAATGTAGTAAGGCTTGGATGTTTGAAATTGGGATTCTTGAGTAAAAGCTGATTTCAGGCCTATGAGTAAAAATGCTGTGTTTTTGAGAACAAATCTCTTCGTGAGTCACTTGTGTCCATAGCAGCCAAAGGGGAGGGTGGGGGGGCTTGTGTCTGCGTCCTGGGAGGGGTCCTCTGGGAGCATGCGCACTCCCTCTTGCTGCATTGCAGGGTCTTTGTGCTCCTGCGTCAGCACTGGGAACTTGGTGGTGGGGTGGTTTGGAGAAGAGCGGAGGAGGTTGTGCGTTTGTCTTTATCTCCCGGCTTCTCCCTCCCTCTCAATGACGCCATGATTATTAATAAACCATTTCTCACTTATTGCTGCAGATGTAAACACTTCACCAGAATTGCGCAGCTCTTGCGTGCGCTTTCCTATTGACGTAGCTGGCGGGCTGGGATTTTGAGATGGGCTATGAGTATCCCAAATTTAGATGTAAAATAAAATACCCTGATCATTTGGGAATTATGATGTGGAATAAAAGGTAAAGTGATGTTTCACAAGGCGTAATTAAAGGCTTGGGGGTGTGGGGTGCAGATAAATCTGAACACTGCTTCCTGTGGACCCTCCCCTTGGTTAACCCTCTGAGACCCCCGAGCTTTGCCAGCCTGGAGCAGTGGTGGGAGGCTGAGCAACTACAGAAATCTACATGTTTACGTTGGGCCTCAATAAAGGGGAATCTGCAAGTTTCCCTTTTGGAAATAATGGTGGTGGCAACCGAATGGAAGCTTTTGGGGTAGAGAGTGTGAGCACTCGAGAATGAATCCACTGCCTCTGTTCTGGGACTACTCTCTCTCAAATCACAAAATGCTCACGGGGCAGGACGGGTTTTCCTGCAGTCATTGCTGTTGACTGTGAATGTGGGGTTGGAAGGGTGGTGTGGTATTGGTCTATGGGTTTTGACAAACGGAAAGTGCCACGTATCCATTATGACAATTATCACACAGGATCCTTTAACTACCCTCAAAAGAAATCCTCTGCACTTACCTATTCAACCCTCCATGTCCCCAAACCCCTGGCAACCATTGAGTCTCTATCATTTTGCCTTTTCCAGAATGTTATATAAATTGGATTGTGCAGTACGTAGTGTTTTCAGAGTGGCGTCTTTCTCTTAGTAATACACATTTAAACTTCCTCCATGTTTTTGCAGGCCTTGATAGCCCATTTCATTTGATTGCTGAATAGTATTCCATTATGTGGATGTACCACAATGCATCGTTCACCTACTGAAGGACATCTTGGTTGCTGACAGTTTTTCTCGAGTAGGAGCAAAGCATATGTTACCATTCATGTGCAGACTGTGTGTGTGGACTTCAGTTTTCAAAACAGTTGGCTAAATACCTAGGAGTGTGATTGCTGGATCATATGGTAATGCTATGTTTAGCTTTGTGAGAGGCTGCCAGATTGTCTTCTGAAGTGGTTGTGCCATTTTGCATTCCTGCCAAAAATGAATGAGAGTCCCTGTTGCTCTGCATCCTCTCATCAAATGGTGTGGTCGTTTTTTTGGAACTTAGCCATTGCCATAAATGTAGTAGTAACTTGTTTTAATTTGCACTTCCTAATGGCAAATGCTGTGTAGCATCTTTTCATGCTTTTCATTCCAATTGCATATTTTTTGAGAAAGCGTATGTTCAATGTTTTGCCTATCTTTAACTTGATTTACAAGTGTCCTCCTTTATCCACCATCTTGCTTTCCACAGTCCAAATACGTTAAATGGAAACTTCCAGAAATAATTCATAAGTTTTAAATTGCATGCCATTCTAAGTAGCATGATGAAATCTCAAGCCATCCCAGTCTGTCCCACTCAGGAATTGAATCATCCCTTTGCCCAGTGTTTCCTTGTTGTCCGTGTTACTTGCCCTTTAGTCACTTAGTTGTCGTCTCAGTTAATCAGACCCACTGTCATGGTATTACAGTGTTTGTGTTCAACTGACTCTTATTTTACTTAATAATGTAACCTCCCAATGGGTTCTCCTTGCCCGCTGCCCAGATAGAGGGGAATTGCAACAGAGACAGCAGATTTATCAAGACAGGAAAATTTCAATACAGAAAGAGTTTAGTTCACACAGACTTGGCTAAACAGGAGACAGGAGTTTTATTACTTAAATCAGTCTGCCACAGAATTCGGAGACTGGGGTTGTTCAAGGACAATTTGGCAGGTCAGTGGAGGGCAGGGAATGGGTCAGATTGGTCGGGTCAGAGGGGAAATCATAGGGGGTGGAACTGGGTTCTTTTTGCTGTCTTCTGTTTGTGAGTGGGATCGCAGAACTGGTTGAACCAGATGGCTGATCTTGGTGGCACCAGCTGGTGAATGAGAATGCAAGGTCTGATTCTGGAGCACCAGTCTTAGGTTTTATAATAAAAATGCTATCCCTAGAAGCAACTGGGGAGGTTAGGATTCTTGTGGCCTCTGGCTGCATGTCCTAAACCATAATTTCTAATCTTGTGCCTAATTTGTTAGTTTTACAAAGACAGTCTGGTCCCCAGGCAAGGAAGGGGTTTGTTTCAGGAAAGGGCTGCTATCATCTTTGTTTCAAAGTTACACTATGAACGAAGTTCCTCCTAAAGTTAGTTTGGTGCATGCCCAAGAATGGGTGATACGATCTGGCTGTGCCCCACCGAAATCTCAACTTGAATTGTATCTTTCAGAATTCCCACATGTTGTGGGAAGGATCCAGGGGGAGGTAATTGAATCATGGGGGCCAGTCTTTCCTATGCTGTTCTCGTGATACTGAATAAGTATCACAAGATCTGATGGGTTTATCAAGGGTTTCTGCTTTTACTTCTTCCTCATTTTCTCTTGCTGCCACCTTGTAAGAAGTGCCTTTCAGGCCAGGCGCGGTGGCTCACGCCTGTAATCCCAGCACTTTGGGAGGCTGAGGCGGGTGGATCATGAGGTCAGGAGATCGAGACCATCCTGGCTAACACATTGAAACCCTGTCTCTACTAAAAATACAAAAAATTAGCTGGGCGTGGTGGCAGGCACCTGTAGTCCCAGCTACTCAGGAGGCTGAGGCAGGAGAATGGCATGAACCCAGGAGGTGGAGCTTGCAGTGAGCTGAGATGGCGCCACTGCACTCCAGCCTGGGTGACAGGGCGAGACTCCATCTCAAAGAAAAAAAAAAAAGTACCTTTCACCTCCTGCCATGATTCTGAGACGTCCCCAGCCATGTGGAATTGTAAGTCCATTTAAACCTCTTTTTCTTCCCAGTCTTGGGTATGTCTTTATCAGCAACATGAAGACGGACTAATACAGTAAGTTGATACCAGCAGAGTGGGGTGTTGCTGAAAAGATACTCAAAGATGTGAAGGTGACTTTGGAACTGGGTAACATGCAGAGGTTGGAACAGTTTGGAGGGCTCAGAAGAAGACAGGAAAATGTGGGAAAGTTTGGAACCTACAGAGACTTGTTGAATGGCTTTGCCCAAAATGCTGATAGTGATATGAACAATAAGATCCGGCTGAGGTGGTCTCAGATGGAGATGAGGAACTTGTTGGGAAATGGAGCAAATTTAACTGTTGTTATGTTTTAGCAAAGAGATTGGCAGCACTTTGCCCCTGCCCTAGAGATTTGTGGAACTTTGAATTTGACAGAGATGATTTATGGTATCTGGCAGAAGAAATTTCTAAGCAGCAAAGCATTCAAGATGTCACTTGGGTACTGTTAAAGTGATGAGATTTTATAAGGGAAGCACAGCATAAAAGTTTGGAAAATCTGCAGCCTGACTATGTGATAGAAAAGGAAAACCCATTTTCTGGGGAGAAATTCAAGCAGGCTGCAGAAATTTGCCTAAGTAACAAGGAGCCTAATGTGAATCCCCAAGACCACGGGGAAAATGTCCCCAGGCCATGCCAGAGACCCTCATGGCAGCCCCTCCCATCACAGGCCTGGAGGCCTAGGAGGAAAAAGTGGTTTTGCGGGCTGGGCCCAGGGAAACCTAGGGACTTCCATGCTGTGTGCAGCCTAGGGACTTGGTGCCCTGTGTCCCAGCCACTCCAGCCATGGCTGAAAGGGGCCAATATACAGCTCAGACTGTGGCTTCAGAGGGTGGAAGCCCCAAGCCTTGTCAGTTTCCACATGGTATTGAGCCTGTGGGTGCACAGAAGTCAAGAATTGAGGTTTGGGAACCTCCACATAGATTTCAGAAGATGTATGGAAATGGCTGGATGCCCAGGCAAAAGTTTGTTGCAGGGGTGAGGACCTCATGGAAAACTTCTGCTAGGGCAGTATGGAAGGGAAATGTGGGGTGGGAGCCCCCACACAGAATCCCTACTGGGACATTGCCTAGTGGAGCTGTGAGAAGAGGGCCACCATCCTCCAAACCCCAGAATGATAGATCCACCAACAGTTCGCACTGTGCACCTGGAAGAGCTACACACTCAATGCCAGCCTGTGAAAGCAGCCAGGAGGGAGGCTGTACCCTGCAAAGCCACAGGGGCAGAGCTGCCCAAGACCATGGGAACCCACCTCTTGCATCAGTGTGACCTGGATGTAAGATCTGGAGTCAAAAGAGATCATTGTGGAGCTTTGAGATTTGCCTGCCCTGCTGGATTTCAGACTTGCAACAAAGGCCCTGTAACTCCTTTGTTTGGCCAATCTCTTCCATTTGGAATGTCTGTATTTACCCAATACCTGTTGTAACCCCCATTGTATCTTGGAAGTGACTAACTTGCTTTTGATTTTACAGGCTCACAGGCAGAAGGGATTTGCCTTGTCTCAGATGAAACTTAGGATTGTGGACTTTTGGGTTAATGCTGAAATGTGTTAAGACCTGGGGGACTGTTGGGAAGGCATGATTGACTTTGAAATGTGAGGACGTGAGATTTGGAGGGGCCAGGGGTGGAATGATAGGGTTTGGCTGTGTCCTCACCCAAATCTCAACTTGAATTGTATCTCCCAGATTTCCTACATATTGTGGGAGGGACCCAGGGGAGGTCATCGAATCATGGGGGCCAGTGTTTCCCATGCTAGTCTCATGATAGTGAATAAGTCTCTTGAGATCTGATGGACTTATCAGGGGTTTCTGCTTTTGCTTCTTCCTCATTTTCTCTTGCTGCCACCATGTAAGAAGTGCCTTTCTTCTCCTGCCATGATTCTGACGCTTCCCTAGCCATGTAGAACTGTAAGTCCAATTAAGCCTCTTTTTCTTCCCAGTCTTGGGTATGTCTTTATCAGCAGCATGAAAATTGACTGATACAATGGACAAGGGCAATTTGGAGGTTAGAAGCAAGACACACAGTTGGTTAGGTCAGATCTCTTTCACTGTTATAATTTTCTCACTGTTACTTTTTTTTGCAAAGGCGGTTCTAATAATGGCTCCAAGGCACAAGAGTGATGCTGACAATTCTGATATGCCAAAGAGAAGCCTAAACTGCTTCATTTAAGTAACTAGGTAATAGTTCTTGACTTAAAGAGGAAAGAAAAAAATATGTTGAGGTTGCCAACATTTACGCTAAGGATGAATCTTAAATCCATGAAATTGTGAAGAAAAAAAGAAAGACATTCTACATAGTATTTATATATATATAGGGTTTGGTACTTTCTGGAGTTTCAGGCAACCACTGGTGGTATTGGAACATACTCCATTTGGATAAAGAAGGAATACTATATTTGATTTCTTTTTGTTGAACTTTAAGAGATCTTTGCTTTTTTTTTTCCAACAGGTGCACACCAACACATGTAGATTATTTATTTATGTTTTTTTAGAAACAGGGTTTTTGCATATTGCCCATGCTGGTCTTGAACTCCTGGCCTCAAGTGATTCTCCTGCCTCAGTCTCCCAAATTGCTTGGGTTGTGGGTTTGAACCAAGCCTGGCCTCTTATTTTGGGTATAAGTATTTTTTCTGATATGTGTTTTGCAATATTTCTGCTAGGCTGTGACTTTACATTTCTTGACTTTTTTTCACATGGCAGTTTTAATAATAATTTTAATAAAATCTAATTGATCATTTTTTAATTTTATGGAGTATGCTTTTGATGTTGTATTTAAAAATGTATTGCCAAATCCTAAGTGGCATAGATTTTCTCTTACAAATCTGTATTAGGGTTCTCTAGAGGGACAGAACTAACAGGATAGATGTATATATAAAGGGAAGTTTATTAAGTAGTATTGACTCGCACAATCACAACATGAAGTCCCACAGTAGGCCCTCTGCAAGCTGAGGAGAAAGGAAGCCAGTCTGAGTCCCAAAACCTCAAATGTGTGGAAGCCAGCAGTGCAGCCTTCAGTCTCTAGTTGAAGGTCCAAGAGTCCAAAAGCTGAGTCTGATGTTGAAGGGCAGGAAGCATCCAGCACGGGAGAAGAATGCAGTCCCAAAGATTAAGCCAGTCAAGTCCTTCCACGTTCCTCTTCCTGCTTTTATCCTAGCCACACTGGCAGCTGATTAGATGGTGCCCACCCACGTTGAGGGTGAGTCTGCCTCTCCGAGTCCACTGACTCAAATGTCAGTCTCCTTTGGCAACACCCTCACAGACAGATCCAGGAACAATAGTTTACATCCTTCAATCCAATCAAATTCACACTCAATATTAACCATCACTGTATTATTCTAGAATTTTTATAGCTTTGCAATTTACATTTAGGCCTATGATTCATTTTTGAGGTAATCTTTGTGAAAGGATGAAGTTTTTGTCTAGGACCATATTTTATTTTAATTAATTAATTATTTATTTAATTTATTTTTGAGATAGCATTTCGCTTTTGTTGCCTGGGTTGGAGTGCAGTGGCACGATCTTGGCTCACTGCAACCTCCGCCTCCTGAGTTCAAGCGATTCTCCTGCCTCAGCCTCTCAAGTAGCTGGGATTACAGGCATGTGCCACCACACCCAGCTAATTTTGTATTTTAAGTGGAGACAGGGTTTCACCACGTTGCTCAGGCTGGTCTCGAACTCCTGACCTCAAGGGAACCACCCGCCTCAACCTTCCAAAGTGCTGGGATTACAGGCATGAGCCACCATGCCTGGCCATTGTCTAGGTTCATATTTTAGCATATGAATATCCAACTGTCCCAACACTATTTGTTAAAACAAACAAACAACAACAAAAAACCACTGTTCCTTCTCCTTTGGATTGCCTGTGTGCCTTTCTCAAAAATCAATTGACTGTGAGGGTCTCTTTCTGGTCTCTCCATTCTGTTCCATTGATCTATGTCTATTTTTTTCAAGAATATCACACTGTCTGGATTGTTCTATCTTCATGTTAAGTTTTAGATTTGCTAGTATGAGTCCTCCGATTTAGCTTTTCTTCTTCAGTATTGTGTTGGCTATTTTAGGTCCTTTGTGTTTTTATAGGAATTTTAGAATACGTTGTTGATATCTAGAAGATGGCTCCCTGGGATTTTGATTGGGATTTCATTGAGTCTGTAGGTCCAGTAAGGAAGGATGTATATTTTATCAATACTGAGCCTATTAACCCATGAATAGTGACTAGCTTTCCCTTTAGTTAGATCTTGATTTCTTTCATCAGTGTTTTGTAGTTTTGTGCATAGAGATCCTGTAAACATACATAAGTACTTCATTTTTGTGTGCTATTGTAAATACTATTATTTTTTATATTTTAAGTTCCAATAGTTAATATTTTACTTATAGGAAAGCACCTGTATCCTCTGACCTTGTTATATTTGCCTATTAGTTCCAGGAACTTTATTGTAAATGTTTAGAAAATTTCTACATAGAAAATCATGTCCTCTTTTTAGTTTAGTGGTTAGTATGGGGAGAAAAAGAAAGTCATGTCATCTGTAAATAAAAATATCTTTCTTTGTATACTATTTTTTTCTTACTACATTAGTCAGGACTTTGAGTACGTTGTCAATTAAGATCCCATTACTGGGTATATACCCAAAGGACTATAAATCATGCTGCTATAAAGACACATGCACACATATGTTTATTGCGGCATTATTCACAATAGCAAAGACTTGGAACCAACCCAAATATCCAACAATGATAGACTGGATTAAGAAAATGTGGCACATATACACCATGGAATACTATGCAGCCATAAAAAATGATGAGTTCACGTCCTTTGTAGAGACATGGATGAAACTGGAAATCATCATTCTCAGTAAACTATCACAAGAACAAAAAACCAAACACTGCATATTCTCACTCATAGGTGGGAATTGAACAATGAGAACACATGGACACAGGAAGGGGAACATCACACTCTGGGGACTGTTGTGGGGTGGGGGTAGGGGGGGAGGGATAGCATTGGGAGATATACCTAATGCTAGATGACGAGTTAGTGGGTGCAGCGCACCAGCATGGCACATGTATACATATGTAACTAACCTGCACATTGTGCACATGTACCCTAAAACTTAAAGTATAATAATAATAAATTTAAAAAAAATGTAAAAAAAAAAGATTTATAAGAGAAGACATCCATTCCTTGTTCCTGATCATAGGAGGAATGCATTTAGTCTCTCACCACTATAATGTTAACTATTTTCCCACATATACCCTTTACTAAGCTAAAGAAGCTCCCGTCTATTCCTGTTTTTTTGAGATTTTTTATTTGAATGGATAATAATTATTTTCAAATGATTTTTCTGCTTCGATTTATATGGTCATATTTTTTTCTTCTTTTTCAGTCTTTTAATATGATGAATTACCTAAACTGATTCACAAAATTTGAACCAGCCTTGCATTCCTGGCACTAATATCCCTGATAATAATATGCTGTCATTTTACTGGATATTGGTGGATGATACTATGTTAAGGTATTTTGAATATATTTGACTTTAGCTTTCTTTTCTTGTAATATATTTGTCTGATTTTGGTATTAGGGTAATGCTGGTCTCATAAAATGAGCTGATATGTTCTCCCACTGCTGCTATTTTGGGAAATATATTGTGAAAATGTGGAACTATTTCTTACTTAAAGAATTCACAACTAAAACCATCTATTCCTTGTGCTTTCTTTATTAAAAAGGTTTTAATTATTAAGACAATTTTTAATACATGTGGGGCTACTCAGGTTAATATATTTTTCTGTGTGTGAGTTTTCATACTTGTGATTTTTAAGTAATTAATTTATTTTATCAAAGTTACCATATTTGTGGACATAGAATTTTTCACAGTATGCTCTTATTATCCTGTTAATACTCATAAGATCAATAGTGACTCCTCTTTTTTTTTCTGATATTTGTTTATTCTGTTTTATTGGCTCTCCTAGCTAGATACTTTCCAATAACCATATTTTGGGTTGTTTTTCACTGTAATTCTTATCCTTGTTTTTTTATAGGTAAGATTTTTCTCCTCTGGCTTTTTAAAAAAGAGATTCTCTATTTTCCTTTGACTTTCTGATGTTTCAATAGGGGTGTGTGTGTGTGTGTGCGCGCTTGTGTGTATGTGTGTGTATATGTGTGTTTTAAGTGTTTATCTTATTTGGTACTTTTGAGCTCCTTGAATCTGCGGGTTTTAGGGAGGAATCTTTTATTAATTTTGGAAGTTATTGGCCATTATTATTTCAAGTATTTATTGTGCTCCATCCTTTTTTTCTTATCTTTCCAGTATTCCAATTATTAGTACTTATACCTTTTAAGACTATCACACAGTTCTTGGATGTCATTTCTATTTTTGGATTTTGTTTTCATTCCTTTTTTCCTCTTTGCATTTCACTTGTAAGGTTTCCTTTTTGTTTCAACATTTTTTTTTAGGTTCAGGGGGTACATGTGCAGGTTTTTACATGGGTAAATTGCATATCAGTGAGGTTTGGTGTATGAATGATCCTGTCACCCAGGTAGTGAGCATAGTAACCTGATAATGTATTTTTTCAGCCTTTGCCTCCTTCTCACCCTTTCCCTCTTAATAGTCTCCAGTATCTACTGTTCCTATTTTTATGTCCATGTGTACTCAGTGTTTAGCCGCTACTTATAAGTGAGAACACAGGATATTTGGTTTTCTCTTCTTGTGCTAATTTGCTTAGGATAATGGCCTCCAGCTCTACCCATGTTGTTGCAAAGGACGTGAGTTAATTCTTTTTTATGGCTGCATATGTACCATGATGTATAGGTACTACATTTTCTTTATCCAGTCCACCTAGATGGGCATCTAGGTTAATTCCATGTCTTTGGTATTGTGAATAGTGCTGTGATGAACATACAAGTACATGTGTCTTGTTGGTGAAATGATTTATTTTCTTTTGGGTATATACCAAGTAATGGAATTACTGAGTCATCCTGTTTTCAGTTCTTTGAGAAATTGCCACATTGCTTTCCACAGTGGCTGACCTAATATGTATTCCCACCAACAGTGTATGAGTGTACCCTTTTCTCTGCAACCTCATAAAGCATGTGGTGTTTTTTTTTTTACTTTTTAGTAATAGCCATTCTAACCAATGTGAGATGATATCTCATTGTGATATTGATTTCATTTCTCTAATGATTAGTCATGTTGAGCATTTTTCATATGTTTGTTGGCCATTTGTATGTTTTCTTTTAAGAAGTGTCTGTTCATGTTCTTTGCCTACATTTTAATGGGTTTGTTTGTTTTTTGCTTGTTGATTTAAGTTCCTTATAAATTCTGGATATCAGACCTTTGTTGGATTCATAGTTTGTGAATATTTTCTCTCATTCTCGAAGGTTGTCTGTTTACTCCGTTGATAGTTTCTTTCACTTAGCAGAAGCTCTTTAGTTTAATTAGGTGCCACTTGTCAACTTTTATTTTTGTTGCAATTCCTTTTGGGGATTCAGACATAAATTATTTGCCAAGGACAATGTCCAGAATGGTATTTGTAGGTTTTCTTCTAGGGTTTTCATGTTGTAGGGCTTGTATTTAACTATTTAATCCATCTTGAGTTGATTTTTGTATATAGTGAAAGGAAGGTGTTCAGTTTTGATCTTGTGCATACAGCTAGCCAGTGAGCCCAGCACTATGTAATAAGTTGGGAATCCTTTCCTTATTGCTTGTTGTTGTTGAAGATCAGATGATTATGATTACAGATGATTAGGTGTGTAGCTTTATTCCTGGGTTCTTTATCCAGTTCCATTGGTCTGTGTATCACTTTGTGTACCTGTACTATGTTGTTTTGGTTACAGTAGCCTTGTAATATAGCTTGAAGTATGACCATGTGATGCCTCGAGCTTTGTTCTTATTGTTAAGGATTACTTTGGTTATTTGGGCTCTTCTCTGGTTCCATGTAAATTTTAGAATACTTTTTGATATAGTTTGGCTCTGTGTCCCCACCCAAATATCATCTTGTAGCTCCCATAATTCCCATGTGTTGTGGGAGGGACCTGGTGGGACATGACTGAATTATGGGGGTGGGTCTTTCCTTCCCTGTTGTCATGATAGTGAATGGGTCTCAGGAGATCTGTTGGTTTTTAAAACAGAAGTTGCCCTGTACAAGCTCTCTTTTTGCCTGCTGCCATCCACATAAGATGTGACTTGCTTCTCCTTGCCTTCTGCCATAATTGTGAGGTTTCCCCAACCATATGGAACTGTAAGTCCAATAAAACATTCTTTTGTAAGTTGCCCGGTTGGGTGTTTCTTTATCAGCAA
Source organism: Homo sapiens (assembly GCF_000001405.40). Lineage (NCBI taxonomy): Eukaryota > Metazoa > Chordata > Mammalia > Primates > Hominidae > Homo > Homo sapiens. The sequence goes on from NC_000015.10 coordinate 23,774,562, forward strand.
CGGGAAAATGGACTAATACCCTTTTTTTTCTATTTCTGTAAAAATGATGTTGATAGTTTGATAGGAATGGTGTTGAATCTGTAGAGTGCTTTGAGACATATGGCCATGTTAAAGATACTAACTCATCTGAACTGTGAGCATCGAATGTTTTCCATTTGTTTGTGTCATCTGTGATTTCTTTCAGCAGTGTTTTTTAGTTATCCTTGTAGATATTTTTTACCTCCTTGGTTAGATGTATTCCAAGGTATTTTGTTTGTGTGTGGCTATTGTAAATAGGATTGAATTCTTTTTTTTTTTTTTTTTTGAGACGGAGTCTTGCTCTGTTGCCCAGGCTGGAGTGCAGTGGCGCAATCTCGGCTCACTGCAAGCTCCGCCTCCCAGGTTCACGCCATTCTCCTGCCTCAGCCTCCTGAGTAGCTGGGACTACAGGTGCCCGCCACCACTCCCAGCTAATTTTTTGTATTTTTAGTGGAGACGGGGTTTCACCATGTTAGCCAGGATGGTCTCGCTCTCCTGACCTCGTGATTGGCCCGCCTCAGCCTCCCAAAGTGCTGGTGTTACAGGCGTGAGCCACTGCACCCAGCCAGGATTGAATTGTTGAATTGGCTTTCAATTTGAATGTAGTTGGTATACAGAAATGCTACTGGTTTTTGTATATTTATTTTGTATCCTTAAACTTTACTGAAGTTGCTTATCAGCTCTGGGAGCCTTTTGGGGGACTCTTTAGGGCTTTCTAGGTATAGAATCATATTACCAACAAAGAGAGATAGTTTGGCTTCCTCTTTTCCTATTTGGATGCCTTTTATTTACTTCTCTTGCCTGCTTGCTCTGGCCAGGACTTCCAGTACTATGTTGAATAGGAGTGGTGAGAATGGGCATTCTTATCTTGTTCCAGTTCTCAAGGGTAATGCTTCCAGCTTTTGCCCATTCAATATGATGTTGGTTGTGGGTTTGCCACAGATGGCAGTTATTATTTTGAGGTATGTCCCCTCTGATGTCTAGTTTATTGAGGGTTTTTATCATGGAAGGATACTAGTTTTATAGAAAACTTTTTCTGTGTCTGCTGAGATGATCACATTGTTTTATTTTTAATTCTGTTTATGTAGTGATTCACACTTATTGATTTGCACATGTTGAACAAGCCCTGTATCCTGCAAATAAAGTCAATTTGATCTTGGTCAATTAACTTTTTGATGTGCTGTTGGATTGATTTTGCTACTATTTTGTTGAGGATTTTTGAATCTATCTCCATCAAGGATATTGGGCTGTAGTTTTCTTTTGTTGTTTTTGTTGTGTCTTTGCCAGATTTTGGTATCAGAGTGATGCTGGCTTCATAGAATGATTTAGGGAGGAGTCCCTCCTCCTCAAATTTTTGGAATAGTTTCAGTAGGAATGGTATTAACTCTGCATTCTATGTCTAGTAAAATTGAGCTGTGAATCCATCTGGTCCAGGGCTTTTCTTTGTTGGTGTGTTTTGAATTACTAATTCAATTTCAGAACTCATTATTGATATGTCCAAGGTTTCAGTTTCTTTGTGATTCACTCTTAGGAAGTTGTGTATCTCCAGGAATTTATCCATTTTCCATAGGTTTTCTAGTTTGTGTACACAGAAGTGTTTATAATAGTTGCAGATGATTTTTTGTGTTTCTGTGGAATCTGGTGTAATGCTACCTTTGTTGTTTCTGATTGTCCTTATTTGGATCTTCTGTATTTTTTTCTTCTTTGTTAATCTTGCTGCTGGTCTATTGATCTTGTTTATCCTTTCAAAGAATAAGCTTTTGGTTTTGTTGATCCTTTGTATGGATTTTTGGGTCTTGATTTCATTCAGTTCTGCTCTGATTAGTTATTTCTTTTTTTATACTAACTTTGGGGTTAGTTTGTTCCTTTTTTTAGTTCCTCTAGGTGTGATGTTAAGATTATTAATTTTAGATCTTTCTAACTTTTTGATTTAGGCATTTAGCACTATAAACTTTTCTTCTTAACACTGCTTTGGCTGCATCTCAGAGATTTTGCTATGTTGTGTTTTGTTTTCATTTATGTCAAAGAATTTTTAAATTTTGGCCTTAATTTCCCTGTTTACTCAAAAGTCATTCAGGAACAAGTTATTTAATTTCCATGTAATTGTGTAGTTTGGAGAGATATTTTTATTTCACTATGACATGAAAGTATCATTGGTATGATTTCAATTTTTAAAAAAGTTATTCAGACTTGCTGTATGGCTGAGCATATGGTCAATATTAGAATCTGTTCCAAGTGCAGATGAGAATAATGTATATTCTGTGCTTGATGGGTGGAGTGTTCTACAGATGTTTATTAGGTCCAATTGGTTGTGTCAAATTTAAGTCCAGAATTTCTTTGTTAGTTTCTGCCTCAATAATCTGTCTAATGCTGGCAGTGGGGTGTTGAAGTCTCCCACTATTATTGTATGGCGACCTAGGCCTTTTTTTTTTTTTTTTTAGGCCTAGAAGTACTTGTTTTATGAACAAGTACTCAAGACTTTTTTGATTTGCCTGGATTTAAGGCTGTGGCCTTCATAAAATGTTTCTTACTCTCTTCTGATAAAATAGGCTTCTCCTCTATGACTGATTCTGATTCCCTTCACTGGCTGCAACACTGAATTTCTTCGATGTTGGGTGCATATATATTTATGATAGTTAAGTCATCTTGTTGAATTGAACGTTTTATTATATAGTGCCTTTCTTTGTCCTTTTTTACTGTTGTTAGTTTAAAAAAATTATCTGACATAATAATACTGACTCCTGCTCCTTTTTGCTGTTTGTGTGATTGATCCTTACTTTGATTCTATGAATGTTGTTACGTTTAAAATGGATCTCTGGAAAACAGAAGATGTCTTTTTTTTTTTTTATCCAACTTGAAAAATATGGAATGCTTCACACATTTGCTTGACATCCTTGTGCAGGCGCCATGCTACCCTTTTGTGTATCCTTCCAATTTTAATATATATCCTGCTGAAGCAAGCACCAATTGTAAAGTTTCTATTTAATTATCTTCCAGTTCACTGATCCTTTCCTCAGCTATGTCAAAAGTCTATCAAAGAGATTTTTTAAAAATTTCCATTAAGGTGTTTGGTATTTCTAGCATTTCCTTTTTTTTTTTTAAGTTTTTAATCACTGTTTACATCTGTTCTTGAATGTTGTCTATCTACTTTTTTCATTAGGGACATTAACATATTAACCATAGCTGTCTTACATTCTCTGTCTGATAATTCCAACATCTTTGTCATATCACAGTCTGGGTCTGATTATTGAATTGTTTCTGTAGTCTGTGTTTTTCATTGTGTTTGGGCATGGACTTTTTGCAGTTAAAGCTGAACATACTGTATCAGCCAGTAGGAACTGAGGTAACTAGGATTTTAAATGTGAGGATTTATGTTAATCTGGCCAGGAGTTGTGATTTGTTTAATATTTGTTGAAGTTGTAAGTACCAAAGGCTTCAAAAAAATGTAGTGGCCTTGTTTTTGTCTCCTCTTTTATTTTAAGGGATTTCCTGTGTTCTACCACTTACAACTAGTTTGTATCTTGCAGCTGTTTCAGCTGTAATTTATTATTTTGGGGCTGCCTTGATGTGATCATAAGATATGAAGAAGAGGGTAACATTCTAAAATATTCTGAGTAAATCTCAGGCTTTTTTTGATTTGCCTGCACTTAAGGCTGTGGCCTTCATAAAATGTTTCTTACTCTCTTCTGGTAAAATAGGTTTCTTCTCTATGCCTGATTTCGATTCCTCTCACTGGCTGCAGCACTCTGATTTTCTTTCCTTGAATCCCACATTGACTATGGTTTTTGTTTTCTTTTGTTTTTCCTTTAGGTGAAACAGAAGGGGTGGAGTGTACGTTTCTCTGGTTATGTTTCACAACAGTTGCATTCCTCTTCCCAGACAGAGCTGAGTGTGGGTCTTTCTGAGATACTCACTTTGAGAACCTACTGGAGTTCTTGAAGGGAAATATTTGGGTTTGCTTCAAATCTTACTTCTGCCTCTAATTTCAAGAAAGTTTGCCTGATAAATGAGCAAAAATGATATACTAAAGTCTTTCTTTATACATAAACTCTAATAGGCAAATAAGACCCCTTTATCCTTGCTTTTTCCAATTCACTCTATATGCAATACATAATCTGCAATGGCCCTGGGACCTAAATGTGAAAGCTAAAACAATTAACCTTCTAGAAGAAATGAAAAAGTAGATTACCCCTATGACTTTGGGGTACAAAAATATTAATTAAATAATATTGTAAGGCAGCAAATATTTTTAAAAGATTGATAATTTGGACTTTGTTAAAATTAAGAACTTTACATCCCACAAAGGATTGTAGGCAGAACTTCAAATCAATAAAAAAAAAGGCAGGCAATCATATTTAAAATGGCCAAAATGCTGAATCAGAAACTTCAAAATGATAATGTTAAAGTGGCCAACAAACATATGAAAAAGTTCTCAATGCTATTACTCATCATGAAAAGGTAAAATTAGACTGTGAAATCACTAAACTTGAAGGGATTGACAATGTCAATTATGAAGGAAATTGGACTTTCATATACTGCTAGTGGGAATGAAAGTGGTACAACCGCTTTGGGAAAATGTTTGGTAGTATCTAGTAAACATAGATATACCCTATGACTCAACAAATTCTATCCTGAGAATATACCAAGAGAAGCAAATACTTATGTTCATCAAAATATATTTAACAGTGATGTTGTAACGTCATTCATAATAGCTAAGTGTTGGAAATTATTCTGCTGTGTATCAGAAGTACGAGGGGACAATACATGGTGCTGTAGTCACACAGTGGAATACTACACAGCAATGAAAATGAAAAAGAAAACTATAAAGGTATGTAATACTGTGGATTAATCTCACAGACATAAAGTGGATTGAAAAGTGCCACATACTGTGTAATTGCATTCATGGAAAGCTCAACATTCAAAACAAATCTATGGTGATAAAGTTAGAATAATGGTTGACTCTAGAAGGCCAGTAGCCTAGGCACTGAGGAACCATCCCAAGCATTGAGAATGCTCTGTTGAGGTGACTGATTGCATGGGTGTACACTTGAGTAAACCTTATCAAGCTGTACATTTAAGATTTGTATATCTACCAGATAAAATTTATATTTTCATTTTAAAGAGACATTAACATTAACATTTGAGATTGGGGCTCTTAGATTTTCAGGCCCATCTCTGTTTGTGAAAACCAAGCAGGTGGAGAACAGCTTGTGTATCACTATGTAGGAAGAAGCAATCAGTAGTTTCTCTGTGTCCAGGAGTCCGTGTGAAAGGCTGTCCTCTAATCTTGCTGTACTAAGGCGACTTCTTTTCACCCATCTCCTGCAAATCAGTTGAGAGTGGCAGTGCTAGTTTGTTTGTCAGTTTTCACTTGCACTCCCTCTCTCTGAGCTCGTGGGTGTTAATGTGACATGTGCGAAATGTCACCAAAGAAACGATCATAAACATGACTTCCCACAAATGGTATTCTCCTGCCAGAAAAACAAATGTAACTATGGGGTGGTATAATTTGGTATGGGCTGTGGAGGTTCTAATATGCAATAGAATAAATCCCAGATATTTTGTGAACTATGAGTCAGAATGAATGAGTACTTACTGTAATTTAGTAAGTGGTACTTTAAAATCTGATGGGGTAAGGAGGAAAATTTGATTGAAGGGAGAAACAAAAAGGGAACCATTTCTCATTTTCATCTTCTGATGCCCCGTTCTGAATGTGACACCCAGGACATGTTTTATGAGACCACTGGATATATACCCAAAAGTTTGCAAGGAGCGTGTCTTAGAAAAGAAAGTTTTGCCTGCTGTGGAGATGTGGCAGCGCTGGACTGGAAAATGTTAAGGAATGTGAATTTTCTTCATGTGCTGGAAGGCTTTGTTGGCACTGCATCCTCCTCTTAGATGCATGGAGGGCATGAGAGTAAGATTGGAGTGGAAGCAGGAACATGATGGCTCTTGGCACAGAACAGACAGGGATGCCAGCAATGCTTTCTCTTCTTGCATGTCCTTTCTCCTCATAAGCTGTCACTGTGGATATAGACCAAGCTATCTTCCCTGTAAATAGACCTGATCCACACACTGCCCTGTCCCATAGGTCAGCCATAGTGTACTATTCATAAATAGAAATCAAGTGACTGAGCAAACTCAGATAATATGTGATAGAGACCGGAAGTGAAAGGAGATAGGAGTTTGATAAATGGACATGTATTACACTGGAGGAGCTGCAGCTGAAGAAGAGAAGGCTTGATCCCCAAATGGGAAGGATGCCCATGCCATCCACATTCTTCACTGAACATGGCTGAGTCCCAGATGGTTTCTCTGTGTATGCGGCCCGACTTCAGAGGGAGAGAATCAATGTGAACTCTCTAATGTGATAGAATGCTCTAATTGGATTAAGCACATTCTGAGTAAAGGCTGGTGGCATCAGACCTACTGAGGCACCAACTGTGTTTCTGAGAGTTAAGGTGAAGAGGGCTGGTGGAGGGAGGGTGTAGTGTGGAGAATGCCAGGAGAGATGAGCATGTGGTATGGATCAGAGAGGTCTCTCTGGGCCACAGCTGTGCCTCCCTTTGACCTGTACAAGGTAAGAAGAGGAGGGACGAGTGCTGCCTGTTCATTTTTCTCCTTTTCTTTTTGAGCTCACATTTGTAGTAGGATGTTTCTCCTCATGGACTGACTCCTAAGTGTGACTGCAGATTAATCTACTCCATCAACTTTCACATATTCATCCACACACAAAACATAAAACTTAGACATAGGATAAAAGAGCCCACCTTGATCATCTATGAAACACGATGTGGGCCATGAGGCAACTGCACTTTCATAAAGGTTGCTTCAAGGCCTGTGTGGATAACATTTCAGGAGGACTGACTGGAGGCAGCCCTTGTGGGAGAACTAAAGCTCATCTATAAAATCTGTGCTCTGTTTCCTGCCCCCCTTCCTGACCCTGCTTGCTACTACCCACACATTTGTGCTAAGCAGGAACAGAGTTGAAGGGCTAAGGGGTCGGGTGTGTGTGGCTCATCCTAGTGGAAGGCAGGATGTTTGAAATTGGGTCCACAATATTCCAAACTGGGAAAATGCCCATTTTTCATAGGATCAGGAGATGCTCTGGCAGCCTGGACACCTGCTTCCTGACCTATATGGTTTGCAGGCCAGTCGTGCCTGAGGAAGTCCAGCTATCCACCGTCGAGTAGGAATCTTGCTCCAGCTCCTTATTCCTACTGCGAATTCATAGCATCACCCCCTGGCAGGCGGGGAGGGGGAAGAAGTGCTAACTGCTGGCTACAAAGTCAGGCCAGTACAGAGTTACTGTGAAACTGGTGAATCGGTGTCCTTAGATATAATAATTCTTTTCAGGGAAACTGCAGAGTCGTGATTCTGAACATGTTCAATGGGAAATTTGTTTGTGTAAAAGACAGGCACATTGGTTTTGTCCTTTCTGGGAGGCGTCCTCTTGATACTGGTCCGTTCTTTCTGGCGCACTGGAGAGATTTCTTCCTGCCTTTGCAGTTTTATGAGGGTGGGGGGTGGAGGGGTGAAAAAGGGGTGACTTTCCATGCTGGGGTCTTCCCGGATACCCCTCTTTGTTTTTCTAAGTCTACCTTGACTCACAGAAGGAGAAAAGAGGGAATTGTTCCTACCCGCACAACTTGTGGGTAGTAGCAAGCAGGGTGAGGAAGGGGGCTTGCTTTAGATTTAAATAAAAGTTGCAGTGGTGATACAGAGAGTTCCTGTATGCCCTACACCCAGTTTTCCCCATTACTAACATCTTGCATTAGTGGCATATTTATCACTACTAAGCGACCAATACTGACATGATTGTTAACTAAAGTCCATGCTTTATTGCTATTCCTTTAGTTTTTACCTAGTACCCTAATGTCCTTTATCTGCTTCAGGATCCCATCCAGGATACCACATTTATATCTATTTGTCATGCTTCCTTAGACGACTCCTGGTTGTCACAGGGACTCCAGTTTTGATGACCTTGATAGTTTTGGGGAGTCCTGGTCAGATATTTTGTAGACTGCCCCTCTACTGGAAATTTATTTATTTATTTATTTTTGAGATAGAGTCTTGCTGTGTCACCCAGGCTGTGTGTTCAGTAGCTCGATCTTGGCTCACTGCAACCCCTTCCTCCCGGGTTCAAATGATTATCCTGCCTCAGCCTCTCAAGTAGCTGGAATAACAGGTGTACACCACCACACCCCTGATGACTTATGTATTTTTAGTAGAGACAGTGTTTCACCATGTTGGCCAGGCTGGTCTCGAACCCCTGACCTCAAGTGATCTGCCTGCCTCAGTCTCCCAAAGTGCTGGGATTACACGTGTGAGCCACCACCACCGGGAATCTATTGGAAATTCAGTGCTGTTTTTCTCATGATTAGACTGGAGTTTTTGGGTTAGCAAGGGAAGACCACAGAGGTCATCATTGTTTTCATAATATGGTATCAGGAGTGCATGCTGTCATCATGACTGATCGCTGTTGATGTTGACTTAAATCACATGGATGAGGTAGTGTTTTCCAGGTTTCTCCATGGTAAAAGCTCTTTTTCCCCTTTCCATACTGTAGTTATTGACAGAAAGTCACTGTGTGCAGTCCCCACTTCAGGGATTATGCTCCCCTCCCTGATGGCGGAGTATCTGCATATATTATTTGGAATTCTGCAAGCAGGCCTCTTTTTCACCCTCTGAATCTTAGAATTTTGAATGCTTAAAAGCGGTGGGCTGAGTGTGAGGTAAGAAAAATCAAGATGTTTAATTGGACATCTCTTGTATAACCTGGTAGCCAGTCTTAGATTTGTTGAAAGTGTGATATTTTTTTCTTCCTAAGGTAAGGACCAGGTGGTGCTCTGGGAGGGTGTTTAGAGAATGGAGGTGGAATGGGCTTCTTCCAGAGCCCACGCATGAACTGTGGGCAGTGGCTTGGTTACCCCAAGTTCCTGAATGTTTCCCTTGCAACATGGAAGGGGACAAGGAATATTGTGAAAGGGAAGATGTATATATGTTTGGTTTCTGGGGAAAAGGGACATTAGAAGTAGCCATGAGGGGCCGGGTGCAGTGGCTCACACCCGTAATCCCAGCACTGTGGGAGGCCGAGGCTGGCGGATCACCTGAGGTCAGGAGTTTAAGACCAGCCTGGACAATATGGTGAAACCTGGTCTCTACTAAAAATGAAAAAATTAGCTGGGCGTGGTGACAGGTGCCTGTAACCCCAGCTACTCAGGAGGCTGAGGCAGGAGAATCAGTTGAACCCAGGAGGTGGAGGTTGCAGTGAACCAAGATCACACAATTGCACTCCAGCCTGGGCAACAGAGCAAGACTCTGTCTCAAAAAAAAAGGACGCATGACAGGGCAGTACAAGGTGCTGGACCCTAACAAGATAAGGAAAGTGTCCAAGGACAGGGCCCAGCACTGGGATTGAGGAGGGCTGTGTGGAAGTCCATTCTCCAAGAGTGAAGTTCTGGTTTTCATTATCCTTCACCCATGTGCTGACTTAATGCTTCTACAATGTGTGATCACTCTCCCATAGTGGCTGCTGTCTTCTCCCTGTACCTCCCCACCTTGCTCAGACTCCCCACCCCACTGGCCCCCAACAGCTGCATTCTGTCCTCACAGCTTTCTGGCTCTAATACCCCATGTAGGGCCTCCACGCTCATGGGGAAGAATCACACAGAATTTCCCACTACCCAATGCTTCCCTTTGTGTGATCTGGACAGAGAGAGGTCAGGGGGTCTGAAACTTGGGCTATATGACAAAATGAGGTGTTAATGTTTAAAATCTGAGAAAAGGCCTGTTTTTCTCAGATTTTTGTTCTTGTAAACAAAACTCATGATTCCCTGAATAAATTGAACTTATGGCAGACATGCTAATCAACTTTAATAAGTTGTACTGCAGTATCAAAGACCCCTCAGAATTACGTTGATTTGCAATCACGAACACCTATTTCTTCTTCATGTATAAAAATAACAATGGTTGACTACTGCTTTGTTTCATGTATCTTCTGGGATCTAGGTGGCAAACACACCACATTACAGCAGAAGGAAAAGTAATCACACATCTTTGGATGCATATCTTCAAGTATCTACGTGGTCGTGGCAACCATCACTTCAGCTCACATTCTCAAAGGCAGTTGTAGGCCCAAGCAGAATGTCTGTGAGACATAGAGTATATCCTTTTTATAGGGAAGGGTGAGGGAACAATGAAAAACAACAATGGAAAGAACAATTCATCCTGAGGCAGAATTCCTCTCTAGCTGTGAACCTGTGTAATCGAACAAGTTATACAAAATACAACCGTCATGGTATAGGGTAGTCACTCCCATTTCAAAAAGGAGTAACAGGAAAGAAGGAAGGGGTGAATGGGTCCCAATCAAGTCCAAAATCTAGCAAGGTAAGCTCCATGAAATCTTAAGGCTCCAGAATTTAACTGTTTGAGGTCTTCATCAATTTTGGAAAATCCTCAGGCATTATTTCCTCAGATACTGCTTTGGTCCCATTTATCTCTCTTTCTTCTACTTTGCAGATTCTAATTCCAAATAATGTTCAAATCTTTACTGTTTCCTAAATGTCTCAAATATAGATTTTCAATAATTTATCTCTGTAATTACTTTAATATATTAGCTGTTGATCTTTCTATGTATTATTCACTCTATTATTCACTCATACAAAGTTCTTAATTTTAGCTACTGAATTTTTATTTTTATAATTTGAGTATTTTATGTGTTACTCACCTTTGGAAACTTTTCATATTTTCATCTTTTTATATCTTTTTTATAAAAATTTTGTCTTTTTAAGCAAACAAAAAAAAAAGACAAAGCAAAAAGGTTTTGTCTTTTTAAGCAAAGATGTTACTTAAAAATAGAAGTGGGAGTATCCACTTACCAACTTCCTCAGTACCTGTAGAAAAATTAGCTTGCCAGTTAGAAATAATAAGATGTACAGTAAAGTGTCAATTTAAGGTGTCAATCATTTAAAAAAACATTAACCTAAAGCACAGCTATCAATAATATTCAAGATAATTTTATGGGAAAATGACATTAAATTTCACTTTCATAAAAATACCAGAGAATGGTACTTGAGACCACTCACAGTACAAACCTGGTTACAAATATTGCTTCATTTCCCTTAAGTATGCAGAAGCCACTCCCTCCTTTAAGTGAACCCCCAGTGTGTCATCTAATCACACCATCAGACTTCAAGTCTTGGATCTCATATGGCACTTTAACTTTACTGTATAGGGTCTTTGGTATCTAGAGATTTGAAAGATATGTTGGCGGCTCCACACACAATCACACAATCCACATGTAATATTGGGGCAGGGTAATCTCGATAAATACTCGCTTTCAGAAAGGGGAAGGAAGGCGGCACTCAGCCATCAGTGCGTAACAAAAATTCTGAAATCTGTTCGGACAAACATTGTGAGGACCCCCAGCTAGTTGGTAGACAACCTTATTTCAACCATCCCAGTGTCTGCTGCCTTGGAGCAGGTCTCTAGTCGGTCATACTCTGAGATTCTTGGCTCCACACCCCGGGAAGTCCATCCTTCCCCATCCATTTCCTTGGCCACATGAGAATTGGGCATAAAAGAATATTCTCTCTTTGGGAAAAGAACAGAATATTGTTGGCTCAAAGGTAATTTTACTTCTCAAACAGCTACAGGCTATTTTGGCAGTACAACTCTCTCAAAGCCTAATTAGTTTTTGTTCTGCAAAATTCCAGTGTGCCGACAGTTATATCCACAATTCTTTTCATGACCTGTTCTACCTTAGCTTGAGGTAAGATGAAGTAAATTGAGGTAGCAGACTTCCAAGAAAGAGTCACACCCTTTGGCTTTTTTGTTCTCTGAGACATTCCGCATAAAAAGTGTTGACTTGATTTCCCTTCATTCAATTCAGAGGTCATAACAAAGGGCATGAGGCCAATGATTTGGTCTTTACTGTAACACTGAGTTTTGATCCTTGTTCCTCAATTTCAGCTCGCATCATTTGGAGAGAACAGTCAATTCCATCTTTTGACCTTGCTGTCAGATACACAATTTATTATCCGAAATTATCTTGTTCTTGTAATACCTTTTCTAAAGTAGCCAACAGCAGCTAAAACATGCTAGTTGCCTTCAGTCTCCCAGACTCTTTGGCTAAATTCATAAGCTCATTCCAACTTATCATACACACATTGTAGCAAAATGCCTTATCAATAAAAACACGAGTCACTCTTATTTTCCAGGAGTTAATAAGAGCTTTGCAACTGCCTATCTCCTGGACTGGAGATAAATGTTTTAGCTTTTCATTCTGGTGACACCTCATAACTGGTACTGATTTCTTTATTCATTCATTTTCACTAGGTTATCGCTATGGTAAGAAATGACCCCCAAAACTCAGATACTCATAATTAATTAATTTCTTGTTTATATACATGTTAGCTGTGGGTCTGGTGGGGGTCAGTTGCAGTTTTTTGCATGTCTTTTGGGTTCTGGGATCCAGATTGAAAGACATGCCATTCTTATGACAGCAGGAACAGAAGCAATCACAGAAGTACGTGATGGCTCTTAGGGTTATGCTTGGTTGTGGCATTCATAATTTCTTCTCAAATTCCATTACCTCTAAAGCATAGCACATGCCTATGCATTGGATGGGATAAGAAAATCTTCTTATAAGAAAGTGGGAGTCAATAACTGGTACCAATAATGCAATCTACTGCCACATGAGAAGGAGACGAGGAAGTGTCCCGATCTTGAGATATCATCGTAGAGCCTTCATGAGTTATTTGTGTAGTAAATATACTTTTTGTACCTGTGTTCTCCACTTTTTTTTTTTTCTAGAGCTAAGTAGTAGATACGAGGCTAGAGATACATGGAAAAAAGGAGGAAGCATCTTCTTGCCTTTTTCTCTCCTTGCTGGAACCAATGTATCCAAATAGACCCTTTTCTATCCTGTTGCTAGGGAGACAGAACAAAACATGGCTCAACATTTACTCACTGTTAACCACCTGTTTCCCTGCTGACATGCACTGTAGTCACTGGGCTTTGAAATGGATTAAGGCAATCCCTGATGAAGGTGCCTGTAGTTGTATAAGAATACTCAGATAATCAGCTATTTTAAACAATTCATAAAATGTGAAATTAAAGAAGCAAGTGAATGGATGAGACAAACAAAGAAGCACCTTCTCATGAACAAAAGGGCTGGGCCTTACAAAAAGCATTTCTGGCCATGTAGTGAAAGCTGTGTCCTGTGAGTCTCTATCCTCATCCTCTGTGCTCATTCCTAGAACCATTTTCTGGCTTCAGAATGGGCACAGCTGCTGAGGACATGCTATGTGATTCACACTGTTACAAGCCAGAACGTGTAAAACAGGGGCCAAGGTTTTTTAAAGTGGTTCTTTAGTACAAGCAATATTCAGGTCTTATTGTCCATATTTGGCTACTGACTACAAAGTTTAGGAGCCAGCACATGGGAGGATGCAGGTGGGTAAGCAGGGAAAGCCTATGTCTCTGATGGGGAATGCACAGTTTTTTGCTTGCAGTAAGAACATTCTTTCTGTCTACAGTCAGTCTTGACTCTCTTCAGAAAGATAGGTGGGATTGTCTCCAGGACAGTGTTAGCTGGTTATTTTCTCTGAGTCTGAAAAGTTTTTTTAACCAGGCAATTTGGAGAAAACTTTATATAGCTTGAATTAACCCATTTATTTATAATTTTTCTGAACGCTAGAAAAACTGTATAAGCACATTGCTCTTGGCATTCATCCATATACCACAGTCTATTTCTCAGTGATACTGGTCTCAAATACCGTTCACTGGTATTTTTATGGAACTGAAATTTAATGTCATTTTCCCATAAAATTATTTTGAATATTATTGATAGTTGTGCTTTAGGTTAATGTTTTTTAAATGATTGACACCTTAAGTTGACACTTTACATATTATTTCTAACTGGCAAGCTAATTTTCTCTACAGGTACTGAGGAAGTTGGTAAGCTGACACTCCCATTTTTAATTTTAAATAATAACTTTGCTTAAAAGGGCAAAACTATTATAAAAGGAGATGGAAATATGAAAAGTTTCTGAAGGTGAGTAATGCATAAAATGCTCAAATTATAAAAATAAAAACACAGTAGCTAAAATTAAGAACTTCGTATGAGTGAATAATAGAGTGAATAATACATAGAAAGGTCAACAGCTAATATATTAAAGTAATTACAGAGATAAATTATTGAAAATCTATATTTGAGACATTTAGGAAACAGTAAAGATTTGAACATATTTGGAATTAGAATCTGCAAAGTAGAAGAAAGAGAGATAAATGGGACGAAAGCAGTATCTGAGGAAATAATGCCTGAGGATTTTTCAAAATTGATGAAGACCTCAAACAGTTAAATTCTGGAGCCTTAAGATTCCATGGAGCTTACATTGCTAGATTTTGGACTTGATGGGGATCCATTCATCCCTTCCTTCTTTCCTGTTACTCCTTTGTAAAATGGGAGAGTATCCTATACCTGTATGACCACTGTATTTTGTATAACTTGTTTGATTACGCAGGTTCACAGCTGGAGAGGATTTCTTCCTCAGGGTGAATTATACCTCATGGTTTGCCTATATCCGATTTAGACATTTAGATGAGACTTCAGACTTTAAAGTTAATACTGGAATGCATTAAGCCTTTCAGAGCTGTTGGGATGAAATGAATGTATTTTTCATGTGAGAAGGATATGAATTTTGGGGCAGGTCAGGGGCAGAAGACATTAGTCTGACTATGTCTACCTCAAAATTTGTAGGTTGAAAACCTAATCCCAGTAAGATGGTATTTGGAAATGGGACCTCTGGGCGATAATTAGACCATGGGGCTGGAGCCCTCATGAATGGCATTAGAACCCTTATAAGAGGCCAGAGAGCTAACTAGTGAGTGAGTACTTTTGCAACCCAGAAAAGGGCTCTCGGCAGAACCAACCATGCTGGTACCCTGATCTTAGATTTCCAAGCCTCCAGAACTGTGAAAAAATATTTCTATTGTTTAGAAGTCACCTGCTGCATAATACACTGTTACAGAAACACAAACTGACTAATACAAATTTCTTCCGTAAGGATAATCCCCAAGAGAAACACTGGAAATGTAGGAAGGCATGAAAGACAAAAGACTACATATGTAGGTAAACATAAATGGATATTGATGTTCAAAACAATGATACTAAGATCTAGTAGGATTCACAATATGAGTAGAATTAAAATGTAAAACAACAATAATGCAAAAGGCAGAAGAGTGGAGTTGAAGTATTCCATATTTTTATCATTATTGGGAAGATGATAAAAGTAGCTATTCAAATTAGGCTTTATGAAGTTAAAAGAGCATATTGTAATCCATTGTATAGCCAATAAGAACAATAAAATAAAATAATATTAAATAGAAATTTTAGAGTAAAAAATAAATGATTAAAATATTTGATTAATTTTAAAGTGTTTAAGACATAAGAGAAGAAATAAATCAAGTGAAACTCAGATATAACACTAATTACATTAAATGGACTACTTAAAAAAAACCCACAAAGATTGAAAACCAATTTTATGTTTCCACCTGAGGATGTACAGAACTCACATCAGTCCCACGCTGGAAATAAGAAAGAGACTTACTTCACATTCATAACTTTTTTGGAACGCATTGGCATTCTAAGTTTGCAAAGGAAACTAGCCAAAGATCTAAGGAAAAACAGTGCCTAAAGAAAGATACTAGATGTAAACATGTTGATCTAGAGTAAATGTAACCAGATGTCAGTAAAAATAATCCAGTTAGAATCCTGATACATTTGTACAGCCATTTATAATAGTATTAAAAAATCAAATACCTAGTAATAATTCATACTCAAATGTGCAAGACCTCTCAATGGAAACTTAAAATTTTATTTATATAAAAACATAAATAAGCGGAAATAAATACCATGGTCATGAATTGGAAGAATCAATATTATGAATATATCAATTCATATTTAAAGAATTGACTACACATCCAGTACGATCCTAGTCAAACTTCTGGCATTACGTTTCAGAAATTCACAGGTTGATTCTAGAATTTATACAGAAATATAAAGGCTGAAGAAAAACCAAAGCAATTTGAAGAAAAAGCACCAAGCTGGATAGCTTATACTACCAGATATCAAGGCTTGATTCAATACCGTATACAGTGCAGTAGTGGTACAAGATCATTGAACAGAGTACAGGCAATGGTCTACACATATATGGCCTCCTGCATTATCACACAAGTATCCTGTAAAGCAGAGGGGAAATAATTGTCTTTTCAACAATGTGCCTGAATCAACATGGAAAAATACCTCATATGCTCTACTATATACAATACAAAATAACTTACTACCGAAGTCATTCAGATCTAAATATTAATGGTAAAGCAAGAAAGCTTTTGCAAAATACAACAGAAGAATAACTTCATGATTTCTTCAACAGGACGCTTGACACGTATTCCATTCCTTGGCGGGGATCACCAGCTTTAGTATCAGGAACAAAATATGAGAAAAAAGGCCCTCACCTCATTTCCACAAACAGTCCCAGTTTCAGACACACTGACTTCTCTCTGTCTAAATTACACAAGATTTATTCATCACCCAATATGTCAAAATCACCAAAGTGAGAGATGCCATGATGAGGAATTTTGGTGACAAAACTCCATTCCCCTTTTTGAGTTCAGGTCTGTGAATCTGCAGACGAGCCTCGTTTTTCCATTCATGCTTCTTATTACAAACACCTGGAAAGAGCCAACGTGCCCAGATTTTTGTATACAATGGAATACTACTCAGCAACAAAAAGGAACTACTGATACATACAACAATATGAAAAAGCTTCAAAAACATTCTGAGTAGTAATCTAACACAAAATAGTACATACAATTAAATTACATTTATATGAGTTTTGAGAACAGGCAAAACTAATCTATTGTTAGGAAAAAATCAGAACAGTGGTTGCTGTGAATTAAATGGGAAGAGTTTGAGAGTATTTTCTGAGTTGATGGGAATTTTTCATATTTTGAAGGGTTTTGAGTTCCACGGTTGCATCCATGTGTCAAAACTCATCACTTAATAGTTGCACATTTCATGATAGGTGAAAGTTATCTTAAAAGTAAACAAATATTATGATCTCATTAATGATACATGTAAGGGTGATGTGTATGCCTATCTCCAATTTTCTTCAAAATGTATCAAAGAATAGGATGAGTTGAATGGAGGGATGGATATGGGGATAAATACTTGGTAGAAAACGTATAATAAAATGTCAACTGTGGAATCTAGGTGGTAGCTACACGATTCTTTAAACTTCGTTTGAAACTTTCATTACTAAATGGGAAAAAGAAAGGGGATTAAATTACATATCTAGGGTCAAGTGTTATATGCAATTAAATTTTTGATATTTGCTCTTTGGACTTTCACAACACACAACGTGGATTTTTTTTTTTTAAAAAAATCTTATCCTACTTTAGCTGAATATATATTCTGTACTGCCATGGAATAAAATTGGAAAACCTTATTTGGTAATACAGTCAAAATGATAATAAAGAAGGACAACTTATTTGTTAATGTTTTTCCATTAAAAGTATTTTTTTGTGAAAGATACTTTGAGGCAAAAATGATAGTACCTTTAATAAATATTGGGGCCAAAATATGTAATATTTTAATACAGGAAATGCCATTGAGGATCTGCTTATAGTTTTTCATCTCTTATTTGGCTCATTTGTTTGTGTCTTTAGAGTAAATATGAGAGTCAAGTAACTACAAGCAGCAGTGTAGGATGTTGGGTGGAGAGGAAGCCAGTAGGTGCAAGGGGTCTCATTGGGAACAGAAAAACGTTCACAGCTCAGCACAGCATTCTCCACTGCCTCTGTGACTCCTGTTTAGCCCATTACCAGATGGAGTTCTGGAGGTGAAGTTATTATGGAACCGTGAATAAGAAGCTGAAAGTGATCCACGTCAGCTTCATTTCCAGATATCTTCATCTCCATCTCTTCCGGCCCACACTCTTCTCTTTCTGAGCATGCTCTTTGTGACCAAAGTTGTTCTTGGGAGCTGGGAATTAGAGCTCACTTTGGGGTTGTTGAGTGATGGAAATATCAATCACATTCTAACAATACGTGATTTAAGGTACTAGATGTAAGCTTCCTGTAGCTTCTCTTGATTATTAGCGAGATTTTACAGAAAAATCGGGACCTTCAAAATACGCACTTGCCCTCATATTTGCAGACCTGTGAAAACTTTCTTGCCTTTTTGAATGGCATCTTCTGGTCTTTAGCATTCTGTGTTTAGCATCTACTGGGCCTGAAAACATTAACCTACAATATCAGACCTCCTACCTGTCTTGTACCTGGGCAGTGCTGAGATTTTGGAAAGACGTGTGAGCATTAACAGTACTTTGTAGGTGCCAACACTTCCATGGCACTTCTGAGCTGCAAGGTGCTGTTCTGAGGCTTTTGTACAATTAACTCATTTAAACATCGTTAGAACCCCATGATATCAGTAATATTATGTTCCTGCTGCAGATGAGACAGTGGCACAGAGGGGTTAAATGATTTACGTAAAGTCACTCTCCTGAGAGGCAGAATCAGGATTTGCACCGGGGTGTCAATGAGGCAGACTCTGTGTTCCTATCGGCCATGTTCTGCAGTTTCTCATAGAATCTAAAGTCACAATGAGAATGAGGCCTGGCAAGGGGTTAAGCAAGATGTAGAATAAAATGACAAGAACAGCTGCCCATGATCTATTTAAGACAAGGAATGGAAAATCCTGTGAAAGTTGACCAGGGGCGAAGTAAGAGCTCAGAGAGCCAGAGGGGCTCCTGTTGACCAAATGGCCAGAATAGCGGCACCTAAGGAATGGCCTTCCTGATCTCAGAAACCTGAGCCAGGCGCTCACCAGCTGCTCTCCTCACCCCAGGCCAAGGAGCCAGAGGGGAAGCCGTGGCTGCCTGATGTGATTGGGTTAGACCCACAGTTGGAAACTAGATACCTGGAGAGATGTAGTGTCCAGTGAAAATCTAAGCAGGTTGAGCCCTCAGGGGACAGAGGTAGCGATGTCTAACCAGGACAGGGCACATGCTGGGACAAGGCAGGTGGCAGCCCATGCTGCCAGGAGAGATCATCCATCAAAGATTCTTCCTCAATCCATCAGCTTCGTCATTTCAGCCCATGCTTTTCTCACATATCACTGTACAGGAGTGGAGAGGGAGGTTGTTTGTCTATTTTTCTCCCCACCTAGGTTGGCCCTTCTCTCCCTATGCACACCCAAAGCTCATGATTACTGGGGAGCTTTCTGCTGTGCATATGCTTTTTGAGGTTGATATACCTATCCATAGCTCTCTCGACATACAGCTCCTTGGTCCAGGACTTTGGGTGGGGATGTACGGACATAAGTATAAAGTGAACAAAATCTCTAATATTCCAGGATGTGAGCTGTGACCTGAAGAAGCAGTTTCAGAGGGGCAGCCTAAAGGGCTAATACTTGCACTTCAGGACAACCAAGTAAAGAAAACAGGATTGCTTAATAAATCCCAGCTCATGCCCTGTGTTCTCTGTTAGGAGCATTCCTGCCTTCTGGCCTTCAAGTCTCACAAACCATGGGGATTGACCAGCAAACATGGGATGGCGAGGACATGCTGTGCACCAGGAACATTAAAGGGTTCAACACTTCCTGTCTACACACATTTGGGATTGGCATCCCTAATTTTTCACATTTTTTTTTTCCTGAGAGTAATAGGGGTGATCAGGAAACTCCTCTGGGCTTAAGATGGGCCAGCAGGTTTTCCTGGAGCCTCTGCTCTGTACTCTATGTGTCCTGTAGTGGGTCTTCATTGTAGCTATGCTGTTTCCACAGCTCTCAGCAGATGTGGGGAGAAGGGCAGGGGGCTGGAAAAGCTGGAGGACTTGCCTGACCTTTCATCTCTTTTGGGGCAGCAATCATGTGTATTTTTGTTTGTTTTGTTTTGTTTGTTTGTTTTTTCCACAATGCAGACTCTCTTATTTGATTCCATGTAAGTTGCCCAATTCCAGTAACTTTTTAGCCTATCAATATGCAACCACAAAGATTTAGTTTTGAGGTGCCACTGTATCTGGTTAAGGTGTGAGGGGGAAATTAAACTCTGTTGGTCTCGGGTTTAAGATATGAAATAACCAAGTGGATGGAGTTTCATGAAGGGATGCTAAGAGTTCTGTGGGCCTGGTGGAACCCTCATAAGACTGAGTGAAGAGTGAAGATATGTTGTGTGTTCTGACTCCATCCGTTGAGGAGACATGGAGGCAGCAACACCCCAGCTGCCCTGAGCACATACAGCACCAAGATCTTGGCTTCTAAATAATATCCTCCAATAAAAGGAGACGGTTGGGAGGCTGAAGCTAAATAATATCCTCCAATAAAAGGAGACGGTTGGGAGGCTGAAGCAGGAGACTTGCTTGAACCCAGGAGGCGGGAGTTGCAGTGAGCCGAGATCATGCCATTGCACTCCAGCCTGGGCAACAGGAGCGAAATTTCGTCAACAAACAAACAAACAAACACACAAACAAACAAAAAAACAGGCTTCTCAAATAATTGGCTAATTCTAGGGCTAGGTCAAGAAAAAAATACAAGGTGAGGCTAAAACATCTTGGACTGCCAGAAAGTAAGGAAGTTTAAAAAAAAGATGGAGGCATGTTGTAAGGACCCAGAAGTAGACACAGAAGAGTTCCCAAGGGCCAAAAAAAAAAAAAAAAAAAAGCTGCAACAACTTGAGCAGCAAAATAATTAAGGCTAGTTTTGAGATTATAACACAAATAATATAATAAAATAAATACCCATGAGTTCATAATG
This sequence comes from Homo sapiens, assembly GCF_000001405.40. Classification (NCBI taxonomy): domain Eukaryota; kingdom Metazoa; phylum Chordata; class Mammalia; order Primates; family Hominidae; genus Homo; species Homo sapiens. The sequence continues at coordinate 23,795,398 of NC_000015.10, forward strand.
ATATAAAATATGATTGCATACATAAATAAATGGGAGATAAGGAGCAAATATTTTTTTAGAAAAATTCAAAAATTAAATGTAGAGACTTCCCAATGCTCATGGACTTAGTGAATATGAACCCACGTAGAAAGGACTTTTCTCTGCTTCATAATGTCTGGGGCCTCAACTGGGAAGACATCACTGGCTGAGAGTGAGTCAAACAGTTGGGGGCTGCAATCTTCTAGAGTTCCCTTCTCTTATATGGCTGGTGCCCTTCATTTGAATGTGGGCTTAGTAACTTCATTTTAGAAGCATGGAAAGAGAAAAATAGACACTCAACAGTGGAGAAACCTGGCAGACACAATCTTAACCAAGCGGTCAAGGTTAACATCACCAGTGACAGACACGTCATGTGGATATCACATAACCCCTAATTGTATGTGAGGTGAAGCAAACTTTACTTCTTGATATTCTCTCAAATCCATCATCTTTGTTTAATAAAAGAATATCAGAAAGACCCAAATGTAGGAACATTCTACAAAATACCTGACCAGTAATCTTCAGAAGTGTCAATGTCAAGAAAAGCAAAGAAAGACTGAGAAATTGTCAAAGATTCAAAGAGACAAAGGTGACTAAATTCAGCATGGTATACAGATTTGGCTACTGGAACAGAAAATAGGACATCAGTGGAAATCTCATGAAGTCTGAATAAAGACTCTAGTTTAAGATTTTGTACCAATTTTATTGTGTTGTTTTTGATAAACGTACCATGGTTAAGATGCTAACAATAGGGGAAGATGGAAGAAGAGTATATAGGAACTCTCTTTACTAGGTTTACCATTTCTCTGTAAGTCTAAAATTATTTCAAATCAAAAAATTTAAAAAGAGGTAATGGAATACTACTTAGCAATAAAAATGGAACAAACTTGATATATACATTATAGGTGAATCTCAAAAACATTATGCTGAGTAAAGAAACAAGACCAAAAAATACATACTATGTTATTCTATGTACATAAGCTTCCAAAAAATGAATACCAATTTACAGTGAACGAAAGTATGTAAGTGGTTGCCTGTTGGTGGGATTTTGGGTGGGATTACAAAGGGACACAAAAATTTAGGGGGCAGGTATCGAAACAACTGTTATTCTGTTTGTGGTGATGATTTCATGGGTGTATACACATGTGAATACTCATCAAATTGTACCATTTAAACATATGCAGTGTGTTAATTTTACCTGAATACAATATAGATAAATAGATTGATGGATGGGTAGATAGATAGATGAGTAGATAGATGATAGACACAGAGACACATGGAATTAGTGAGGGTTTTTTTTATTGCTATATAATAACTACAGAAAGAGTCTATTTTTAACAAAAGTAGAAAAGTATTATTTTCCAACCCCAGTATAATAACTGACTCAGGTTGGATCATTGGTTGAAGCTACAACCATCTGGTGAAAAGTCCTTTGGTACCAGAATATTCACATGGTCTCAAAACACCACTCTACAGATAACTTATCCATCCCAGAAGGGAAAATGGACCTGTACAATGGGGTGGTGATCAAATGGAATGGAAACTGATGGATCAAACTGATGGAATGGAAACCTTAGCATTACATGTTTCCCGATATGATGGAAAAAGAGCCCAACATAACCATACATGTTAAACCTGAATCTAATCCGGAAGTAATAATCCAAAATGTGGAACATCCTACAAGACTGTCCTGGCCTCTTGGAAAACAATGTCATTTTTGAAAAAGACCTCTGTGGGTTGGGCACAGGTGAGGATGATCCCTATAGATTAAAAGACACTAAAGAGGCAAAACAGCCAAATAAAATGCATAAACCTTGCTTGGCTTCTGGATCCAAAAAATAAAATAAGCTCTAAAGGACATCTTGGGGCTGATAGGGAAAGTTTAAATATGGGCTTCATGTTAAATACTGAATTGATCTTAATGTTCTCAGATGTGATAGCATCATAGTTCTGTAGTAGGAAAGTAAATAAGTGAAGTTAGATGATAGGTAGGTGGTGGATGGATGGATGGAGGGGCAAATAGACTGCTAATATGTCAAACTATTAACAATGGGTGAATTTAGGTGAAGATATTATAGAGGTCTACAATCCTTTCAACTTTTTTGTGGGTTTGAAACTTTTCATAATAAATAATTAGAGAGAAGGGGGACATAGCTTGAAAACAGCAGTGTTGTTCTGTTCCTGGCTGTGCAGCCTCTGCTCCATCCTTGCCCCACTCCTCCCTGTCCAGGTCACTGGCCCCCAAAGCCTCTTCTGGGCAGGCTCGGGATTGGTTGTTGTGAAGTGGCCACATTGTCACCAGATTGTTTGAAATGGAGGCTTTATGCAGAGAGGTGGTGTATCCAGGCAAAGCGGGAAAGGCAGGATGGAGGGAGGAAGGAGAATGAGGCAGTTGCCATGGAGCCCTAAAGGGCCCCCTTTGCTGGAGCTTGACGCTTGTTTATATTCCCGAGAGGCTATGGAGGCGGGGAAGTGAGAGGAAGAAAAATGGGGGCTTAATTTGCTCTCACCGATTCCGGCCGCCCACGGGGCTTATTATCCTTGATTGCCTGTTTTCTGCTTTCTGTCACCATGGAAACCGGCAAAAAACGTGACTCTGCTCAGATTTACGCAGTTTGCTCGCTGAAGGCCTAGTCCCCACGTACCTGCTGGGCCTCTGCCGTGGGACGAGGTCCCTGCGGAAGGTGTCTGTGCGAGGGCGTGTGATTAACTAGGGGCTACTGGGAGGGGTGTAATGAGGCAACGGTGGGGGTGGCAGGACGTCTTTAAGGGATTGGTGAGAAAAGAGTTGCCATCAGCTTCCTTCCTCAGGCCAGGCTAGGAACACTTGGAACTATTTTCAAGGCTGGGGCTGGGAGCAGCATGCTGTCCTTCCGAGGACAGTGTGTGCTGAGGCAGCCCACTCCAGGGCAGCACTTCCCGGAATTTCTAAGTGGAGGCCCTAAGTAGAAACATTTTATGGCTCCTAGCTGCAGATTTGGTTCCTGAGAACAGGTCAAGGTGACCCCATGAGCTGGAGTGGGGAGTCTGTGCTGAGGAAGAGCTTCACCAAGAGTAGCACAGCTTAGCACAAGGAGGGCCTCTGAGCTTGTGCTGCTTCTCAAATGCTGAGGATAAAATTGGCGCCAGGCTTCCTCAAAGGGTTTGACCAAGAGGGTGGGGAAAGGTAGATAGGGTACCTTGGAAGGCAGCCCACAATACTGAGAGGAATTTTCTGGGAGTCTCCTGGCATATGAGGATTATCACAGTGTCTCTGACACTTCTGTAGTTTAAGGAGCACATGGGGGTTGCAGGTGTGGGAGAGCAGGAGAGAGACTCTTCTTTGCTGTTGTTTGGCCTGCCTATCTCTGTCAGTGGCCCATGGTGTTGTATTCACCGTTTGGTGGTGGCATCCCACAACTGGACAGGCTTCTGTGATTTCTGAAACCTGGAGGGGCTCCTCGTTTAGACAAGGGTGACCCTAAGAGTCCATGGCTTAAGAAATAGAATGATCATACTATCTAAAACAATCTACACATTCAATGCAATCCATATCAAAATTCCAATGTTATTTTTCACAAAAATAGACAAAATATCTAAAATTTGTATGGAACCACAAATGACCTCAAATACCCAAAGCAATGTTGAGCAAAAAGAACAAGGCTGGAGACATCATACAACCGGATTTCAAAATATGTACAAAGCTTTAGTAATCAAAACAACATGGCACTGGCCAAAAAAACAGAAACATCAATCAATGGAACAGAATAGAGAGCTTAGAAATGGACCCACATGCATGCTTCTTATGGTCAATTGGTTTTTGACAAAGGTATCAAGAAAGCACAATGGGAAAAGGAAAGTCTTTTTAATAAATGGTGTTGGGAAAGTGGATATACACATACAGAAGAATGAAATTAGACCCCTATCTCACAACATACACAAAATTTAATTAAAAATGGATTAGGCCGGGCACAGTGGCTCACACCTGTTATCCTAGCGCTTTGAGAGGCCAAGGCAGTGGATCACTTAAGGCCAGGAGTTCATGACCAGCCTGACCAACATGGTGAAACCCTGTCTGCTAAAAATAAAAAAAATTAGCCAAGTGTGGTGGTGCATGTCTGTAATCCCAGCTATTCGGAGGGCTGAGGCACTAGAATTGCTTGAACCCGGGAGGCGGAGATCAGTGAGCCAAGATCACGCCCACTCCAGCCTGTGCGACAGAGTAAGACTCTGTCTCAAAAAAAAAAGGGGGATTAAAGACTTAAATGTAAGATGCAAACTGTAAACATACTATAAGAAAACAGGGGAAACAGCTCTGTGATATTGGTCTTGGCAATGATGTTTTTGGGTTTGACCTCAAAAGCACAGGCAACAAAAACAAAAATAGGGCCTGGCATGGTGGCTCAGGCCTGTAATGCCAGCACTTTGGGAGGCTGAGGCGGGCGGATCATGAGGTCAGGAGTTGGACCAGCCTGACCGATATGGTGAAACCCCATCTCTACTAAAAATACAAAAATTAGCTGGGTGTGGTGGCGCGTGCCTGTAGTCCCAGCTACTCAGTAGGCTGAGGCAGGAGAATCGCTGGAACCTGGGACACAGAGGTTGCAGTGAGCCGAGATAGCGCCACTGCACTCAAGCCTGGGCGACAGAGCGAGACTCAATCTCAAAAAAAAAAAAAAAAAAGACAAATGATATTGCATCAAACTAAAACTTCTGCACAACAATTAAAACAACAGAGTAAAGAGACAGCATATACAGATTGAGAAAACGGTTTGCAAACCATACATTTGATAAGAGATTAATACCCACAATACATGAGGAGCTCCACTCGATTGCATGAAAAAAAGTAAACCAATTGAAAAATGGGCAAAGGACATGAAAAGACATATCTCAAAAATAAGACATAGAAACAGCAAGCAGGTATATGAAAAACATGTTCTGCATAACTGATCATCTGTGAAGTGCAAATCAGAACCACAATGAAATACCACTTTGTATCTATTGGGATAACTTATCAAAAGAATGAAAGATGAGAGTTGCCAAAGGGGCGGAGAAAGGGAAACCTTGCACACTCTTGATGGGAATGTAAGGTTGGTACAGCAATACAGAAAACAACATGGAGGTTTCTCAAAACATTAAAAACAGAGCAACCACATGATCCAGCAATCCTAATGGGTATATGTTTAAAAGAAATGAAATCAGTATGTCAAAGTGATGTCTGCACTCCCATGTTCATTGCAGCATTATTCACAAGAGCCGAGATATGAAATCACCTTATATGTCCACTATCACATGAATGAAGAAAATGTGATACATATACACAATGGAATATTATTCGACCTTTGAAAAAAAGAAAATTCTGTTATTCTCAACAACATAGATGAACTTAGAAGATACTAAGGGAAATAAGCCACCAAGAGAAAGATGAATATTCCATTATCTCATTTATATATAATATATTCTGTAAAAAAAGCCAAAATCACAGAAATAAAGAGTATTATGGTGGTTACCAGGAGCGGGGTGAGGGTGAGAGATGGGGAATGAGGAGCTATTGGTCAAAGGGTACAACATTTTATTTGACAGAAGAAATACATTTTTAATATTTATCAAAATATTTATTAAATATAAATATTCATTAAGATATTTTAATATATATCGCATAGCATGGTGACCATAGTTAATGTATTATATATCTTGAAATTGTTAATAGAGTTCATTGAAATGAGCAATTAACAAGAGTTAATTTCTATTAACTCTACTATTCAATTTTCCTCACCACAAAAATTATAAATATTTGAGGTGATGAATATGTTAATTAACTTGATTTAATCATTACATAATGGTAAATAAATATCAAACATCACATTTTACTCCACAAATATTTACAATCATTATTTGTCAATTAAAATAAAATAGGAGGCTGGGATTGGAATGAATTGAGTTTTGGGGTGGGTGCTGGTTTTCTAGATATTTAAACAGAGGAAGTTGAATCTTAGGAACTTTTGCCCAGTTCTGAGAAATAATGGGCAATGTTTCATCTCCAGTGTGTTGCTATTCCCTCATGTCCATCGGAAAGAAGAGTTCTGTGTGCATCTTCCTGCAGCGTATTCGTCTGTGCCTCTGGGTTGAGAGCAGCCATCAACAATGCCACACTGTCTTTCATGGCAGCAATACTTTTTTTCAGCATGAAATGTGCTGCTGCTCTACCCTTAGCAGCCCTGGCTACATCTGAGTCTGAGGTGTCATGGTTTGGAATGAGCTGTGGAATCCGTGTGGCAAATGTCTGGTAAAGAAGAAACATGAATAGTTTTCAGGATTCCTGTTTAATTATTGTGATGAACCTGTGCTGGGAATTTCATGAGATAGTGCAGGGCAAAGGAGGCTTTGTGAAGTCTGAGTAGAGAGTACTAACAATCCTGGATGTAGAGATATGAGCCGTGTGCCTGATCAGCTACATTCCCCCTTTCAGGTTTCTAATTCCCAGAATCCCTTTCTTATATCAGGGTGGGAACATGACCTTGAGATATGGCTTCAAGTATCCATTGAATGCATGTGTGCATGTTTGAGTTGGCTGTTTTCTGAGAATTGTTGGCCAGGCCAGCAACACTATAAAATGGCAACAAGTGGCTCAGGAGTATGCCAGAAAGTAGGACACTCCTCCTCCTTCTAGAAGTCTAGTGGCACCTGATCACCTTATTTGGAGCTTGGTGCACAGTGGAACACTGTGGCATGCTGCTTGGAGAACCTCCTCCCCTTGTAAACACAGCCCCGATCTCATTCTGTGCTGCTTTGCCATTCTGTGTGGAGTAGCTCCTTGGCCAAATCTCAGTGTGGCTCTATGTTAGTCCATTCTCGTGCTTTTATAAAGAAATACCTGGACTGGGTAATTTATAAAGAAAAGAGGTTTAATTGGCTCATGGTTCTGCAGGCTGTACTGGAAGCATGGTAGCTTCTGCTTCTGGGGAGGCCTCAGGAAGCTTCCAATCATGGTGGAGGGTGAAGGGAAAGCAGGCGCATCTTACATGGTGGAGCAGGAGCAAGACAGCAAAGCAGGAGGTGCCACACACTTTTAACAACCAAATCTCCTATGAACGCGTTCACTATCGCAATGACAATACCAAGGGCAATGGTGCTGAACAGTTGATGAGAAACTGCCCCCTTGATGCAATCACCTCCACCAAGCTTCCCATCCCACACTGAGGATTAAAATTCGACATGAGACTTGGGCGGGGACACAGAATCAAAGTATATCAGGCTCCAACACCTATCATCCCTTCCTGTAACTGTCACTTCTGCCCTAGTGACTGTGCTGCTCAGAGACTCTGGGGAAGCCTAGTGAGAGGTGACAGCGTGCTGGCAGTCTTCACAGCCCTCGCTCGCTCTCGGCGCCTCCTCTGCCTGGGCTCCCACTTTAGGGGCACTTGAGGAGCCCTTCAGTCCACTGCTGCACTGTGGGAGCCCCCCTTCTGGGCTGACCAAGGTCAGAGCCGGCTCCCTCAGCTTGCAGGGAGGTGTGGAGGGAGAGGCACGAGCGGGAACCGGGGTGCGGGCGGCGCTTGCGGGCCAGCTGGAGTTCCGGGTGGGCATGGGCTTGGCGGGCCCCGCACTTGGAGCAGCCGGCCGGCGGTGCGGGCCCCAGGCAATGAGGGGCTTAGCACCCAGGCCAGCGACTGTGGAGGGTGTACTGGGTCCCCCAGCAGTGCCAGCCCACCGGCGCTGCTCTCGATTTCTCACCGGGCCTTAGCTGCCTTCCCGCGGGACAGGGCTCGGGACCTGCAGCCCGCCATGCCCGAGCCTCCCACCCGCTCCGTGGGCTCCTGTGGGGCCCGAGTCTCCCAGATGAGCGCCGCCGCCTGCTCCAGGGCGCCCAGTCCCATCGACCACCCAAGGGCTGAGGAGTGCTGGCACACGGCGAGGGACTGGCAGGCAGCTCCATCTGCAGCCCAGGTGCGGGATCCGCTGGGTGAAGCCAGCTGGGCTTCTGAGTCTGGTGGGGACGTGGAGAACCTTTATGTCTAGCTCAGGGGTTGTAAATACACCAATCGGCACTCTGTATCTAGCTCAAGGTTTGTAAACACACCAATCAGCACCCTGTGTCTAACTCAGGGTTTGTGAATGCACCAATCGACACTCTGTATCTAGCTACTCTGGTGGGGCCTTGGAGAGCCTTTGTGTGACACTCTGTATCTAGCTAATCTGGTGGGGAGGTGGAGAACCTTTGTGTCTAGCTCAGGGATTGTAAACACACCAATCAGCGCCCTGTCAAAACAGACCACTCGGCTCTACCAACCAGCAGGATGTGGGTGGGGCCAGATAAGAGAATAAAAGCAGGCTGCCTGAACCAGCAGTGGCAATGGGCTGGGGTCCCCTTCCACACTGTGGAAGCTTTGTTTTTTCGCTTTTTGTAATAAATCTTGCTACTGCTCACCTTTTGGGTCCACAGTGCTTTTATGAGCTGTAACACTCACCACGAAGGTCTGCCCCTTCACTCCTGAAGCCAGCGAGACCAGGAGCCCAGCAGGAGGAAGGAACAACTCCAGACGCGCTGCCTTAAGAGCTGTAACACTCACTGCGACGGTCTGCAGCTTCACTCCTGAGCCAGCGAGACCACGAACCCACCAGAAGGAAGAAACTCCAAACACATCTGAACATCAGAAGGAACAAACTCCAGATGCGCCACCTTAAGAGCTGTAACACTCACCGCGAGGGTCCCCTGCTCCATTCTTGAAGTCAGTGAGACCAAGAACCCACCAATTCCGCACACACTAGGAGGAATGGTGTCCCTTCATTGATCATCAAAGAACTAATAAGAAAAACTAGAGGGAAAAAAGAATGGGATTTGAACAGTAGCTAACCCCGGCATTAAAACAGGTTGTTGGACCCCCAACCCTGACCGGCTGAATGGGAAAATCCAAGGATGAGGCGCAGCAATCCATATTCCCAAGGTCACCTAGTGGTTCTGATGCATTGTCTAGTGCATTGAACTAGGCTATGGGTGGATCTAAACTTCAAGAAGAAGCAAATGAAAAGCACAGCTCTCTAAGGCTTACTGGAGAGGGGCTCTTATTTAATGGGGGGAAGAGGCGTTCTGTTTTGAGTGCAAAGCTGAGTCTTGCCCCCAGTGAATCCCTAGGGTTCCTGTGTCCGTGTTTAGACCCGATGTGAAGAGATTGGGGAGACAGAGAGAAGCCAGGTAGGTTTGCTTTTTGTTTTTTCTTTTCTGTTCTCCCCTTGCCTTGCCATTCATCCCTCTTTATCAATGTAGACGGCAGGCCGTTTCATACACAGTACTGTGATTCCACAGCCTCGTTGAATTTGGTATCCATGGAAGTGCCCAGACTCTACTGAACTCTTAAACCATTTGCAACCCAAGATAGGCTAGAGGCTACTGTAGTAATAAAGAAGTCTCCATGGTCAGATGGACTTATAAGAATAAAATTTAATTTACTAATCATACAAGGATTGATATTGGTCAGGCACACCTCCCATATGTTTTAGCCATGTCTTCTGGGATTCTAGGCTTCCAAGGCCACCACAGCAAGAGAGGAGTTGCAGGCAGCACACAGCCCTTGACTGATTATGCCTGGAAGTGACACACATCGTTTATCATTGGTCAGAGTTCATATCATGGCCTCATCATTGGAAGGTAGGCTGGGCAAGGGTTGTACCTGAATATTTGCTGAGAAAGACCCATTATGCTCACATTATAGCACATATGTGTCAAAGAGCCTTTTCTTTATGAAAGCACTGAAATCCAAGCTTTTATGTGACACAGCAGCAGACGACTACTGCAACTCTCCCTCTGTATCTGGGGGTGCTTGGCTCATGGGACAGATATCTAAGTCCCTGGTAGGGAATGGGGAAATTTCTGATAGCAATTCAAGACACTGGTTAAAAAGTGAAGAGTTAAGAGTTGATGCAGCCAATGTATTTCCCCAGCACCGAATGAATAAGAACAGAAACTTGACTGGAATCCTTCACTTCTTGGCCACTATCTGGTGCCCAGGCTGTGTGCATTTTTTTTAAAACATTTATTATTATTATTATTATACTTTAAGTTTTAGGGTACATGTGCACATTGTGCAGGTTAGTTACATATGTATACATGTGCCATGCTGGTGCACTGCACCCACTAACTCGTCATCTAGCATTAGGTATATCTCCCAATGCTATCCCTCCCCCCTCCCCCCACCCCACAACAGTCCCCAGGGTGTGATATTCCCCTTCCTGTGTCCATGTGATCTCATTGTTCAATTCCCACCTATGAATGAGAATATGCGGTGTTTGGTTTTTTGTTCTTGCGATAGTTTACTGAGAATGATGATTTCCAATTTCATCCATGTCCCTACAAAGGACATGAACTCATTTTTTTTTGACTGAGCGTGATGGCTCATGCCTGTAATCCCAACACTTTGGGAGGCCGAGGCGGGTGGATCACCTGAGGTCAGGAGTTCGAGACTAGCCTGACCAACATGGAGAAACCCCGTCTCTACTGAAAATACAAAATTAGCCAGGTGTGGTGGTGCATGTCTGTAATCCCACCTGCTCGGGAGGCTGAGGCAGGAGAATCGCTTGAACCCGAGAGGCAGAGGTTGCGGTGAGCCGAGATCATGTCATTGCACTCCAGCCCGGGCAACAAGAGTGAAACTCCATCTCAAAAAATATATATATATGTATTTCCATAGGTTATTGGGAAAACAGGTCGTGTTTGGTTATATGGGTAAGTTCTTTAGTGGTGATTTGTGGGATTTTGGTTCACCCATAACCTGAGCAGTGTACACTGCACCCTATTTGTAGTCTTTATCCCTCACCTCCCTTCCCAGTGTTTCCTGGTTTGGATCCCCAAAATCTATTGTGCCATTCTTATGCCTTTGCATCCTCATAGCTTAGCTCCCACTTAAGAGTGAGAACGTACAATGTTTGGTTTTCCATTCCTGGTAACTTCACTTAGAATAATAGCTTCCAATCTCATCCAGGTCATTGCAAATGACATTAATTAATTCCTTTTTATGTCTGAGTTTTCTGGGTCTTTGAACCCCAGAAGCATCATTTGTGAGGCGTAGGAGGTACCAAGGCATATTTGTAATTTCCAGAATATCCAGATCCTTTGAAATTGGGCTTTTTGTACAAATGAATCTCATAATTCTACAGACTCATTTTCTGAGAACAGAGGCAGAGGCAGGCAGTTGAAAGGGGAAAGCAAGAACTAGTCATCATTTGTGCTGGCCAAGGTCTTGCTCCAGTGTTTTGGAGAGACTACTTTGCACCCGTCTGTCCAGCTGTTTGTACCCTCAGGGGCTAAATTGTCAGAAGGGAGTGGGGAGGCTGCTGCTCTGCCTTTCCTCCTCAAGATCCTCCCTTCAGTTTCTTTCCCCTCACTATGGAAAGAAAACAAGTGGGGACGGCCAGGACCCTGTGCCAAATTGCTGCTTCTCTGCCCACAGGTACTTGTCCAGCATTGTTCTCAGTAGGCTTGTGAGGGCCTCATATTGAAAGTGATTTAGAAGTAGAAAGTAGAATGGAGGTTACGAGGGACTGGACTGGTTGGTGGGGGGTAGATATATTAGTCAAAAGATAAAAACTTACAGTTAGGAGAAATCAGTTCAAGAAGTCTAGAGTGCAGCATGGTGACTACCGTTAATGACAGCATATTGTATTCTTAAAAATTGCTAAGAGAGTAGATGCTAAGTGTTCTCACCACAAAGTGAAGAATGTATGAGTGAAAATGCACATTAATCAGCTAGATTTGGCCATTCAACAATGTACTTATACTTCAAAACATCATATTGCACAATATCAAAGACACGGAATCAACCCAGTTGCCCATCTACAGTGGATTGAATGAAGAAAATGTGCTCCACATATGCCATGGAATACTACACAGCCATAAAAATGAAATCATGTTATTGGCAGTAACATGGATGCAACTGGAGGCCACTATTCTAAACAAACTAATGCAGAAACAGAACAACAAATGCCACGTGGTCTCACTTGAGAGAGCTAAACACTGGTTACGCATGGACATAAAGATGGGAACAACAAACACTGAGGAATACAAGGAGGGGAAGGAGAGAGGGAGGCAAGAGTTGAAAAACTATCCACTGTTCTCACTCCCTATGTGAAGGTTCAGTTGTACTCCAGGCCTCTGTATCGTGCAATATACCCTCGTAAAAAACCTTCACATCTACCCTTGGAATCTTAAAAAAGAGGGAAAAAAAAGCATACATTGTATTGTGCATAATACATGCATCAATTTTTATCTATTAGTTTGAAAATAAATAAATATAAAAAAGAAAGTATATGGAGAGCAAAAAACTAAATTCTGATAGACACATGTTGAACATGTTGAGATGGGAAGTTGCAAGGGAGCTGATGTCGGTGAGTGGTGAGGTGGTTTCCAGATGGCTGTGTGGACAGATCATCTCTTCCTTGCCAGGAGCTCTTCTGACCTATCCAGCCTCATTCCTTATTCCAGGCTGCTTTTTCCTTGAAGCGATTTTTGGTTACAGAGTCTGGACAAGATGTTGTGGATGTTGAGGTAGTACAGAGAAGAATGTTCAAAACCAGAGCCAGATTTGTTCTGTATTGGAGCCTTAGGATGTGGCTTGTGTCCACATGTCTCTGTATAGAACATGTTGCTGATCAGAGTTGGAGACATCCAGCTTGGGGCATTGTGGGTGGCTCCAGGGCACTCCTGTGGTTCTCTTGGCTGGCACAGACCCTAGGAAGATTTTTTTCTCGGTTCTCTATGATACCTCCTTCATGTCTGCACCCTAACCTTAGCTCTACTCACAAAGGAGGGATGTTGGGTGTGGTAGGCTTAATTTTTCTCTCCATACCTACTTCTCCTATTGTCTTGAGCTCAGGGTTCGTCAGGATCTGTTTTGACCTTTTATTGTAAAAACAATTACCAAGATAACTTCCCAGAAGTTTCCCTTTTCAGCCCATCTGCATCCCCTCCACATGTAACTTGGAACTACTAGGGAAGGGTTCTGGAGGTTCTTCTAAGATGCAGATTAGAGAAGATACCCTAAAAACACATGACTTTGTATGTGCAAATGAAACAGCTTCAGCAGATGTGTGGTAAAGGCTTCAGAGGACAGAGGAGAGACCAGAGGATTTCTGAAGAGAACAACTGTGCCTGAGGAGCCTGATCTCTGAAAGTTGAGATGTCCTGTGGGCCTGGGTCTTCATGTCCAGGCTCTGATCTCCACAATTTTCCACAGTGTAGGGGCCGCTATGGGGCTGAAGTCATGCTGTGGAATGGACCCTGCTGGGGAAATCTGTTATAGACTCATCATCTTGTTATGTTTCCCATGGGGGGAAGCCGGTAGGAGGCAAGTGGAGGGAGGTGGGGCATGGAGAAGATTCTGCAGTCCTTTCTGCTGACGGGCTCTCCCTGGTGTCTGTGTGGTGCTCATGGGGGTTCTTGTGACTCTTCATGAAGTCTACAACCTCATCGTTTTTCACAGAAAAGGAGAAAGCTCGTGACTTAGGAGTTTGGGAGGAGTGGGCATGTCAGTTTCCCTTCAGTGCTCACCTGCACAGTGTCCCCTCTGAGCCCACAGTGCTGACGTGCGACGTTCTGGGCACTGAGGCAGAGACGTGTGGCTCCATTTGATCTGTTCCTCTCCACCAACCAGGTGCTCTAGGAAGTGCTGATACCAGCCTCTACCTTTATGTACAGAGTGATGTTGGATGTGGAATGGAAAGGAGGCAGCAATGAGATGAGGAACATTGCTTTGTTCTCAATACTTATGCTGTGCTCCTCTTTGTCTCATCTGCATGACAGGCCTCCAGTTTTCAGACCCATCAGGTTGGGTGTCAGGACGGGGTGATGGCAATTTGAATGTGATTGTGATTGGGGCATTTAATGACTTAGGTTAGGAATTTCGGTGTTTTTCAGAAATGTGGCATAAAAACTCAGGGATGGTTTTGTTTGTTTTGTTTTGTTTGTTTGTTTTGCTTTAATTTCTCCCAAGTAGACCTGATGATGGCCTCCAGGGAATTGGCAGGAGAAGAACAAGATCAGCCGTCTCTGTGCTATTCTTGACGCTCGTTAGCAGTTGAGGGCAGGGACCAGGGATTTGGGGAGAGAGGCCAGGAAAGACTGATGTCCACCTGTTCCTTCTCCTCACTAGCCTGAATAGCTCCAAATGAGCTCAGGGATCCTATGGCCCATCACTGTGAAAACACAGTGGATTGACATAGAATCCCACCTATTGGGCGCAGGCTGCCATGTAGCTCAGAGGATGCTCTGATCTGTGGACATGCAGGCCCTTCACACTTGGTTACCTTCATTCTCCATTTTTTGCTCGGTGGTTTCTGGTCCAGAATTGAAAAGCGACCAACAGCTCATTCCCACCCTGTCTCTCTCTTGGCTAAGAGGCATGTTCCTGGGGCCTGCACACATTTCTTTGCAAAATGGCAGATCTCCATAAAATAGAAAAGGTTGGCTGGGTCTCAGGAAAGTGATTGGCCATTTTATTCTCATAAATTCCTTCATCCCATATGTTTTCTAATCAGCAATTTTAACTCCTTTATTAGCATAACTCACATAAATATATTTCTAATTTCTTCTTCACCAAATCCTGGCCTTACTCAAAAATACTTGTTCTTTTTAATATGCATATTTCCCACATTTTAACATTTTTAAACCAATGGCATCTTGGAATACTGTCATTATGTAGTTAGCTACGCTTTTGTTTTTTTTAGTGTTACATAAAAGTGGTGCATTTGAAGTGAATGCCCTCTTCAATGTAATGAAATACGTATTTCATTATGGAATATAAGGGTACCTGGTTGTGATATGGGGAATAAAAGACAAATTCTGAACCTTGGTGAATTAAGAAATGGAATAAAAAAGGAATCTGAGAAAAAGATGAAGTTCAAGTTCTTATGCTCTTGGGAAGATGGCCTTACACAGTGGACACCAACAGTACCTCAGGTAGCCCTCTTTGCTGAAAGATGTAACTGGGGTCTGGGGTGGTGCCCTCAGTCTGCACCTCAAGTAACCAAAAGGGCAAGACTCAGGGTTAATGCACTTGGATGAGCATGAGATTTGACCATACCATGTGGAAGCCGTGTATAATTGAATTTTCTGTAAATGTTAATATGAAATATCCGGGCTCTTAACAGTGTAGAACCTCTTTCTAGGACACAGCTGCTGAAGGCTAAGTGAGAGGCAGGAAAGGGGACCCACTTCTGACTTTGGTACTTGGAAGGGCCTTCATGGAGTATGAGTACTTCTGTTGGCATGCGGTAGGGGGTTCCTCACCTGCACCCTAACTTCCATTGCATAGAGATAAGTCTGGGAGGGTATCAAAAATAAGGAACTTCTAGTTGCCTTTCCTTTTCTGGCCTCTTCCCCTCCCTTAAGCTTGTGACTTTTTGGACACTATTTTCTATCTTACCTCTGTGGAATCTGAACAATATGTGGTCCAACTTAAATGCACGTGAGCTTGGACCCTAGACCGTCCCTCCACGTGTATTCAGCAACACTGGGCTGTGGAATCCTCATGCAGGTTTGTGGGGATGAGTGTGCCCTGGAAACACCATTCTTCATTTCAGGCTGCAGTTTCCTAAATCCTTTTCCAGTGATGGGCATAGGACAGGTGCTGGAAGCAACACTGCACAATTGAGCTTTGTCCACACCAGAGCCTGCACACACACCTCAGAGGCTTTGAAATTGCTGTCTGTGATGAAAACTGGTTTTCAGGTCTGTATGTGCAAGTTTTCCTCATGAGAATAGAGCCCAGCAGCAGGCGGCAGAGGAAGGAGGGAGGAATGGTGTGCACCTTTCTTTGCCCTAGGAGGAATTCTTCGTGCCACACCCAAGCTGGGCTCCCTCCACAAGACAGAGAGGATGAGGTGAGGAACATGGACTGGTTTTTCTCTTCCTGTTCCTCCCTCTGTCTTAGCTCATGGTTCCTACATGGATGCTTTGAGTAAATACTTCCATATCACTTGCCTCTTCCTTCCCATCTTCTGCACTATCCACTCCTGCAAAGACCAATGAGGAATAAAACAGCCTCTGGTGTCCACACCATTGATATTCCTGCATTTCAGATGTGCAGTTTCACCCTGCAAAAGTGGGGAGATGTTAACAATGTCAGTGAAGATGAAAAATGGCATTTCACATCACCAGGATCTCAGAAATCTGAGCTATGCAAGACCCATTCCTCCAGAGAAGTCCTGCCTGCTAGGATCAGGAAAGGGGCCTAGGCAGGAAAGAGAACTCCTAGATTTTGCCTAATGAAAGAGGGAATGGGCCAGGCATTGTGGCTCACATGTGTAATCCCAGCACTTAGGGAGGCTGAGGTGGGAGGATCCCTTGAACCCAAGAGTTCAAGACTAGCCTGGGCAACATAGTGAGACACCATTTCTACAAAAAAACAAAAAAAAATTAGCCAGGCGTGCTGGTGCCAACCGGTAGTCCCAGCTACTTGGGAGGCTGAGGTGGGAGGATTGCTTAAGACTGGGAAGTTAAGGCTGCAGTGAGCCGAGATTGCACCACTGCCTTCCAGCCTGGGCAATAGAACAAGACTCTGTCTCAAAAATGAAGAAGGAGGAGGATGGTGGGAGGGAGGAGGAGGAGGAGGAGGAAGAGGAGGAGGAGGAGGAGGAGGAGGAGGAATGTCTTATTTTAATTTTCTGAAGCAAACTGATACTCATAATACTACTTCTATGTTTAAATGTGTGTTCATGTTATGTGTGTGTTTCAGTTTGTGTGTTTGTATCAAAAAGTGTCTCAGTGTCAGTGTGCTGATGTATGTTTAAGTTGATGGTGTGTCAGTTTTTGTGTTTCTGTCAATGTTTGTTTCAGAATCTGTATGTTGGTGTGTGTTTCTGCTGAATGTGTTGGCCAGTGTGTATTTCTATTTCTATGAATGTTTGTCAATGTATATGTGCTTATGTTAATGTGTGTGTCAGTGTTTATATCTGAATGCGTGAAGGGTGTTTGTGCGTGGGGAGAGGAGGGGAAGAGATTGTAAAAAGAAATAGTCCATCTCCTGTGCTGAGATGGGTCTTCTCCAAGTGACCAGAAGTGGGTACTAAATGGAACTTCACTGGTTCTAAACCTCCTTTTTATTCAAGGTACAGCTGAGAATATTGGTGTAGGTACAAAGTATACAGTTTTCACTCTTCACTTTCTTTGTGATAGAACATCACAGTGGTTAAGAGAAAGCTATGGAGAGAAAATTCTTGTCTTAAATGAAGAATCTTTCTAACTCAGACAGTGTGGTATTTGCACAAAGATAGAGAAATAAACCAGTTAAAAAAAAATAAAAGAAGAAAGCTCACAAATATATACATGTATATATATAAGCAAATATTTATAAGAAAGATCAATGAAATAAAGATTAATTCTTCAATAAATATTCTAGAAATTTTGTATTTCTATAGGAGGGTAAATAGAATATGGCCTTTGACTTCATATTACGCGTAAAATCAATGTCAGGTTGATCATAGACCTAACTATAAAAACAAGTGAATAGAATATTCAGAATGTAATTTAGAAAATAATTTCCTGACCATGATGTAAGGTAAGATGGCTTAAACCAAACCTAGAAAGTACTTTTTGTATAATATAAAAGATATTCTAATGTAGTTGATGTGAGCAAGGAAATGGAGACAGATTGAGTCAAGCTCAGATTATTCTATTCCTTTACTGCAGGGCTTTCTGCTTAGATTCAGAGCTAGACCATGGGAGAGATAATAGTGGCTACCTCTTGAGTTGCTGTGAAGATTTAATGAAATAATAATACATAGAGCATGTAGACTGGTACCAGGTCTGTGTTAACCACTAAGTTAGTGCTGATATTGACAGCATTATCTAAGTAATTGCAAGATGTATTATATGCATCAATTATTAGATGCATCACTATATTCTGTTACCGTGACAGAATAAAAGGACAAACTATGACACAAATATTTCCTATCACTTAGAATTTTTATCTTATAATAACACAGAAACTTTGTGCAACTTATATTAATGTGAGCATTTGTCATAAATCACTTCTATGATTACATGAGATGGAAAATATAAGAAAATACATTACCAAAGTATTTTCCAAAATTTATACCTTTCGGATTAAACTCTTCTGAATCACTTTTCAACTCATCTTGTCTGTAACTTTCCCCACAGTTTCATCATCTATGCTAATTAGAAGATTTGGCAATGCCACATTTCTTGAGCAAGTCCTGTGCTACTCTTTTGTGAATGTATTTTTCCAATCTACTGACAGACTCTGCAGGTTTTGTTTTTCGTTATCTCACCCAAAGGTATTCATAGAAGCTTTTCAGACCATGTTTGTGTATGTGCATGCAAAGACAATCACATTACAACTGTCTTCCCACCAGTAGTGTTTGACACTGTTAATTTTCACATGAATCTGTGTTTGAGATAGGTGGGATGTATGCAGTAACATCAATGGAATGCACTACTTTCTCAGCAATTGCTCATTCTCAGTGTATAGTCATTGCAGCTCATTTGCTGTATTCTGCTCTATCATTGAGGAAACATGCTTAAATATTGTTTCTGACTAGCTATTAGAGACAGTAAAATTATTAGTGGGCTACCAAATATCATAATTTACCTGAGGAGAGTTGCTTTTATAAACTGTGATTCAAGAAGTCCATGGAATAGGGAGATAGAAATGGCAAAAAGTTACTTGAAAGTATGCACAGGGGTGATAGCTTTCTAAAAACTTTCAGAAAGTTATATTTTGCAAATTTCTGCTCTAATCTTACAAATATGATCAATGTTCCCTATAAGCTGCATGCCAAAATCAATTCTTAAATCCATAAAACTTGGTTATATTTTCCTATTGTTCTTTCACCCTTAATCATTTGGATATTTATCATACAAATCATATTATGATCAGTTATTGCAAAAGTAGTTGCATTTGGTCTCCATAGAATGCTTTGCTCTGCCCACTTGCAACACTGACAAACTCTACTTCTGGGCACTTGGAGATTGGAACGGGCTTAGCTGTTCCCTGATGAATATACTTAAGAAGAAATTCATATCGTTCGTAATTTAGGATGTTGACTGAAATTGCACCTAGAGTTGCAGGCTTCAGGAAGGCTCAATTAACTTTACAGTGTGTCCTGATCTCAAATATATGACCCATGAATCCACTGGGAACCATTCTCTATTCAGGCTACCGTGGGCAGACAGGGTAGTGGGGCCTTACTACATGATATGGTGTAAGACTTTGGGATGTTTGCGATGACAGATTTCTTAGAATTTGGGTGGTCAGGCCAGCATCTGTAAAATCAGGTCAGAGGTACAGCAGTCGGTTGTGGGAAATCATATATTCCAGGCTATCAGAGAGTAATGTCTGGGGACTTGGTGCCCAACACTGTGTCCTGTGACATCAATGTTAGCACAGTCTTATGTCTGTCACCTGCTCTGTCTTCATCCTGAGCACTCACTGACCAGAGCTCATTGACCCTCATTTGCTAAATGGAGATGGGTCTTTTCTTGTCCAGTTCTACTTGCAGCCTGTTTATGGCATTTTGCTATGCCTCTTTTTGGTGAAAAGTGTGTCAGGGGATAATCACAGTGTACATTATTATGGATTTTAGTGTATGCATTGGAATAAATAGGAAAAGGGGATTTGACAAGCTATTTGGCATTATAGAAAGTACAGTTAAAATTAAATAATCTGAGTAACCTTCCATGTTTTAAGACGAAACATTTAAGTGTGCCTGCCTGTCTCAAGGAGTGAAATATGAGCTTGGAGGAGTGAGGTTTCTTGAATTAGAAATGCCCACAATAACAGCGACTAAATAACTGCTATCCTGATCTCAGAAATGAGAACTCTGGTCCAGGTCAGGTGCATCTCTCACTGTAGGTCTAAACACTACAGGAGCTCATTTTCCCACTGAAGCTATAGATCTAGTATGGAGAATATAACCTATGATTACAGATCATAAAAGCAAGAGTCTTGGCTTTGTAGATGTCCATGGGATTGTGGCCATGCAGTCCCCCGACTTTGTAGGCTTTGTAGGCATGGTTGCCAGAAACAGCCCGGTGCTCCCCAGAAGAGTGCTGTGGTCTGTGAACAAGGAGCTGTGTGGTGAGTGGGTGGGCAGCCCTGCTTGCTGTGAGATTGCTTAGCTAGCACATATGCAGAGTCACCATTTATCCTATGTCCATCTCTTAGACCCGCGCATGGAGGTTTGAGAATATGTTGTACCATGTTGCTCTTTTGTTTATTTCACCAGGATTTCTTTACCTGTGCACAACACAATCTGAATCACTCACTTTCCTAAACCTGATAAAAACCTTGTGTCTAAAGCTTCATTTTCAGATATGAGTAAGCAGGGACTGGCTTAAATGAACATGATTGCAAATACTTCTCTTTTTTTACACCAAGACAGCCCACCTGCTACCAAGACTATACTTTTTTGTGGTTTTAGGGCTTGGTGCTGGTTAATGTAATTTCATGATGTGGCTGTTAACAGAATACGTGGTCCCAAATAATTCCTCATGGAGTCTCTAAAATGAAAAGAGCTTAATTATCACAGGATTTTTCAAAGGCTTGAAGGTACAGATGTGTTTTTAAATCTTAAGGAAGGAAAATCTGTAACCAAACAAGAAAAAAAATATCTTAAGTGCCTAAATATGATTTATTTTCCCTATTACTCCCGTTTCTCCATATTCACTTCTACTGTCCAGAGTCATGTCTTCCAAAGAGTCTTTGGTGGGATTCCGCAGATACAGGACTAGACGTTGTCTGAAATGGGTCTTTCTGTGAGGCACAGGCATCTATCTTTAAAGAAGTGGTTACTGACACTCACACAGGCAACTGGGTAATGAGGAGCATGAGGGGGAAGAAGAAAAGAGTAGGAGAGCCCTGGAACTTGATGATGTCTACCTGAAGAAGGTGCCCCTGGATTTGGAATGCTGACTAGATAAAGGAAGCAGCTTTGCATTCTTTCTATGTGCCTGTTCATTCGCGGAGCCCAAGTTTGTGTTTGTGTTCATTCTGGTGTTTGTTTGCAAGTTCTTTTCTATCACAGTAATACCTTTAAAATAGTATTTTCATTTTTATAATGTTAGATTTATAGAAAGCTGCAAAAAGGATTCAGTGAGTTTCATATGCTCTTCAGCTTCCTGTAATGTTAATATCTGACATAGCCATAGTATATTTATGAAAGCTGAGACACTGATGGTAAAAATAGCTATTAACTGAATTAAAGACTTTCTTTATATTTTACCAGGATTTCCACTAATGTCATTTGTCTGTTCCAGGATCCAATCCAGGATAGCACATGACGTTTAGTTCTTAAGTGCATTACTTATTTATTGCTGCCTTGTAAATTACCACAAATTTACTGGCCTAAAACTGCAAAACGTATTGTCTCATAGTTCTCTGGGTCAAGAATTGAGACATAGATGATAGCCAAGGCTGAGGTCTCAACTAAAATCTCAGCTGGTGAAGAAGTTACTTCTTAGCTCACATTATTGCTGTTTGAACTCAGTTCATTGCAGGCTGTTGGTCAAAGCCTGCATTTAGTCCCTCCAGGTGTTGGCTTCTCCTACATGCCAGAAGCCTCCATCAAAGCCATTGAGGGACAGAGTTTGCAGCAAGACAGAAAAATCACAATCTTATGTAAAATGATCACCTAAGTGTCATCTCATCACCTTTGCAGTATTCTCTTGTTCAGTATTCAACTCAGCTTCTGGCCACATTCATGAGGAATTAGTATTCAAGGTTGTGTCATACCAAGATATGGGAATCATTTACCTTCTGTATCAGCTATTCTCCAATCTACAATCTTTACTTAGTTTTCATGACTTTGAACCTTTTGAAAAGTACTGGCCAGTTGTTTTGCAGTGTCCCACAATATGGATTTGTCTGATGGTTTCTCATGATTAGACTAAAAATATGGATTAATTTTGACATATTCATCCAAGATTAAAGATAAGGAAAGCTGAACTTCAAATTATTCTTCAAAGCTGTAGTTACCAAAACAGCATGGTATTGTTATAAAAGTAGACACAGACCAATGGAACAGAATAGAGAACCAAGAAATAAAGCCAAATACTTACAACCAACTGATATTCAATAAAGCACACAAAAACATAAACTGGGGGGAAAGGGCACCCTGTTTACTAAATGGTACTGGGAAAACTGGATAGCCACATGAATTCTTACTAATGCCCCTAACACCACATGATCTAATCCAGTATTGCACAAATCACTGTGTCCATTCCTACTGCTTGTACGTAACCTCCCACTCTAACCATAAACAGTTGGCTCCATTAACTTACTTTATCCCAAAATACATGGATATTGGTTTCAGAATTGTTCATCAACACCCCCACGGGACACAACTTTATCAAAAAAGGTACAGTGCTTACATACACATTTTTTAGCCTTTAAACTTGGAATTTCCACTTATAAAATTATGTTACTCAGGTCAGCCTCCTTTCTTCCCTCTCACTCTCTTCAGAGAGGTTATTTCATATATTTGTAACATGGTTATATTATTTTGTATGTGTTACACCCTATGATCCCCTAACCTACTAAGTATTTTTTAAATTTGCATGCATATTTGCTCACTGTTCTACAACATTCTGCTGTATTTAAAAAATAGTTTCATGTACCCACATTACAATATTGTAGAGAATATTTTCACTGCCCTAAAGAAATTTACACATCATCTATTAAATATTTCTCTCCCTCCAGCCACTAGTAACCACTAATGTGTTTACTATCTCCATAGTTTCTCCTTTTTCAGAATGTCATATAAATGGAAGTAAACAATAGTTAGGCCATATTATGTGTATGGCATGAGGGAAGACTCCAGCTTGCACCAGGGTATTAATTTGTCCCGCATTATCTTTGACAAAAAAAAAAAATCCACACTGAATTGTCTTGACTACCTTGTGAAATCAATTTACCATAAATGTTAGGGTTAATTTTTAGATGCTAAATTTTATTCACTGATCTATATGTCTATCCCTATATAAGTACCATAATGTCTTGATTACCATTATTTTCAAGTAAGTTTCAGAATCCGGAAGTGTGAGTTGAGTACTCCAACTTTTTTTTCTAGATTGTCTTGGCTGTTCTGGATCCCTTATATTTCCATATGAATTTAAAAATCAGCTTGTCAATTAATGCAAAGAAAAGCAGCTGGAATTTGATAAGGATTGCATTGAATTATGGGTCCATTTGGAAAATATTGCCATCTTAACTATATTAAGCCTCCTGATCAATGAGCATGGGATATTTTTTTTCTATTAGCTCTTCTTTAATTTTTTCAATAATGTTTTGAAGTTTTCTGTGTACACATCTTAGGATTATTTTGTTAAGTATATTCCTGTAATCCCAACAATCTGGGAGGCCGAGGCAGGCAGATCATGAGGTCAAGAGATTGAGACCACCCTGGGCAGCATAGTGAAAACCTGTTTCTACTAAAAATACAAAAAATTAGCTGGGCATAGTGGCGTGCAGCTGTAGTTCCAGCTACTTGGGAGGCTGAGGCAGGAGGTGGAGGTTGCAGTGAGCTGAGACTGCACCACTGCACTCCAGCCTGGCAACAGAGTGAGACTGTGTTTCCAAAAAAAAAAAAAAAACAAAAAAAAAATACAAACAATCCAGTTATATTTTTGTTATTGTTAAATATATAATTAAATTAGTATTGACTGTAGTCACTCTGCTGTGCTATCAAATACTAGATCTGATTCATTCCTTCTATTTTTTGTCCCCATTAACCAACCCAAGCTCCCCGCAACCCTCCATCTACTCCTCCCAGCCTCTGGTAACCATCATTCTACTCTCTATCTTCATGAGTTCAATTGCTTTCATTTTTAGCTCCCACAAATAAGTAAAAACATACAAAGTTTGTCTTTCTGTGTATTGCGGGATCTGGCCAGCAGCCCACAATGCAATGGGGCTCTTTCTTTGTTCTCAAGTGGATAGGCAGGTCAAGAAATAAGAGATACACACAAGATAGTGAAAGCTGGGTCCAGGGGTGTCACTACCTTCTGGTCCTGTGATGCTGCCAATGCACTGGATATACCAGCATTTATTATTGAGTTTAGTGAGGGCAGGGGTAGGTTAGTGAGGGATTTAGGGTCGTTTGATTATGAGGTGAGACGGTCACATGGGAATGAAGCAATTCTTTAACATAACATCGGTATGCAGAAGTACAGTATACAGAGATAAGAATTTACAACATAGTGTGTGCATCAGCAATTTCTAACAGAGCCTTAAAACAGAAACACAGTCTATCCATAACCTATGATTAGCAAGATATTAATCAGCAGTAACAGTTGCAGCAAAAGCTGGTTGCAAACAATCAATAGAAAGAGGACGTGAAGCTAGACAACCGGTTAGACCAAAAATTCTCAGAAGGGAGTATGCCTTAATCCTAAAGAGACCTAGAAGACCCGTGGCAAGATAAGGGCGTTTATAACCCTATCTTATCCATATGAACAGGCGCCCCTCATTAGTCCATTTATAGGCTCTCCACAAGGGTCTCATTCCATTCCCAGAGCTATGAACATCTGCTTTTCTGAGATAGGAATCTTGATCACAATTGGATTGGTGCTGTTGAGTCATTCTGGCAGCCCAACCTGGGATTGTCTTTACACAATCCTGCATGCAATTTTGTATTTACAATAATCAGGAGCATTTCATCTTTTATTCCGTAGCAATAGTTTCAGGGGGTCTCCCTATATCTGTGCATGGCTTATTTCACTTAACATAATGACCTCCGGTTCCAACCCTGTTGTTGCAAATGACAGGATCTCATTGCTTTTGATAGCTGATTAGCACTCCATTGTGTGTATGTACCACATTTGCTTTATGCATTCATCTGTTGAGGGACATTTCGGTTGTTTTCGAATTTTGGCTATTGTGAATGGTGCTGCAATAGACACAGGGGTACAGGTACCTCTTTAATATACTGACTTCCTTTCTTTTGGGCCAAGAACATACATTGGAGAAAGGTCAGTCTCTTCAATAAATGGTGCTGGGAAAACTGGAAATCCATATGCAGAAGAATGAAACTAGAGCCATAGCTCTCACCATATGCAAAAGTAAAAAATGTATTAAAGACTTAAATTTAAGATCTCAAACTATGAAACTACATTGGGGAAACTCTTCAGGACATTGGACTGCCTAAAGATTTCTTGACCAAGCACAGTCAAGCAAAGCAAAAAAGAACAAATGAGAAGATGCCAAGTTAAAAAGCTTCTGCACAGCCAAGGAATCAATCAACAAAGTGAAGAGACAACCCACAAATGGAAAAACATGTTTGCAAACTATCTATCTGAAAAGGGATTAATTTGTGCAAACTCTTCATCTGACAAGAGCTCCAGAATGTATTAGGACTACAAAAAACTCTATAGGAAAAAATCTAATAATCTGATTTATATATGGGCAAAATATCTAAATAGATATTTGTCAAAAGAAGATGTGCAAATGGCTCATCATTTTTAATTTAAAATGAGAGATGTGCAACTCTTCCTTTCACTTGAATATTTAGAGACAATTGTGAGGTTATTAATTGACCAAACTTTAATATTGTTGTGTCTCCAGGAATAAGAGCCCAAGGAGAAGAAGAGAGACAGGGAAAAGGTCATTTGGTACAGAACACACACAAGATCTATAGACTAAGTTCACTATCTGTTTTTTGTTTGTTCATTTGTTTTGAGATGGGATTTCTTTCTGTCACCCAGGCTGGAGTGCAGTGGTATGATCTTGGCTCACTGCAACCTCCGCCTCCTGAGCTCAAGCGATTCTTCTACCTCAGCCTCCTGAGTAACTGGAACTATACAGACATGGGCCACCATGCCTGGCCTAATATTTTGTATTTTTGTTGGAGATGGGGTTTTGCCATGTTGCACAGGCTGGTCTTGAACTCCTGAGCCCAAGCAATCCACCCTCCTTGGCCTCCCGAAGTGCTGGGAGTACAGGCGTAAGTCACCACACCAGGCTAAATTCACTGTCTTATATGGGTTCCATTCAAGGACCACAATACAATGGTAACATCAAAGATCACTGAGCACAGATCACTGTAACATTAATAATGATAAAATTTAAAATATTTTATTACCAAAATATAATACAGAGACAAAAAGTGAGCACATACTGGTGGAAAAATGATGCCAATAGACTTGCTCATCACAGGGTTGTTACAAACCTTCAATTTGTAAAAATCAGAGTATCTGCAAATGACAATAAATTGAAGCATAATAAAATGTGGTATGCCTGTAAACACAGTAGTAAGATTGCTGGGTCAAATGATAGTTCTATTTCTAATTTTTTAAAGAACCTGTATACTGTATTCCATAGTGGTTGTACTAATTTATATTCCCACCAACAGTATAGCAGGGTTCCTTTTGTTTATATCCTCACTAACACTTGTTATCTTTTGTCTTTTTTCATAATAGTTGTTCTCATGGGGGTGAGGTGATGTCTTATTGTGATTTTGATTTGAATTTTTGTGATTAGGAATGTTGAGCGTTTTTTTCATATACGTGTTTTGTCATTTGTATGTCTTCTTTTGAGAAATACCTACTCAGATATTTTGTCCATTTTTAATTTTGTTTTCTTTTTATTCTATTGACTGTTTTGAATTCCTTATATATTTTGGATATTAACTTCTTCTCAGACATATAGTGTGCAAATATTTTCTCCCAGTCTGTGGGCCATCTCTTCACTCTGTTGATTGTTTCCTTTGTTGTGCAAAAGCTTGATTTGACGTAGTCTCATTTATGCATTTTTGCTTTTGTTGCCTGGGTTTTTGAAAAGAAAAATTAACTGTCATCCTTGTCACGGAACTTTTTCTTTATGTTTTTATTCTAGTAGTTTCATAGCTTCAGGTCATACATTTAAGTCTTTCATCCACTTTGAATTTATAGTTAGATATAGTGAGATATAAGGGTCTAATTTAATTATTCTGAGATTCAATTTTTCCAACATCGTTTATTGAAGTGCCCATATTTCCCCAATGTGTGTTCATGCACCTTTGTTAGAAATCACTTGTTTATAAATGCATGTATTTATTTATGGTCTGTATATTCTGTTTCCTTGATCTATGTGTCCGTTTTTGTTTTGTTTTCTTTTTTGGGACGGAGTTTCACTCTTGTTGCCCAGGCTGGAGTGCAATGGTGTAATCTCAGCTCACCACAATCTCTGCCTCCCAGGTTCAAGTGATTCTCCTGCCTCAGCCTCCTAAGTAGCTGGGATTACAGGCATGCACCAGCACACCTGGCCAATTTTGTAGGTTTTAGTAGAGGCGGGGTTTCACCATGTTGATCAGGCTGGTCTCGAATTCCTGACCTCAGGTGATCCGCCCACCTCGGCCTCCCAAAGTGCTGGGATTACAGGTGTGAGCCACTGTGCCCAGCCTGTGTGTCTGTTTTTATGTCAGTATCATGCTGTTTTGGTTACTATAGCTTTGTAGTATATTTGAAAGTCACCACAGATTTATCCATCTTTGTCCTTTTTGCTCAATATTTCTTAGGGGTTTTGGAGTTTTTCACAGTTCCATGCAAATTTGGGAACTTTTTTCTATTTCTGTTAAGAATGTAAGTGATATTTTGATAAGGATTACATTGAATTTGTCAGTTGTTTTCAGTAGTATGGACACTTTAACAACATGAATTCTTCTGATTCATAAACACTTATTTTGCTGAATTGAACCACTTATTATATAATGACCTTCTTTGTTTTTTAAAAGTTTTTGACTTCAAGTCTATTTTTTTCTGGTATAAATATAACCGCTCCTGTTTCTAAACTATTTGGAATATCTTTCTTTCAACCCCTCACTTTCAGACTATGTGTGTCATTACAGGGTATGTGAGTTTTTTTGTTTTTTTTTTTGAGATGGAGTCTCGCTCTGTAGCCCAGGCTGGAGTACAGTGGCGCCGTCTCGGCTCACTGCAAGCTCCGCCTCCTGGCTTCACGCCATTCTCCTGCCTCAGCCTCCCAAGTAGCTGGGACTACAGGCGCCCGCCACCAAGCCCGGCTAATTTTTTATATTTTTAGTAGAGACGGGGTTTCACCGTGTTAGCCAGGATGGTCTCGATCTCCTGACCTCGTGATCCACCTGCCTCGGCCTCCCAAAGTGCTGGGATTACAGGCGTGAGCCACCGCGCCCAGCCGGATGTGAGTTTTTTGTGGGCAACATATATATAGGTCTTTACAGTCTGGCTTTGTCTGGTAACATTCTTCAACAGTAAGCCAGTCCAGAGATTGTGGACACGTCATTTGGTGTAGTGCCTAAGCCCATGAGGGCTGCAGCCATTGCAGTGCTAGGGGGCGCCCTAAGCCCAGGAGTGCCACAAGCTGGAGTCCCATGGCCTCTGACTCTGGTGCAGCACTGAGCAGGAATCCCATGGCCATTAAGGCTAGTGCAGTATTGAGGTGCACCTAATGCCCATAGCCACTGAGCTAGCACAGTACTGGGGTGTGCTTGGGGCCTGCGGCTGCTGAGGCCTGCCTGTTGCCATAGACTATTTGGAGCCCAAGGTCACTGTGGTCAGTCAGCAGTGAAATGGTTGGGAACTTGAATCCATGTTGCAGGGGCTACATATTTCTGTCTGGCCCCAGGGTAGATCTAGAGGTTCCATTTGTGGGTACCAGCCTGGAGACAGGACCATGGGAGTCTGCTGTATGCTGATTTTTACTGTGGCTGACTCAGTACTCAGATCCAAGGTAATGTCCTACAGTTGCTTCCCTCTCTTTACCCAGAGTGAACGATATCTCTTTCTGTACTGTGCTGACTGATGTTGGGGAAGGGGTGATTTGGGTAATATAAAACTTAATTTCCTACTCTCTTTGATGCATCTTTTCTTAATATCATGCTATAACCATGTACTATGATCTTTCATCTGTTTTCCTTAGCTTTTGTAACGGTATTTTTATACCGTGAGGGTACTTGTTAGAATTGATGTTTCTTTCTTTCTTTCTTTCTTTCTTTCTTTCTTTCTTTCTTTCTTTCTTTCTTTCTTTCTTTATTTATTTTATTTTATTTTAAATTTTGTTATTATTATACTTTAAGAAAATTATCACAGGAGATCTAGTCTGCCATCTTGCTCTGCCTTCTGTTCATGCTATTTTAAATGAAATTGTTTTTGTTGTTTTATTATCAGATTGTTAATTGCTAGTATATGAAAAATATAATTGTTTTTAGTTGTTGAGTTTGTGTACTGAAAAGTTTCTGGACTCATTTTTAGTTCTAATAGTATTTTAGGGGATTCTTTAGGATTTTGTACACACATCACCTCACTGGCAGACAGAGATAGTTTGACTTTTTCCTTCCCCTTCTCAGTGACTTTTATTTGTTTTTCTAGACCAATTGCCCTGGCTGCAACTTCCAGTACAATGTTGAATATAAGTGGCAATAGTGGACATCTTGGGGTAAGTATTGAGCTTTTCATGATATCATGTGCGTTTTTTTCTGGATGCCTATTTTGGGATGAGAAAGTTTACATCTCTTTCTAATTATTTTTGTTTGTTGCTTTTTGTTTTCATATGTTTTGTTTTGTTTTGAGATGGGGTCTTACTCTGTCATCCACAGTGGAGTGCAGTGATATGATCTCTGCTCACTGTAGCCTCGACCTCCCAGGCCCAAGCAATCCTCCCACCTCTATTTCTAATTTATTGGGTGTCTTTTTTTAATCAAAAATTGGTTTTGGATTTTGCAAATGCTTTTTTGCATTTTTAGATGATCATGTGGTTTTCTTCCTTCATTTTATTAAAATAATGTGTCACACTGTTTTTGTACATTGAACTCAACTTGCATTCCTGTGATAAATTCTTTTGATCATGGTGTATAATCCTCTGTACGTGTTGCCTGGGTTTGGTAGGCTAGTATTTTATTGATGATTTTTGTCTCTATGTGCAAAAGGTATATTGGCCTATACATTTTGTTTCCTTAATGTCTTCTAGTTGTGGTATCAGGGTACATTGGCCTCATAGATTAAGTTGGAAAGTGTGATCTTATCTTCTGTTTTTGTTGGTTTATGTGTTTATTTGCTTGCCTGCTTAAGAATTTCTGAAGGATTAGTATTAATATTTTAAAGGTTGGTATAATTCATTAGTACAGTTATCTTGGCCTTGGACTTTCTTTGTGGTAAGTTTGTCATTTACTATTTGAGTTTCTTTACTTGTCATAGCTCCATTCAGGTTTTTTGTTTCTTTTTAATCCAGTCAAGTATTTTTTGTCTTTCTGGGAATTTGTCTATTTCATCTGGGTCATCTAAGCTGTTGGCATACGATTGTTCCCAGTACTCCCTTATATTCTGGTTTTATTCACGGGAGGTTGGTAACTTTACTGCCCTCCCAGTGGTGTAACTCTGTCCCCCTGCGAGTTCCCTGTGCTGTTCACTACCTGCAAAGTTCTGAATCCATATTTTTTAATCCCTTTCTTCTATTTACTATGGGTTTTTCCCTCTTAAGTGACACAGAACGGGTGAGGGATACTGTGATAAGGAAAAATTGCCCCTATCAGCTAGGATGAGTTTTCTAAATTGTCCCTGGCAAGGTACTCCCACCTCCAAATGACTTTTTGTAAAGAAGGATCTGAGCATTGGAAGGAGAGTTCCTGAAAGTGAAAGTCCCTTCCAAGACCGTGGTCTCAGGATTCTCCACTGTCATGCCAGTCCATACTCAGCTTCCAGCTACTGTAAAAACTATTATTAAGTGTTCCTGCCCATTTAGGGCTCCATCACCTTCTGCTCCTGATCACGAGATCTTAGTAGCTGTATCTCTTTGGGCCTGCCTGTCTCTCCATATTTTGGGTGCATACTTGTGCTATGACCCTGGTTCCCCGATGGGTCCAATAAAAGTCATTTATTTTCAGTTCCTCCAGCTTTTTACTGTTACCAGAATAGGAGTGACAACTTTCAAGCTATTTACATGTCGGAGTTGAAAGCAGAAGTGTGGGATATGGAGTTTGGGAAGAAACTCATAGAAGTGAAGTGTCTTTCTCATTGTGCTATGTCAAGGATACATGGTGTCAACATGATGTTCACTGGTGATGTTGAACTTGATCACTTGGTTGAGATGGTGACTGCCAGATTTTTTCTCTGCAAAGCTAATGCTTTATTTGTCCATCCTCTGCATGTTAGAAGCAAGCCCATCCTATACACAAACAGAAGGGAGGAATTAGGCTTCATTTTCTGGAAGAAAGACTGTCAAGTAATTTAGCAAGAATATGTTAAAACCACCCCAATAAATAATATCTGGGGGAAGATATTTCTAGTCTTATAAACACCTTGTTTATCCCTAATGCATTGCCAATTAATTTCAACATTCATCAATGAATCTTGTCTTTGGTGATTTGTGTTATGGTGTTATCATGGTAATTTCCTAATTCCTTTTCTTTTTTATTTATTATTTGGAATTCTTTTCTAAAAAAGATTTGCTCCTACTTATCTGTATATGTATTGTCATATCCACATTTAACTTGAGATCTACACTCTTAACAATTTTTTTTTTCTTTGAGACGCAGTTTCACTCTTGTTGCCCAGATTGGAGTACCATGGCACAACCTTGGCTCACTGCAATCTCTGCCTCCCGGGTTCAAGCAATTCTTCTGTCTCAGCCTCCCTAGTAGCTGGGATTACAGGCGCCCGCCACAATGCCCAGCTGTTTACTGTATTTTTAGTAGAGATGGGGTTTCACCATGTTGGCCAGGCTGGTCTTGAACTCCTGATCTCAAGTGGTCTGGCCGCCTGGGGCTCCCAAAGTGCTGTAATTACCAGCGTGAGCCACCGCACCTGGCCTGTCTTAACAATTTTTAATTGCACAATATAGTATTGTTATCTGTAGGCTTAGTGTTGAACAGTAGATCTCTGGAACTTACTGATCTTGCATAACTGAAACTTTATACTCATTGAACAGTAACTCCCCATTTTCCCCTCACCTACCCCGCAGCAATCACTGTCAGTCATACTCTCTGCTGCTATGAGTTTGATCATTTCAGATACCTCATAAAAGTGCAATCATGCAGAGTTTATCCTTCTGTGATTATCTCATGTAACTTTACATAGTGTCCTCAGGGTTTATCCATGTTGTCATTAATAGTATAATTTCTTTTTTTATAAGGCTGAGTAATATTCCATTTTATGTATGTATACCCAGAAGTAGGATTGCTGGATTATATGGTACTCATATTTTTAATTCTTTGAGGAACCTGCGTACTGTTTTCCATTGTGGCTACATTGTTTCTCATTCCCACCAACAGTGTATGAAGGTTGTGATTTCTCCTTTTTTTTTTGCCTTTTTTTGATGCTAGCCATTGTAACAGATACAAGGTGATGTCTCATTGTGGTTTTGATGTACAATTAATTGATGATTTATAATGCTGTGCAACTTTTTATACACCTGTTGGCCATTTGCATGTATTCTTTGGAGAAATGTATATTCAAATCCCTTGCCGTTTAAAAATTAGATTATTTGGGATTGGGGAATTCTTTTTTCTCTTAAGTTGTAGGAATATGTTGTATATTTCGATATCAGCCCCTTATTCAATATATGGTTTGCAAATATTGTCTCCTCTTCCATAGATTTTTCATCCTGTTTCCTTCGCTATGCAGGAGTTTAGTTTGATGCAGCCCCACATTATTTTTGTTTCTGTTTTCTGTGTTTATAGTGTCATATTTTAGAAATCTTTGTCTAGATCTAGACCAATGTCATGAAGCTTTCCCCCTCCTTTTACTTCTAAGTGTTTTATAGTTTCAGGTCTTATGTCCAAATATTTATTCTCTTCTGAGTTGATTTTTGTATATAGTGTAAAATAAGAATCCAATTTTATTTTTTACTTTTTCGCATGTAGATATTACATTTTCTCAACACCGTTTGTTGAAGAGACTATATATTTTTCCCATTGCGTATTCTTGGGACCCTTGTTGAAGATTTTGACTGTATATATGTGGATTTATTTCTGGGACATCTATTATGTGTCTTATTTATTTATTTATTTGATTATTCAGTTGCTTATTTATATCACTATGGACTCATTGAGGTTTGCTTGCTTTTTTGTTTTTGTCGGTTTAGTACTTCCTTACTTACAGACACTGCAAAGATGCTTCAGCAGTATATTGCATTTTTTTCTGCCTTAGCCCTAGAATGAAGTATTTCTCCAAGTAGCTCTGTCTTTTGTTCTTGTTTGTTTTTAATTAGAGAATGGTATTTCAAAACTAGATGTGCTTGTTGACACTGTAGTGTTTCTTGGACCTCTCAGCAAAAAAATCTGGGAAATGTATGTATGTACTTATGTAAGCCTGTATATCTGTATTTATATCTGTATCTATCTATGTCTAAATTTATGTACACATATAGATTAAAACATAAACATATTTATGCTAATATCTACACTCTAGTTCAGGACTGAATTCATTCTAGACTTTCACCTTGATAACTTCTTTCTTTGACGATGACAAAACTACTCCTGAGCTCAAGATTTTTGTCATTTTTTTTTCTGTACATAAAGACTCATTTAAATCCACCTTCATTTATCTTCCACTGCTGTCTAGCTTTTCACCACTGTGACTTGGGTTGGAATACTGGGTTGTTGGACAAGGTTGTAGGAAACATCAGACTTGATCATCTGTTTATAGATATAAAATTAAAAGCAGATTGGAACTTGGCAAAGAGTGAGTTGAGAGCTTAAAGGAACAAACACACTCCAAGAAGCCTCAAATATCTAAGCAGCAGGACAGAGGTTGTTTGGTCCATTCTCAGGTATGTTTGTGGTGACTTTCATGGTCTGAGCCTCTGACCCCAGGAATATTGTTGTGGTGGAACTCAGGCAAATGCTAGTGCATGCATATTGGGGCATCTATTTTGTAAGTGTTGAAACTGAACTTTCTGGGGAAATGTAGCATCCAATCCATGTAGATTTCCTTTCTGAGAACAAAAGTGGAAACAGTCATCGAGTGGGATGACAACTTGGAAAGGCTTTGTGGGCCTTTGTGACCTCATGGTATGCATCCCCTCAGGGTGGACTCATGCAGGTAACTGACCCTCCTGGCTTTCCTCCTCATCCTCCCACTGAACTCATGCTTCTTCCTAGGCTGGTTTCTCTTGGTTGCTTTGGGAATGAACAGCACGTAGCCTGACACAAAACCATGTACCATGTCCACTTCTTTCTATTTCCACATTTTCCTTCTGGTTGAGGGGCACTGGGTTCCCCTGTAGATGTGACAGTGGCATGAGCATACATGCTTAATAATGAATGACCTCACGTGTACCCTGAAGTAGAGATGGGCACTGGCAAGCAATGATACCCGACGATGGCTCATGAATAGGACAGCTGGAGCCCATGAGGCGCTATTATGGGCCCTGAGGTCTGAGTTGCACCCGGACAGCCTCACCCTCAAGGATTGGCTGGTGTTTGCTGGAGGCCTCTTTATGCTAAGGGCTGAGGCAAGCTGCTGAAGACATGCTGTGTGATTTATCATAATACAGGATTAACTTTCAACATGCGGTGGTCATCAAAGAAATCAGTGTCTCTGGTGAAAACTCACTTTCAAGTCTAATTTTTGCTACTGAGAATAAGCTCGGTAACAAGTAGTAGTTGATAGAAGATAGCATGACAGGGGTTTGGAGAGGAAGGGGAATACATTTATGGCTGGGCTTGGAAAAGTCTGCATGAAGCCTGCACATATTTTGGGGGGAAAACCAAGTAATCCTCTTTGTGCCTGCAGGCTGCAGAAGGCTGTCACTGGGCTTTCTCCCTCTGCCTGCCCCTCCATTTGTCTAAGCCCATGGCCTTTTTTCTTTCCTTTTTTTTTGTAATAGCTTTATTGACATATAATTCACATAACATGCAATTAACCATTTAAATCCACATACCATACAATTAACCATTTAAATTCACATGCTATACAATTAACCACTTAAATTTACATATCATACAATTAACTATTTAAATTTTCACATCATACAATTAACCATTTAAATTCACATACCATATAATTAGCCATTTAAACCTAGTGATTTTGAGTATATACACAGCACTATGCAGTAATCAAAACAATCAAGTTAGAATCAAATTTAAAACAAATTTAGAACATTTAGAATAAAAAGAACCCCACTACCCTTTAATATTATTCCCTAATCCCCCATCCTTCCTAGCCCTAAGCAACAAGTCTACTTTTACCTTTCTATAGATTTGCCTATTCAGAATATTTCCTGTAAATGGAATCATAAAATATCTGATCTCGAGTGTCTTCTTCCACTCAAAAATGTGTTTTTGGCCTGGCGTGGTGGCTCACGCCTGTAATCCCAGCACTTTGGGAGGCCAAGGCAGGTGGATCACAAGGTCAGGAGTTCAAGATCAGCATGGCCAAGATGGTGAAACCCCGTCTCTACCAAAAATACAAAAATTAGCTGGGCCTGGTGGCAGGTGCCTGTAGTCCCAGCTACTTGGGAGGCTGAGGCAGGAGAATCGCTTGAACCTGGCAGGCGGAGGTTCAGTGAGCTGAGATGGCGCCACTGCACTCTAGCCTGGGTGATAGAGCAAGACTCCATCTCAAAAAAAAAAATGTGTTTTTAAGGTTCATCCATGGTGTATAACATGTCAATACTTTTTTTTTTTCCTTTTTATACAGGGTCTCACTCTATTGCCCAGGCTGGAGTGCAGGGGTGTGATCACAGCTCACTGCATCCTCTACCTCTTGGGCTCAAGTGATTTTTCCACCTCAGCCTTCTCAGTAACTGAGCCTCCACA
This sequence comes from Homo sapiens, assembly GCF_000001405.40. Lineage (NCBI taxonomy): Eukaryota > Metazoa > Chordata > Mammalia > Primates > Hominidae > Homo > Homo sapiens. The sequence continues at coordinate 23,831,110 of NC_000015.10, forward strand.
CACCTATAGTCTATACAGGTGTGTGTCACCATGTCCAGCTAATTAAAAAACATCATTTTGGTGGAAACAAGATTTCACTATGCTGGCCAGGCTGGTCTTGAACTCCTGGGCTCAAGCACCTCACACCTTGGTCTCCTAAAGTGTTGGGATTACAGGCGTCAACCACTGCACCCAGTCTTCATTCTTTTTATAGCCAAATAATGTTCTGTGATATGTATATACCACATTCTACTTATTTGTTCATCCAATTTCTTGATATCTAAGTTTTTTCCACCTTTTGATTATCATAAATATATAATATAGCTGTGAAATTATTTTTTTTTTTTGAGACAGAGTCTTGCTCTGTCGCCCAGGCTGGAGTGCAGTGGCACGATCTCGGCTCACTGCAATCTCTGCCTCCGGGGTTCACGCCATTCTCCTGCCTCGGCCTCCCGAGTAGCTGGGACTACAGGCGCCCGCCACCACACCCGGCTACTTTTTTTGTATTTTTAGTGGAGACAGGGTTTCACCGTGTTAGACAGGATGGTCTTGATCTCCTGACCTCGTGATCTGCCCACCTCGGCCTCCCAAAGTGCTGGGATTATAGGCGTAAGCCACTGCGCCTGGCCAGCTGTGAAAATTTATATACAAGTTTTGATGTGGTTATGTTTTCATTTCTCTTGGGTCTATATATAAGAGTGGAATTGCTGAGTCAGATGGTAATTCAATATTTAACTTCTTGTGGAACTGCCAAACTGTTTTCCAAAATGGCTGCACAATTTTACAGCCCACCAATGTACAAGAATTCCAATTTCTCCACATTCTCACCAACACTAGTTCCTATCTAATTTCTTACCTTATTTATATGAAATGTAGCCTGTTTCTCCGTGACTTTTCTTTACCTGTCTACAATATCTCCCCTCGTTCTGAAGCACATTCACATGTTTTGAGAAGTTGGCTCCTTACGGTTCCCATGATACATCGTGTTTATTCCTAGCTTGATTTATTTGCCCATGCTGTGCCTGCTGTTGTTTTTTAAATTATTTTTTAAAATTGTGGTAAAATACTCATAACATAAAATTTACCATCTTAACCATTTTTAATTTCACAATTTATTATACAACCATCACTGCCATCCATTTCCAGAACTCTTTTCATCTTTCAAAACTGAAACTCTGTATCCATTAAACAATAACTCTAATCCCTTTTGTCCAGCCCCTGGCAACTGCCATCCTACCTTTTTTTTTTTTGGCAGGGTCTCACTCTGTCACCCAGGCTGGAGTGCAATGGCCTGGTCATAGCTCATTGCTGCCTTAATCTCCTGGGCTTAAGTGATCCTCCTACCTCAACCTCCAGAGTCACTGAGACTATAGGCACACACTACCACACCCAGATAATTTATTTTTTATTTTTTCGGTAGAGGTGAAGTCTCACTATATTGCCCAGTCTGGTCTCCAACTCCTGGGCTCAAGTGATCCTCCCGCTTTGGCCTCCCAAAGTGCTGGGATTATAGACCTGAGCCACAGCACCCCGCCTCCACCATCCTACTTTTACATCTATAAATCTGACTACTTTAGGCACCTTGTATAAGTGAAATCATACAATATTTATCTTTTTGTGATGGGCTTATTTCACTTAGCAACATGTCTTTAGAACTCATCCATGTTGTAACATGTGTCAGTATTTTCTTCCATTATACAGCTGGATACTTTGGTTTACCTGTGAATTCATCAATGGAGATTTGGGTTACTCCTACCTTTTGGCTATTGTGAGTAATGCTGCTATGATCATGACTATACAAATATAACACTGACACCATTATTTCAATTATTTGGGGATATATATCCAGAAGTGGAATTCCTGGATCATATGATAATTCTAGTTTTAATATTTTGAAGAATCACTAGACCGATTTTTAGAGTGGCTTCTTCGTTTTACATTCTCACCAACAATGTACAAAATTTACAATTTCTCTACATCCTCACCAACACTCGTTATTTTCTGTAATTGGTATGAGATGATATCTCATTATGGTTTTCATTTGCATTTCCCTAATAATTAGTGGCGCTGAGCATCTTTTCCATGTACTTATTGACCATTTTAATGTCACATTTGGGTCCTTTTATATTATCTTTGGGTCCTTTGTCCATTTTCAATGTGTTTTGTTTCTGTGGTTATTTTATTCTAAGAATAGCCACACCTGTGAAGGTTTGCTGAAAAATTATCTGAAATGAGAGTTATATGAGCAGCCATTGAACAGCCGTGGGACAAAATAAGTACACAAACAAAACACATTGAAAATGGACAAAGGAGCTGAATAGACATCTCCCCAAAGATGGATATATACTCCCAAAGAATTGAAATAATAGTGTAGATACAGTCCATTGTGTAGATACAGCGTAAAGGATAAGGTCCTAGAAATGTCTGAATCAATGTGGGCAATTAGTTGCAGCTCAAATTTCAAGGGAATGATTAAAGACCTATGGAGGTGAGAAGATGTAAGGAAATGTGAATCATGATAAATATAACAACTACAGTTTCCGTGATTACCTAAATCTGAGCTTCACTACTTGATGGATTCTTTCTTCTTTCAAAGATTTTTGGAGGCAAAGATGGGGACCAAGACTGCTCAACACTATGGAATGCTCCAAGCAAGAGTATTTTAGCTACATCCTTGGCAAGAAAATTTTTATCCAGACTTGTATTTCTGCATTTCACCCTCCCACACTGCAACAAATCTGGTAGTAGTCAAGTGAAGAGGGAGTGCAGAGATTGGGAGACCTCAGACCACCCTTTCTGTTTGGAAGGCCTTTGCAAAGTTCGGGCAGTGTTCCTTAAGCACTGCAGGGATCTTTCTAGGGTCTGTCTCTCTGTGACGAAGAACACTCTTAAGGAATTTGGGGGTAGGTGGGTTATAGTGGTTAAGTTTATAGAGTAAGGGAAGATTTTCCCATAACAGCATCTTGCTGCATATGTTCTCCATCTAAGCTTTGTAAGTCTTACTTGATCAGTACCTTAGTGGTCAATGTAAACATTGTTCCATCCTCCATCCACCACCAAATAACTAGTGGGCTTCAGCTTTTTGTGCACTGTTGCCCAGGCTGGAGTGCAGTGGTACGATCTCAGCTCTCTGCAAGCTCCGCCTCCCGGGTTCACGCCATTTTCCTGCCTCGGCCTCCGGAGTAGCTGGGACTACAGGTGCCCGCCACCACGCCCAGCACATTTTTTGTATTTTTAGTAGAGATGGGGTTTCACCGTGTTAGCCAGGATGGTCTCGATCTCCTGACCTTGTGATCTGCCAGCCTCAGCCTCCCAAAGTGCTGGGATTACAGGCGTGAGCCACTGCGCCCGGCGTGGGCTTCAGTTTTATTGGGCCAATTTAAATTAAATGAGGAAATAGAAATCTAATTTTCTATTATTTAAGAAGTAAGGTAAATAGGAAGCCTGAGTTTTTCAAGAAGCAAGTCAAGAGCCTAGAAAATATAAGCACCCTACAACCCACAATAAGGAAAAGTTGCATCTTAAGAAGAGCTTCTCTGACCTGAGAAAACTGAGTAATTCTCCCTGTGCAGTATATCACATTTGTATTAGTCCATTCTCATACTGCTATGAAGAAGTACCCAAGACTTGGTAATTTATAAAGAAAAAGAAGTTTAGTGGACTCACAGTTCCACATGGCTAGGGAGGGCTCACAATCATGGCAGAAGGCAAAGGAGGAGCAAAGGCGTGTCTTACATGGTGGCAGGCAAAAGAGCATGTGCAGGGGAACTGCCCTTTATAAAACAATCAGATCTCATGAGACTTATTCACTATCGCCAGAACAACATGGGAAAAATGCACCCACATGATTCAGTTACCTCCCACCACATCCCTCCCACATGTGGGATTGTGGGAACTACAATTCAAGATAAGATTTGTGTGGAGACACAGCCAAACCGTATCATCATGAAAACATTTTTTCTCTTTTCCTGGGCCATTTGCAAAGAGAACTTTAATGTATAAAATATCCCACTCAACTCCATGACACCTTGGCCACATGAAGCTCTCAATTATGAGGTGTGTTCCAATTATTGATTGCTGTGTAACAAGCTATCCCGAAAGAGCAACCACCTTGTTATGCTCATGGACACAGTGGGTATGAACCCATGTAAAAAAGACTTTTCTGTGCTTCGTAATGTCTGGAGCTTCAACTGGGAAGACATCAATGGCTGAGAGTAAGTCAAATAGTTGGGGGCTGAAATCATCTAGAATTCCCTTCTCTTTTATGTCTTATGCCTGAGCAGGGATGATCCAAAGATTCAAACTGTCACCAGGAGTCCTCTCTATTCATGTGGCTTGGGATTCCCCACAGAGTGGAATTCAGGTGGGATGTTGCACATGGTGGCTTAGATTTATAGAGTGAGTGTCCTTGTGAGCAAGGCAGAGCAGAATACCTTTTGTGACCTTGATTCAGATGCCACCCAGCATCCCAGTCATCCTGTGGAGCAGTCATAAGTCCACCTGGTTTCAAGAAGAGGGGCATAGACTCCACCTCCACCTCCACCTCTAGACGGAAGTAGTGTCAAAGCATTTGTGGCCCATTTTTTTACAACCACCACAAGTTTCAAAAGAGCTAAATTTCCCTTAGTGGAAGTATTAAATGGAGGGGAAAACCTGCTAATTCACCATTTAATATATTGTCTATGATTGTGCATTTTTAACTGACATATCATATTCTATGTTTTTTATTGTGTACAACATTCTGCTTTTAAGTATATGTATCTTGTGGAATGGTCAAATATGGACAACTAACAAATGCATTACCTCTCATAGTTACTTTGTGGTCAAAGCACATAACATCCACTTTCTTTACATTTTTTAAGCATACAATATATTATCATTAGCTATAGTCACCTTGCTGTTCAATAGATGTCTTGAAATTTATTCCTTCCATCTAAATGTAATTATGTATCCTTTGGCCAATATCTCCCCATTCTCCCCTCCCCTGAGCATCCTGTCTCCATTCTCCCCTTCCGCCTCTGTAAGCACCACTCTAATCTCACTTCTATGAGATCAACTGGATTCCAGATATGAGTGAGATCATGAAGTATTTGTCTTTCTGTGTGAGTCATAGTTCACTTAACATAGTTTCCTCTAGGTTCATCCTTGCTGTCACAAATGGCAGGATTTCATCTTTTTTACTGCTGAATATTATCGCACTGTGTATATGAACCACATATCTTTATCCATTCATCCACTGATGGACACTTAGGTCTATTCCATTTCTTGGTTATTGTAAATAGTGCTGCAATAAATATGAGAATTCTGATGCCTCTTAGACATAGTGATTTCATTTCCTTTGGATATATATACCCTGTAATGAGATTGCTGGATCATAGGGTAGTTCAATTTTTATTTTTGGAGGAACCATCATAGTGCTTTCCATAATGGCTGTTCTAATTTACATTACCACCAACAGTGTGTAAGAGTTCTTTTTTCTACACATACTTACCAGCATTTGTTATTTCTTGTCATTTTGTTAATAGCCATTCTAACTGGGGTGAGGTGATATCTCATTGTGGTTTTGATTTGCATTTCCCTGATTATTATTGATATTCAGCATTTTAATGTACATGTCGGCTATTTGTATGTCTTCTTTTGAGGAATGTCTATTCATGTTGTTGGTCAGTTTTTAAGCTGGCTTTTTATTTGTTTGGGTTTGCTATTGAGTTGAGTTCCTTAAATATTTTGGATAGTGACCCCTTGACATCATATGTATAGTTTGCAAACATTTTCTACCAGTCTGTAGGTTGTCTTTTCACTCTGTTGATTGTTTCCTTTGCTGAGGAGAAGCTTTTTAGTTTGATGTAATCCCATTTGTCTCTTTTTGCTTTTGTTTCCTGGGTGTTTTGGGGTCAAATAAAAAAATAATCTCCCAAACCAATGTTGTGTAGTTTTTTTCCTCTATGTTTTTATCTAGTAGTTTCATAGTTTCAGGTTATAAGTTAAGTCTTTAGCCCATTTTGAGTTGATTTTTGCATGTAGTGAAAGGCAGGGGTCTAGTTTTCTTATTCTGCATGTGGCTATTGGTTTTCCCAGCACCATTTATTGAAGAAATGATCCTTTCCCCAATGAGTATTCTTGGCATCTTTGTGAAAAATGGACTTTTGCATAAATTATTTAAATGAGAATTTGGAAGAAGGGGGCAGGTTCAGGATGCTACAGTTAATATAATAACCCTTATTTTGGTGGTATCCACTGTACCTCATGTGATTATGGATTTTCTACAAGACATTTCTTGTGGAAGATAGAGACAGGAGCTGGGGAGTTTGCTTTATTGTTTGGTCTAAATGATACAAGAATGTTTGATATTTTAAAACTTGTTTGTTTTGAGAATACTGTAGTTTGGGTCAACCTTTCTGTGAGCAGATCAAAACTGGTCATCCATGCTCAGCTGGGTTTCCTTGTGGCCTGTATTCTGTGCTTGGTGCACTGCGTGACTTTCGTGATTGTAACCTCTTGTCATCCCATCGTTGGGAGAACTTTCTAACTCTTGACATGAAGGCTTCTGAGCTTGTTGACCTCATTCTCTGACTTTTTTGTTATAATTTTTAAAAATGATGGCTCTAGGCCATATGTACATTCACTTTCACTGTGCAACTATCCCCATGGTTTGAAATAATATTAGATAGAATTTGTTTAAAAAGATAGACTACTTGTTGATCAAAGGTTCTAGTAGAATAATGTTGAGGGGGGGATAAAAACAACAAAAAGTTTATTAGGAAGGTCATAACTTTAGCAGTCTGGGTCTCTGAGAAACCGTATAGCAGAGAAGCCTCTACCAATATGTGTAGGATGTTGTGAAATGTGAGAAAGAAATGAACTAATGTTGTGTTAAGCCACAGAGCCTTTGGGTTAAGTTGTTACCACAATATAACCTAGTCTAATCTAATGCAGAAATCACTGCAGAATTAGCATGCTACAATTACATGAAAACAAAAATGTGTGACATTAGCAGCAGTGGGGCTGGCAACAGAGACACTGATAATGTGAGCCTAAATGGATGGCTTGCTTTCCCTCCCTCCCTCCCTCCCTCTTTCCCTCCCTCCCTCCCTTTCTCTCTTTCTTTCTTTCTTTCTTTCTTTCTTTCTTTCTTTCTTTCTTTCTTTCTTTCTTTCTCTTTCTCTTTCTTTCTTTCTTTCTTTCTTTCTTTCTTTCTTTCTTTCTTTCTTTCTTTCTCTGCCTCTCTTTCTTTCTCTCTCTCTTTCTCTTTTTTCTTTCTTTTTTTTTTTTTTTTGAGACAAAATCTCATGCTGTCGCCAGGGTGGCAGTGCAATGGCGTGATCTTGGCTCACTGCAACCTCCGCCTCCCAGGTTCATGTGATTCTCCTGCCTCAGCCTTGCGAGTAGCTGCGATTCCAGGCACACACCACCATGCCCGGCTAATTTTTTTGTATTTTAGTAGAGACGGGTTTTCACTAGCGTGGCCAGACTGGTCTCAAACTCCTGACCTTATGATCTGCCCGGCCCCGGCCTCGGCCTCCCAAAGTGCTGGGATTACAGGCGTGAGCCACTGCACCCAGCCGGCCATCTGTCTTTCACAGTGGTGAAATATAGGGTTATGCTGCTGCCTTCACTACATTGTGAACCACATGTTTTCTGAGCCAGCAGCTTAAAAAGACTTTGGGAAAGAGACTCGGTCATGAAGTTGGTTGCTGTTGTCTGCAGCAGTCAAGTATCACAAGAATGAAATTAGAGAACTAAAGAAGGGACCAGTTTGCAAGTAAAAAGAAGAAGTAAGAACAGAAAAATTAGATTTTAAATGACTTTTTAGGCTGGGCACGGTGGCTCATGCCTGTAATCCCAGCACTTTGGGAGGCCGAGGCAGGTGGATCACCTGAGGTCAGGAGTTCAAGACCAGCCTGGCCAACATGGCACAACCCCATCTCTACTAAAAATACAAAAATTAGCCGGGCGTGGTGGTGTGCACCTGTAGTCCCAGCTACTTGGGAGGCTGAGACAAGAATCACTTGAACCTGGAAAGCAAGGGTTGCAGTGAGCTGAGATAGTGCCACTGCACTCCAGCCTGTGTGACAGAGTGAGACTCCACCTAAAAAAAAAAAAAACTTTTAAAATAACATACTCATTAAAATCCAGCAATTTATTAACATACTTTCATAAAAATCTCAAAACATTGTAGTTTTCCTCTTTCAGTTCCCAATATATTAAAGGTACCTCTTTCCCCACTTTTAAATTGAAACAGAAAGGCATGGAAATGAGAACACAAATAAATAGAAAATTGGCAAATTCTCAAAAGTAATTGTGGGCATGGCTGCTCATACTAGGATCTGATTAGATGCACATAGATCGGAAGTCTACTTAGATTTAAGAGAGTTAAGGACTGGCCGGGCGTGGTGGCTCACGCCTGTAATCCCAGCACTATGGGAGGCCGAGACGGGTGGATCACAAGGTCAGGAGATCGAGACCATCCTGGCTAACACAGTGAAACCCCGTCTCTACTAAAAATACAAAAAATTAGCCAAGCGTGGTGGCAGGTGCCTGTAGTCCCAGCTACTTGGGAGGCTGAGGCAAGAGAATGGTGTGAACCCGGGAGGTGGAGCTTGCAGTGAGCCGAGATCGCACTATTGCACTCCAGCCTGGGCGACAGAGCGAGACTCCATCTCAAAAAAAAAAAAAAAAAAAAAAAAAGAGAGTTAAGGACTATGTCTTAACCAATGGATACAATCATTTTGAAAAATAGTCTGTTAGTTTCTTATAAACATGCAATTACAATAAGAATCAATAATCTAATTCTAGTTATTGATCCAATACAAATGAAAATATGTCTGCAAAAATACTTGTTCGCAAATATTCAGAGCCATTTTATTCCTCATAGCTGCAATCCAGATACAACCGAATGCCATTTACCAGGTGAATAGATAAACACATGCATGGCGTGTATTCACACAACCAAGTGCTGCTGGGCAGTAGGAAGGAGGTGCTGCTGACACGTGCCATAGCACAGATGACTATTCAAGCTCTGTGCTCAGGGAATGGAGAGAGAATCAGGATGTTTACTCTGTGATTCCACTTCTGTGAAACTGCAGAAAAGACAAACTCAGAAACTATGGTGACAGGAAAAATGCTCAAGAAGTCATAGATTCCAGTGAAATATCTGGGACTATCCCATTGTTATACAAAGTTACACAACGTTTTTACATGGGCTGAGGAGGGGAACAGGCATGAGTGAATTGAATGAGGAGACTCACTCCCTGCCAGAAAGTCCTTTCTTAGCGTTTTTTTTTTTTTTCAGGAGTCTTTACTCACATTTTGCCCTCTAAGATCACTGGATAGGATTAAAGGTCTATCTTTTCCAACAACCTGATATATACCTCCACCTTCTATATTTGTTCTTGGCATATTTACCCCAAATACCACACACACCCCACCATGGAAAACACTTGCTTCGAAAGCGCTATTTTTTTGACACACACACACACACACACACACACACACACACACACACACACACACCCCTAAGCAAAAGTCTTTTAAAATTGCATGCTTAATCCACCAATTTACCTCTGTTCATGTCAAATGTCAAATCTGTGTATCTGTGGAGTTGAAGTTTGGGTTCTGGGCTCTGGCATTGGATCTTGATGGATCATTATGTTCCTTTTTTCTTTCTTTCTTTGTTTTTTTGGCTTGTTTGTTTGTTTTTTTCTTGAGACAGAGTCTCGGTCTGTTGCCCAGGCTGGAGTGCAGTGGGGCAGTCTCAGCTCACTGCAAACTCTGCCTCCCCTCCCCTGAGTAGCTGGGAATACAGACACCAGCCACCACGCCCAGCTAATTTTTGTATTTTTAGTAAAGATAGCGTTTCACCATGTTGGCCAGGCTGTTTTCGAACTGACCTCAGGTGATCCACCTGCCTTGGCCTCCCAAAGTATTGGGATTACAGGTGTGAGTCACCATCCTCAGCCTTTTTTTCTAAAACAAAAACAAAAACAAAAACAAAAACATGTAATTTACTCATTTAAAGTGTACAGTTCCTACGATTGTCGGCATTTAAATGTATGTCTTCTTTTTATTTTCTTTGACCCCTTCTTCCTTTGAGTGTCTGTATTCTTTTGAGCAATCCCACTGCTGGGTATATACCCAAAGGAAAATAAATCATTGTATAAAACGGACACCTGCACTAGTATCTTTATCATGGCACCATTTACAATAGCAAAGTCCTGGAACCAACCTAAGTGTCCATCACTGGTAGACTGGATAAAGAAAATGTGTTAAATGTACACCATGGAATACTATGCAGCCATAAAAATGAATGCAATAATCTCCTTTGCAGCTACATGGATCAACCAGAGGCCATTATCCTAAGCAAGCTAACTCAAAACCAGAAAATCAAATATGGCATATTATCTCGCTTGTAAGTGGGAGCAAAACAGTGGGTACATATGGACATAAAGATGGAAATAATAGACTAAAATGGACTCCCAAAGAGGGGAAATTGGAGGTGGGGGTGAGGATTGATAAATTATTTATCACAATGTTCAGTATTTGGGTGACAGACACACAGAAGCCCAACCCCCATCATTACACATGTAATACCCATGTAACAAACAGGCATATGTACCCCTTGAATCTAAAATTAAAAAACAAATTCACAAAGCAAACTGTCTGTTCATGCCCTTTGCTCACTTTTTATGAATTTGTTTTGTTGTTGTTGAGTTCTTTGTGTTTCTTGTAAGTTCTGAATAGCAGTGTCTTGTTAGATACATGTTTTGCAAATATTTTCTCCCATTCTGCAGGTTGTCTGTTCCCTCTGTTGATTATTTCTTTTTCTATGGAAAAGTATTTTAGTTTAATAAGTCCCATTTGTCTATTTTTGCTTTTGCTGCTTGTGCTTTCTGAGGTCTTAGTCATGAATTCTTTGCAGAGAGCAATGTCCAGAAAAGTTTTCTCTAGGTCTTCTTCTAATATTTAATTTAAAGTTTCTTGTATATTCTGCATATTAGACCTTTGTCAGATAGGTAGATTGCAAAAAATTTTCTCCCATTCTGTAGATTGCCTGTTAGTTCTGATGATTTTTTTTTCTGTGCAGAAGCTGTTTAGTTTAATTAGATCCCATTTGCCAATTTTAGCTTTTGATGCAGTTGCTTCTGGTGATTTCATCATAAAATTTTTGCTGGTGCCTATGTCCTGAATGGTATTGCCTAAATTTTCTTCTAGGGTTTTTATGGTTTTGGGTTTTACATTTAAGTCTTGAGTCTGCCTTGAGTTAATTTTTGTATAAGGTGTAAGGAAGGGGTCCCGTTTCAGTTTTCTGCATATGGTTAGCCAGTTTTCCCAGCATCATTTATTAAATAGGGAATCCTTTCCCCATTGCTTGTTTTTGTCAGGTTTGTCGAAAATCAGATGGTTATAGATGTGTGGCCTTATTTCTGATGTCCCTATGCTGTTCCCTTGGTCTATATGTCTGTTTTGGTACCAGTACCATGCTGTTTTGGTTACTGTAGCCTTATAACATAGTTTGAAGTCAGGTAGCATGATGCCTCCAGCTTTGTCATTGGGGTTTTCTATACATAAGATCATATTGTCAGCATATAGAGATAATTCAACTTCCTATTTTCCAGTCTCGGTGCCTTTGTTTTTTCTTTTTCTTGCCTGATTGTTCTGACTAGGACTTTCAGTACTATGTTGGATAGGAGTGGTAAAAGTGGAATCCTTGTCTTGTTAAAGTTCTTAGGGGCATTGTTTTCAATTTTTCTCCATTGGGTATGATTTTAGCCATAAGTTGATCATATATGCTCTTTATTTTGAGGTGTGTTGCTTCTATGTATAGTTTGTTGAGGATTTTTACTATTATAAAAATAATAATCATAATAAAAGCGATGCTGAATTGTTTCTAATGCTGTTTCTGAGAATTGTAAATTAAAAGCAAACTGAGATATCATCTTACACCAGTCACAATGGCTATTACTAAAAAGTCAAAAATAACAGATGTTGGCAAAGGATGCAGAAAAAAAGGAACACTTATACACTGTTGGTGGGGATGTAAATTAGTACAATCTATGTGGAAAACAGTATGGAGATTTCTCAAAGAACTAAAAGTAGAACTACCATACAGTCCAGCAATCCTACTGCTGGTATCTACCCAAAGGAGAAGAAGTCATTAGGTAAAAAAGATACCTGTACTCAGATGTTTATTATAGCACTATTCACAACAGCAAGGATGTGGAATCATTTAAATGCCCATCAGCTGATAAACTGATAAATAAAATGTGGAATAGACACACATGATGGAATACTTCTCAACCATAGAAAATAATAAAATCATATCTTTTGCAGCAACATGAATGGAGCTGGAGTCCATTAGCTTAAGTAAAACAGCTCTTAAACAGAAAGTCAAATGCAACATGTTGTAATTGCAGTTTGTAAGCGGGAGCTAAATAATGTGCACACATGGCCATAGGTTGTGGAATAAGAGACACTGGACACTCAAATGTATGGGAGGGTGTACGGATGTCAGGAATGAAAAATTTCTTAATGGACATAGTGCACATTATTCAGGTGATGATTACACTAAAATCCCAGACTTCGGCACTGTGCAACATATCCATGTAACAAAATTCGGTTGCACTCCTTAAATTTATGCACATAAAAAATTAAGTGTACGATTCTATTGGTTTTATAATAGCTGCAGATATGTGCAAACATCATCACAGGTAATTACAGAACATTTTAATTACACAAATTATCATTTGCTTTAGCTATCACCACCAACACTAACTAACGTCTAATATACTTTTTTTGTTTGAGACGCGGTCTCACTCTGTCACCCAGGTTGGAATGCGGTGGCATCATCTCAGATCACTGCAACCTCTGCCTCCAAGGCTCTAGCAATCCTCTCACCTCAGCATCCTGAGTAGCTGCAACCACAGATGCCCACCACCACGCCTGGCTAATTTGTGTGTGTGTGTGTGTGTGTGTGTGTGTGTGTGTGTTTGTCTCTGTGTGTGTATTTTTGGTAGAGACAGGGGTTTTACCATGTTGCCCAGGCTGGTCTCGAACCCTTGAGATCAGGTTTTCCACCCACCTCGGCCTCCCAGAGTGCTGGGATTACAGGTGTGAGCCACCGTGCCCGGCCAGCAACTACCAATATACTTTATAGGCCTATAGTCTGCTTATTTTGGACAGTCCGTATGAATGGAATAATCTAATATGTGGTCTTTTGTGATGGGCTTCTTTCACTTAGTGTGATGTTTCCAAGGCTCATCAGTGTTGCACCCTATGTCAGTGCTTCATTCCTTTGTATGGCCAAATAATATTCCATTATATAAACATGCCACATTGTGTTGATCCATTATGTTATCTTTAAATAGACAGAGGACTGCAGATCTACTTGCGCTTATTGAGCACTTTGAAGAGTGAACATAATTTGGAAATACTAAGGGAAACAGTATCTAAGTTTATCACTACCCAGAGCAGAAAAAATACGAATTTTTTCTCTCTGCTACTCCTGTTATTTATTCTAGAACTCTAATAGTCTGCTAAATTCAAAGCAGACTGCTTGGAACATGCTAGATGATACAACAAGAGAATACAGAATATTAAAATTAAGGCTGAATTGGAGATTTGTTCTTGAATTGGTAAAAGCCATGGTATGGTGTGTATAGTGGAATAGCAAGAAATTTTGTCACCCTCTGAGCTTTGAGGGGTCTTCTCAGATTCTGTGCCATGTTTATAGCAAACATCAGGTGCTGTTAATTTTAGCTCAGGTATATTGAAGAGGTGAATTAAAAGGGTGGTAGAACTTCTGTTTCTTACCATTAAGAAGAGCTTAGACTGGACTTTTCCTCCTGCCATAAACAACTAGAAAACTGGGAGAAATATGTGAAACAATTGCTTTTAAACATTAACAGGAGGCAGCATAGAACTACATCTTTGAGAGAAAAGAAACAGACAATTGCTCCACTCTTGTCCCTGAAGCCCCTTTCAACTTCTAATGGAGGAAGCGGGATACTAAGAAACAGTAGTAACTGTTCTGATATGAGGAAACAAAGGCCAGGGCTCAGGGAGGTTGAGATGGCTGGGATTTATGGGACATAGTTACAAAGGAAAGAAAAATACGCAGAAATAAAAAGTTCCAACAATCTGCCTAGATTCCCATTGAGTCTGCTATCAAGCCATGCATATGCGGGAGAACACACCAGGAGGCTGGGCAAAAGCAACCACAGAGCTGTGAGCTGAGCGTGTTCTAAACATTATGCAGATCCGAAGAACATCCCATTACAGATCAGGCAAAACGGCTGGGCGTGGTGGCTCACGCCTGTAATCCCAGCACTCTGGGATGCCGAGGCAGGCAGATCACCTGAGGTTGGGAGTTCAAGACCAGCCTGACCAAGATAGAGAAACCCCGTCTCTACTAAAAATACAAAAAAATTAGCCAGGTGTGGTGGTGCATGCCTGTAATCCCAGCTACTCAGGAGGCTGAGGCAGGAGAATCACTTGAATCCGGGAGGCAGAGGTGGCAGTGAGCCGGGATCGCACCATTGCACTCCAGTTTGGGCAACAAGAGCGAAACTCCGTCTAAAGAAAAAAAAAAAAAAAAAAAAAGAACAACCAAGACATTCAGGGGAAATCCAGAAAAAATGACTCATTAGTAACGGAGCCAAACTTTCAGTAAAGTAACACCAGGCCTGCCTTAATAATGCCTCAAAACAAGCCTCAAAATGATTGAGCTGATTTGCAAGTTTCTTAATTCTCTGTGTGAACAAAGCCCAACAGAATCCAGATAATCAACACTGAAACATTCACAATATTCAGCATTCACTCAAAAATCACTAAACATGTGAAAAGCAGGAAAATATGACCCATAACTAGGAGAAAAATCTGTCAATTGAAATAGACTCAGATGTGGTGGGATTAGCGGACAGAATTTAGAATGTATAGTGTATATACTTTACTTTAAATAACTCTTTATTTATAAATGGCATGTTAATATATATTTTAAAATTCTAAGGAGTCTACAAAACATACAGTAAAAGTGAGCAGTGGATTTGACAAGATTGTAGGGCACAGAGTCAAAACACAAAAATTCATTGTATCTCTGTTTACCACTAGCAAACAATTTGAAAATGATAAATAAAACATTACCACTTATAGCGACCAACAAACACAAAATCAGGATATATTTAACAAAATATTTTCAAGACCTCTGCACTGAAAACTACAACAGTCACCAGGAGAATTTAAAGATCTAAATAAATGGAAATATATAGCATGGTCATGGCCATACGGGCTCAATATTGTTAAGATATCAAGTAGATGTATAATGTGCAAACTCATCAAAATAACAGCATGATTTTTAAATAAAATGATGTTCTAATTCAAAAATTAATTTGGAAATGCAAAAGACCTCGAATGACCAAAACAATTTTGAAAAAGAGGGTCAAAATTGGAGTATTCACAATGTCTGATTTTAAGTTACTATAATGCTACATTGATCATGACAGTGCATTATTGGTCTAAACATGCAGCTTCATGGAACAGTATGGAGAGTGCAGAAATAGACTTATACGTATATGGGTCAATTGTTTTCTGACATTTCCAAGGTAGTTCAATCAAGAACAGATAGTCTTTTTAACAAGTATTAGAACAATTGATTATCCATTTGGTGAAAAACTAACCTCGATCTTTATCTCACATCAAACACAAAATTAACTTGATGTAGACCATAGGACTAAACATAAAAGCGAAAGTTATAAACCATCTAGGAGAAAATAACAACAAAATACATTGTTTCATTTTCTACATTTTTTTTATTTATTTTTAACTTTTATGTTCAGCAGTACAAGTACAGGTTTGTTACACAGGTAAACTTGTGTCATGAGGGTTTGTTGTACAGATTATTTCAAAACCCAGTCATTAAAAATATTCATGATTTTAAGTGAGAGATACTTTGAACCATAAATGAAAACTTAATAGTCTGAACTTGATCCAAAAATTGTGTTCCTTGAAAGATGTTTTTAAGGAAATAAAATGACAAGACACAAACTGTGAGAAAGTATTTATAATACATATATCTGGCAAGGGAATTGTATCTACAATATGGAAACAAATCTTAAAATTAAGTTATAAGGCAAGCAATTCAATGAAACATGAAAAAAATACCTAACCAGACCCTAGAAGATAAGTGAATGGCCAATACACTCTACAAAGATTCACAACATAAGTAGTCATGAGAGAAATGCAAATTTTTAAAAACCACAGTGAAATGGTATTACACAACCAGTAGAATGGCTAAAATTTAAGAGGTTGGCAATACTGATTGTTGGCACTAATGTGAAACAAATGGAATTATTATATACTGCTGTTGAGATCATAAAATTATACAACTTTTTTTAGCACACAGTTTGGGAATTTATTATAGAGGTAAACATAGAGTTACCATATGAATAAGTTATAGCCCCAAACAGAGAACAACCAAAATTTCTAGCAACAATTGAGTGGGCAAATAATCATGTTATATCCATAAAATGGAACACTTCTAAGTTATGAAAAGGAACAAACTACCAAAACACACAACATGAATGAACCTCAAAAATATTTGCTAAGTAAAAGAAGTGAGACTGCATACTGTAGTATCAGTTTACATGAATTTCTAAAACTGATCTTTTGTAACAAAAATCCTATCATTTGCTTGCGTAGGGCTGGAACTTGGAAATTGAATGCAAAGGGGAGGATGAAATTTTGGGGGGATGATCAGAATTTCTATATCTTGATTGTTATTGTGGTCACACAGATGAAATCAATTTTTAAGATTCATTGAACTGTACACTTAAAATGGGTGACCTTTGTTGTATGTAAGTTATAATAATAAGGTTAATGATTTTTTAAAAAGTTGATGAATATGCCCACCCTATGTACCTAGGTTTCTTTTTAAATTAAATTAAATTAGATTTTTATTGACATTTAGTAATTGTACATTTATGAGGTACAATGTTATGTTTAGATATATGTGTACATTGTGTAATTATCAATGGTAATTAGTATATGCATCACCTTAACATTGATCACTTCTGTATTGTGAGAACATTAAAAATCCTCTCTTCCAGCTATTTGAAATATAAAATGCATTATTGTTGGCTGTCGTCACCCTACCATCAAATATAGTACCAGAACTTAGTCCTCCTATTGAACTGTAACAATTTTCTCATTGACCAACCTTGTCTCATTTCTTTCTCCCTCCTATTCTCCCCAGTCTCTGATAATCACTATTATATTCTCAACTTTTATAAGATTATTTTTTAAATTTGACATAGAAATAAGATCATGCAATATTTGTCATTCTGTGTCTGGCTTATTTCACTTAGTATAATGTCCTCCAGGTTCATTCTTGTCTCAAATGGCAGGATTTTTTATGGCTGAATAGTATTCCATTGTGTATACATACCATATTTTATTTGTCTGTTCATCTCTTTATGGACACTTAGGTTGATTCCATATCCTGGCTATTGTGAATCATGCTGCAATAAACATGAGAATGCAGATGTCTCTTTGACATGTTTTCATGGGTATATACCCAGTAATGGGATCATCTGGTTAGATTTATTTTTAATTTTTTTGGAGCGGCCTCCGTAGTGTTTTCTGTAATGGCTATACAAATTTACACTACCACCAACAGTGTGTAAAATTTCCTTTTTCTACACATCCTTGCCAGCATTTGTTTATTTTTTTGTCATTTTGATAATAGCCATCCTAACTTGGGTGAGGTGATATCTCATTGTGATTTTTATTTGCATTTCCCTGATGATTAGTGATCGTGAACATTTTTTCATATACCTGTTGGTTATTTGTATGTCTTGTCTATCTAAGTCACTTGCCCATTTTTTACCTAAATATTTTGATTTTTGCTTTTGAATTATTTGAGTTCCTTACACGTTTTAGATAATCCCTTGTCAGATGTACAGTTTGCAAATATTTTATCCCATTACATAACTTGTGTCTTCACTCTGTTTATTGTTCCCATTGCTGTGCAGAAGCTTTTTTGGTTTGATATAGTCAGTTTGTTTATTTTTGGTTTTGTTCATGCTCTTGAGGTCTTTCCTCTATGTTTGATTTCCTCTATGAGTGTTTCCTCCATGCTTTCTTCTGTAGTTTCATAGTTTCAGGTATTGCATGAAGACTTTACTCTGTTTTGAGGTGAATTTTGCATACGGTGAGAGATAGGTATCAAATTTCGTTATTTCGCATGTGGATATCCAGTTTTCCCTAACACTGTTTGTTGAAGAGACAGTTTTTTTCTCCATTGTCTTCTTGGCACCTTGTCAAAAACAGTTGGCTATAATATGTGGGTTTGTTTCTGGGCTTTCTGTATTGTTCCACTGGTGTATGTGTTTTTATGCCAGTACTGTGCTGTTTTGGCTATTGTAGCTTTGTAGTACATTTTGAAATCAGGTAGTATGGTGCCTCCAGCTCTGTTTGTTTTTGTTTTGTTTGTTTTTTGTTTGTTTGTTTTTTTCTCAAGATTGCTTTGGCTATCCAGAGTCTTTTGTGGTTCCAAGAAAGTTTAATATATTTTCATTTATTTGTGTCCTCTTCATCTTCTTTTATAAATGTTTTATAATTTTCATTGTAAAGATCTTTCACCTCCTTCATTCAATATATTTCTAGGTATTTTAATTTTTTGGTAGGTATTGTAAATAGTATTGCTTGCTTCAGTTCTTTTCCAGACGGTTTGCTAATGGCATATACGTGGAAACTAAACACATACAAATACCTAGGTTTCTTAACCAGAAATTAGAAAAAAAACACTTGCTAGCTTAGAAATATCTCCACAAAGAGTAAACTTCCTTGCTCTGCCTATCTGCCACCATGTCTATATAAAAGTATTATGTGCCAGAATGGAATATGGTAATCTCAGATTTAATTGATATTCCATGCTATAAAACTAAAAGTGCAAGGTTGAATTTGAGCTCAGACCAAGATGGGTGAAACAAATTGGATTCACCAGGAATGCATGAAGGAAAAGACAGTGCCTGGATTTCCTGGCACCGTTCAGGCATGGGATGCATATTTTGTGTTCCCTTCTAATTGCATTTCTAGATGTAAGTCTCTGATCCCCACAAGCCTTGTCAGTTCAGATCCAGGGGTGGTTTCTTGTGCTGAGTATAAGAGTATGATTGACCGTAGGATGCATAGAATTTTTGGTTTGGGGACTTTCAGCAGAAATGTGCAACTCAAGCCTGCAGCTTTGAGTTCCTGAGGCCAAAGCTGTTGTCAGGCATTTGGGAAGGGGAGCAAGTACAAAGGTGGTAGATAAGTTGGGATGGATCTTTCTGGATCAAGTGCATCTTCATGGAGCAGGAGGGGCACCTTCTCAGTGCCAGCACTTCTCTGTTGATGGAAGCTGCATCAGGCAGTTGGAGAGAGAGACGAACTGAGAAGTGTGGAGGAGTTCCACTACCATTCCCTTCCTCCCAGCTTATTCCTCCATACAAATTGATCGTTTCTAATTCACCATATTTCCCATATAAAAGTACAAGATGAGAGTTAGCATAGTTTCATATATGTGGCCCATTTTACACAAAAATTATTTTACTTTTCACACATTTAATTATGTGGTACTATTATTTTATTGGGGAGAAGATTTCCTTGATTTGGGTCTGAAGTTAACCCCAGTATTTTACGGCTTGAGAAGTGGAAGAAAAGGAGTCTGGAATTTGGCAAAGAGTTAAGATCTCGGAGGTGAGTAATGGCTTCATAAAGACTGAATTAAGAAAACAGATGTATCCTAGGAAGCTTTGCCCAGATCTGAGAAATATGAGCAGTGCTCCCTCTCGACTGCTTTTCTGCTGGGTTACGGTCTGTCGCTGTAGGAATTAACAGGACTCTGCAGAAACCATCCTGCTCAACCGTCAGCACCTCTGGCCACATGAACCTCTGGGACCTTAGGGTTGGACATGGGCTTTGGGGGATCCTGAAGCAGATATTGAGTGATCAACAACTCATGCTATAAGGTGTTGATTGAGATGACACTTGAAGTTTCTCAGGCTTTTTAGGATGACTTTGGAGGCAGGGAAGTAGAATTATACTGCTATGAGCTGTGTACCTTGCTGGCTACATTCCTCTTTTCAGGCTTCTAAACCCAGATATTATTACTAACTAGAGAGTGTGCTCCAGATCCTCAAATATTAATTCAGGATTTGAGGTGAGCAATGAGAGTAGATTTGAAGTTGCCATTTTGGGGAAATCATTACATTGTGGCTTTATGTGATGTAGGGCGTGAGGGGGTCTGGTATGTTCCCAGGATGCCTCTAGAGTCTGCACATAGGCTTGTGCACCAAGGGGTCTTCTGCTGTTCCAGTGCTCTCCTGGCGACCTTTGTGAGACCACCTCCTTGCCCCTCATGACATAGAACCCTCCCCATTCACTGATCTTGAGCCTCCATCTGTCTAATCACTCTTTGATAAAAAAATGAGCATGGCTTCATGTCAAGCTGCCATATTCTTTCCACTCTCTTGACAGTCCTTTGGTGCCAATTGGCTACTGAGAGCCCCAGTGACCGATGGCGTCCTTAGGGTAGGTGCCAGTGGAATGCAAAACACATTGTGCATTGTGATGAAGGGTGGTTAATGAAAGGGGGGATGAAACAAGCCCATACGGTATTGTGGAAAGAAAATCTATACTAAATGAAACAAACAAAAAAAAGTTTTCCACAATTTAAGCCTCGAGAATTGATATTAAATTTTCCTGAGGGGTGAGGTCAGCATTTGGAGAGCCCAGATGCTTTAGGAAGGCTAAATGGAAAGAACAGCAATCTCTAAAGGGGGGAAAAGAAAGAAAGAGAGAGAGAGAAAGAAAGGAAAGAAAGAAAAAGAAGGAGGGAAGGAAAGAAGGAAGGAAGGAAAATAAAATGAAAGAAAGAAAGATGAAAGAAGGAAGGAAGGAAAGAAAGAAAGAAGAAAGAAAGAAAAAGAAAGAAAGAAAAAGAAAAACAGAGCTGTGTTTCCTGTGTGCTGCTCTCCTTCATCCAGGTCCCCAACTCCCTGAAGGGGACTAAAGCCTAGGATAGAATTTGGAGGATGAGCTGTTTTGTTTTGTTCTGTTTTATTAAAACAAAGAACAGTATTTCATGCTCTTGACAAGGGTGAACAGTCATATGACTCTGAGGTTTCATTCCTCAGCACTAGGGATGACCGAGGAGGTGTGATGGGGTGGGGTGAGCAGGCAGGCCTCCGTGGGGCACTCTATCCTAGGCCCACACCTGCTTCATGGACCTCTCCAGGGTATTCCTTTCTCCTATGTCCTTCTTTTGGGTGGCTGCATGGAAAGGGACTATTTACATTGTATCAGCCTTTGCACTTCCCCACCAACCCATCTCCCTATACCCCACATCAATGCTTGTGGATGTGAAAACACAATTTTCTGCCATTTCTATGTAGAGGGATGCTCTGACATGCATTTATAGAAATGTTCCTCTACTGTCTCTTCACAATTAATTATGCTTGGAGCTTTGGAGCCGTTCATGGGCTTCTCCATGTGTGCTTCAAGTCAACCAACTTGGGGATCTGCTTCAGGCCAAGTATATCCTGTTGGAGCAATCCTCCTGCAGGTAACACCCACTAAATACAGGTTGAGTTTTATATATGTAAATGCTTAAATATGAATGTTGTAACTATTTTACATTAATAGCATATTGATGTATTATTTCATATTAATATCCATATAATTGATATAGCAATGCAAATATTTGAAATGTTTTAAATATATTATTTAATGGTAATAATATGCATAATTTTAAATAGAAATATAAGATAAACTATAACAGCAACTCTCTGAAGACATTAGGGGGCAGTCAGAAACAGGCAGACACTTGGTTATAGGGGAATGGGACTGGGTGAGTTTCTCATTGTTTTATGGTTTTCAGCCTGGGGGAAGTTCCAAGTCCCTGCCATGAAGGACAGCTTAAATTCCAATGGAAAAACCTGCAGCTTCACTGGCATGAAAAACCAGAGGATGGAGTTTGGGGCAGTCACATGAGTTAGAAAATGAGGGGAGAGTGCAGTCTCAGAAAGAAGAGCGTCATGGTTGGGGGCGCCCTAAATCCTGTCTATATACGCTGCCCAACTCTGACTGTCCCTGAAATATGCACACAGGGAAGACTGTAAGCAATTCACCTGAGATTGAACAGAGACTTCAGTTTCCACCAGTGCAGGGGAGACCAAGTTTGCAGTTTTTGTTCAGCCAGGCTAGCTGACTGTTTATATATATAATATATGCATGCATACATACATAAGAACATATCACAGTTAGAAGAACATGTCATAATCAAGATTGTTTATAAAATTTCATTCACACTGTCTAGGAAGTCATCCAAAATGATGCAACATATGAAGAAACAGGAAAATGTGATGCACACTCAAAAGCAAAGACAATAAACAGAGACACAGCAAACCTTGACTGAGGATATGACCTTTAGAATGACTAGGAGGCTGATTTCAAAAGTAGTAACCAAAAGGCTTAAAGACTGGCTTCAGGCCACCTGAAAGACAAAGCGTGACCTCAGGTATGAAGGTTTGGAGTGCAGAAGTGTGAGTTTTGCTGCCATTAGCCTCAATTTTCATACAAGGCTTTCAATTTCTAAAAGCCTTACCCAGCTGGTGTCTCTGATGAGATGCTTAAAACATAGTACTGCATAAAGTGACCAGGTAGAAACGAGAATGTTTTAAATTGAGCCTGTCAAAAAAATAAATAAATAAATAACATCCATGCCTGTACCTGGTGATAAGGAGAAGGAAGGGCACATGGTCAGCAGGGGGTACAAAGCAAGCTTTCTGGGCTCGGAGGGATCGTGGGCAGGCAGGCATGTATTTCTTGATGGAACTCTGAGGTTCTTACTTGCACCCTTTCCTGGGCTGCCTCCTTATATGTGGAGCTGGGGCACTAGTTGTTATCAGTGTGTGTGTGTTGGGGGTCAGGGTATCTGTGTGTATGTGTGGGGGGTGGTGTGTGTGTGTCTCTGTGTGTGTGTGTGTTTTTGCTGGATTGTTTCTCTGCTTAAGCCCCTAAGTAATTTTTTGTTTCTGTTTCATATTTTGGTTTATTATTTTTTGCTAATTCATTTGCTTGTTGGCTTTCTTTTAAGAAAACTACATAAAATTGAATACTCTAAGGGTAAACACAGTGAATTTTCACAAGGTGAACACGCTTGTGTATCCAACACCCAGATCCAGAAAAACAGCATCCCCAGCAGCCCAGAGGCCCCTTGTGTTCTCTCCTTGAAGTCCCTCCCCAGATCATGCCCTGTCCTGCCATAAAGTATATGGATGTGTGCCACTAGGAGAGACAGACTGTAGTAGCCAAAGACAAAGAGGAGTCAGTCGCTAGCTATTAAGTGAATACCCCAATCAAGCAAACCTGGAAGAGATATGGGATTCACAGAGGGTAAAAAATGCACCCAGATAACCATGGAAAGGAAGGGCAGCTGCTTTTCATAAGGGAGTTATTTAAAGGTGGGTGACAAGAAGATTCTGAAAGGCTGAATAAACAGCTCAGCAGAAAAAAAAAATCGGTATGTGCACCTGGTCATCTCCATTCCTCTGTGACCACCAGAGGCCCCCATTGGCTGGGACATGGACCTGGGGTGAGGGGAGGAGGGAGGGCCTGTGCTGGGGGCATCACACTCTAGTCTAGTCTAGTATAATCCAGGACGTGCTAATTGCATCTGTTGAGGAAGTCTGTGGCTTTCAGAGCCGCTTTCCTGCAGACTCCCTGCCCCTTCAGCAAAGCTCACACCAGGCATCCAGAAAAGAGTTGCCAAGGGGATCAGAGAAGGAGAGTACTCTCTCCCTCCACCACTCCCACCCCTTCAAATCTTGCTGGGCCCCTGCCCTTGGTGCAGGGAGGACTCAAATAGGTGAAGGTTTGCAGTCAGGAACAAACATGAAGCTGGGATTTCACAAGAAGTGAATGATGAGCTCAAAAGCGGGAGTATGACTTCATTCAAGGACAGCAGAGCCTTGAGAGTGCAGGAAAAAGAGGCAGAAAAGTCCTGGCTAGTGTTTTCTTGAAGCCCAGGAGCATGCAGAGATGTGGGCAGGAGAGGGTCTGCTGGCAGTCAAGGGTTGCTGTATGGTCAACTCAGATGAGCAGTGACACGTGTCCCTTAGATTCCACAACATGAAGGAAAGCAGAGGACTAGGCAAGAGTCTTTGGTTGGAGGGATAGGAACGGAAACCCCTTAAAAGCAGGCTCGAAAGTGAAGGCTCTGTGACCACAGGAAGAGACACTTTATCTCCCTTTACACCACGCTCTCTCCTGAGGAGGGTCAGAGGACACTGTTTCCAATTCAGACTTCTGTAAGAAACTTAACAAACCACAAATAAACATTCTCGTGCTCTATTCCTAACCCCCAGAAATCCTGAGGGAGCACGTGGTAACCTCTGACATATTTCAGTGACTCTGAAAGACATACCATCCCAGGCTCTATTCCTGCCCTGGCCAGGAGCCCAGAGAAGGCTTTGTGGATGGATAGGTCCAGCTGGATGCCTGAATAGGAGTGAGACCCTAGGGTGGACATTTCTATGTTTGGGTAGGACAGAGACATAAGAGAACTAATGATAATGTGACCCTAAAACTCATATTCATTAAATATTTGGTCAAGAGTTGTTTGGTGAGGGTGAACATAAAACTATTCTGTATTGGAAAAATATATGCATCTCCATTTTTACTGTGAAATATGGGGAATGTACTTCTCATGTTTTTCTGCATATACTCCTGATATATGATCTGAAAAGTCTGTAACATTTTAATTGTTTCAAAATATTTATTTCACAAATGTTCCAATGTTTATAACTTGTGACACCTCCAACTCCCTGCAGATAAAGGTAACAAAACTTTTTTCATTTATCTGTCATTTAAAATTTTCCTACAGTGCTTTATATAAGGAAGTCTTAAAGCATAAAAATACATTCACAATCATAAAAAACAATTAAAGGTTTGGAAAATAAAATGATTTACTTACTGTCCATTAACGTTGTTTACTTCCAGAATGTCAGCGTCCTGGTGACCCCGACCTCTGGCGGATGTCCTTGGTGTTCACAGGGCAGCAATGTGTGCTTGGGTACATTGTTGTAGAAGGACAACATGGAAATACAACTTGCCAGTGAACATGTTTAATCCTCTCCTATGTTGTGGTAGTTTTTCAAATAATTTGTCCATCTCCCCTGGCTTATGACTTTTTCTCTTACTGATGCATAGAGGTCTCTTATGTAATCTAGTTATAAAAGTTGCTGATATCTCCACCAAGATGGCTTTCCTTTCCTTTTCACTATTTTTTTACGCTACCTTTTGCTGATTTTATACCACTGGGATTTACTTTAGAAAGGATTTAAAATAGAGATTTAGCTGTCATTTTTTCAAATGTTAGCCAAATATTGCAACACAATATTTTCAATGTTTCAACTTTATCCTATTTAGAAGATTCCAAATTGCTTGAATAACTTTTGATGTACACTTGGATGAAACACAAATCTAATTTTTTATCTTATTATTCATATTTATAGAATCTTCAGAAGTAATCAACTAGAAAATCTGTAAATCAGAATCTTTGTAGGTACCAGCAGTCAAAAGTTCTTCCAATGAAACCACTTTTGGCAGATTTTTTCTCATAATGTAATAACAGCTAAATTCAGGATAAATTTTGAGGGAATATTTTTCTAATTGACCATTCTTGTCATTTAAAGTCTTTTTTTCTGATGCAAAATTTTAGCCATTTTATATCATTCATTTAAGTAAACCTTTCTTAGGCTGCCCTATCTGACTTATTTATGGAGATTCCAACATGGCAGGTCCCCAAGAAAAGTTTTATTTCCCCAAGACTGTGATTACTGGTTGGGATAATGGGTCTGGGGAAATGGTGAGTTAAGGGGGAGCACCTCAGCGTCCGAGTTCTTTGCTGTGGTCAGCCCTTCTCGTCAACGGAATCATCTGACATCTAACATCAACAGAAACATCTAACGAGAGCACTAACACCTCCTCCTTGAAGGAGAGGAGTAAATCCCAAACACATCCGAATGGACCGCTTTAAAATGATTTTCATTTCCATTTGAGTTATCTTTGTTGGGACAGTCTTCTTTCAATCAGGTTACAGCGCCATCTAGCATTCAAAACTGGGAGTCCTGGGCGAGAAGTGAACTGCTTCAGAAATGCCCTGGGAGCCGCTGGGGAAAGAGGTGCTGAATTGGAGCAGCTGGGTAGAGAGGTCAGGCCGACCGGACTCAGCATAGATGCAGTGGGGCTGAAGCCGAGGGTCTGAAGGCAGGGTGATGATGGACATCAGTGGAACAGGAATCTAAAACTGACCTGTGATTCTCATAGTTAAGGCAAATGGTCAAATAATCCAGCGTTGCTTAAAGTTATTAATGAGTGTCCTATGGTCAATTCCCCTTCTTCATTTAACTTAAAATTTGTGATCCTTTTTACAAATTGATCAGCATCCACAAAGGGTTTGATGCCTCTACAAATGTAATCAAAAGTGACTATAGAACAGGTTATTTTTAAATTATCAGTGAAATTTAAAATTGTTCTACTTTGTAAAATATCAGCTTATAGATCCTGCATTCTTTTTTCACCTCTATGATATGCAGTATCACATACACTGTATTTTGTTGTCAGCCATCTATTTATAATTAGATCATTGCTAATTTTTCCACTATCACAAACAATGTTGCATTGGGACATTCTTATTCTCTCCTCTTTAAAATATTATTTATGGAAAAATAAAATGGTTAAGTCTAAGTGTAGGCGTATTTTACATATTGCAAGCTGTTAAAAAAATATCTCTCCCAGAAGAGGCTTCTCTCAGGTCACATGAACAGAACCAAGGGTCCCAGGTAGCCTTGCCCTGATCTCAAAAAGGGAACTACAACTCCTGCCAGTCTCCATTGCTCATTCTAGGCAGCTGATCCCTTGAAGGCCTCCCTGGCTGTGGGACAGAAGTGGACTTCTGAGGACAGGCTCTGTGATTCAGACATGTAGAGACCAAAATATTAAAACTGAGGCCACCAATTGTGAAATTGAGGCCTTCTAGGGAAAACAAGTTCATGCCCTAATGTGTGCACATTTGGTTCCAGGGAAGCAAGGTTGGTGAACATCGTGTAGGATGGCTTCCTGAGGCAGGAAGAGGAGAGTGGCAGCAAGCCTGCACCTCCCTCTTCTGGAGTTGTCTTTCTGGTGCCTGTACAGACTTAATTATTCTTGACAAAGTCTTCATTGTGACGGCATTACCCTCTTTGTGCACACACACAAAAAAAGAGTTTGGGAAGATTGTTTCTGAGCCTAAGAATTTTGCTATGCCACTTTTTTCTTTTGCTATTTCTCCCAATCAACTCACGCTTCCTAAACTGTTATTTCATATTAAGTGTCTTAACCTTGAGACCTAAGTATTCACTTATTTAAAAATATTTCTCAAATACCCCTTACATATGAAGCACTGTCCCAGGAGCTTGAAATATATTAGTGTGCAAACTAAAGCTACCTGATCTCATGGAGTTTACAATCAGAATTTATACTACTATGCATTTATATTTTATGTATATTAAATTATATCGTAGGTAAGAAGTCAATGAGAGCGGTGAACAAAGTGCATGAAGGTAAGATGACTAGAGTACTTGATACCTCAGGTTTCAAAAGTAAATAGGGTGACCAAGACAGGATTCAGTTGAATTGAGCTTTGAGCAAAAACTTGAAGGAAATGAAAGAGTTAATCAACAGATGCAGAGTGGAGTGTGTCCTAGGGAGGGCAAAAGCCCTACTAGAGAGCTCATTTTTCAAGGGTTCTGCAAGGCCAGCGTGGCTGGAGTGCAGCTGACCTCGGAGGGTCATTCTTAGTGCGAAGGGCATGCCAAGGAATCTGGCTTCCACTCTGAGCTGAATACATGGCCATTGCAGGGTTTGAACAGAGAGGTTGCGCATGGTCTCATTCTCATTCAGCTGTATGAATGATATAGCTAGAGGGAGGGGCAGGGGTGGAAGCAGGGAGACATTTTTTGAAGCTCCAGGGAGAGATGATGAGGCTCCGATCAGGTTTCACCTGTGTCAGATTCCGTCTTCCTGCCATTCAGTCTGATGAAACTGTGTGGTTATGCGTTCCTGATAGAGGTGTGAAGAAGCAATCTAGGGAAGCTCTCCCTACAGTCTGTGTAAGAGAAACCCTATACCTTAAGAAGTATTGAACTGACGTGAGAAATAGGAGCTTTGCTGTGTTAGCCCAGATCTGTGCTTCCCAGAGAAGTCTTGTTTAGCTGGGTCTCTGAGACAGGATGATGAAAGTGTGGTTTATAACATGGCCAGTTTGAAACCAGACTGTTTAAACATGAGCTGATTAGGGAAATGTGGTTCTTAGCCTAAGAAGAGTTAGGGAACAGCAGGGTAAGGATTTAGCGAGGACACAGAAGCGGGGAGGGGACGAGCAGGGACACTTGTGCTTTCTGCCTCTCCTTTTCTTGCTCCAAAACTCTGCTTTTGAATTGAGTCATCCCCTTCAATAAGACTCCCTTCAAAAGTAACTAGGCCTTCCGCCTGTGCTTCTGTCCTGACTTCTTGTATCTGTGAGATGTTAAAATCCAGAATAAGCTCAGTGTCTCATGGCTGTAGATGTGTAAATTTTAAGAACTGGTGGTAACAGTCACCCGGTGCACCTGTAATCCCAGCTTTTTGGGAGGCTGAGGTGAAAGGATGGCTTGAGGCCAGGAGTTCAAGACCAGCCTGAGCAAAATAGCGAGGCCCCCTTCTTCACACAAATAAAAAGAACTAGTTGAGTGCAGTTCAGATGCCTGTAGTCTCAGCTACTCAGGAGGATGAGGTGGGAGGATCGCTTGAATCTGGGAGTTTGAGGCTGCAGGGAGCTGTGATCCCGTTACCACACTCCAGCCTGGGCGACAGAACAACCTTGTCTCTAAGGTTAAAAAAAAGAAAAGAAACACTGGTTACCCGAAGCAGAAAAGGCAAAGCCAGTTGCAGGCCCTTAAGATGACATCTCTAGGGAGGAAGACTAAGGAGCTTTGAAGAATTCAGAGTGAAGAGAATCACAACCCAAGAAAGCCCTGTTTCAAGAAATCTGAGCCGATCTGACCTCGACCTACTGTCAGCACACTTTCCTGTTCTAAGATCTGTCCATCTGGGGATGGGGACAGGTGCTTAGGTGATGTCGCAGCAACACAGAACGTTCAAGCCACATTTGCGTAGGGAAACGGGTCTCACAGGGCCACCATTTTGAAAGGCCTTCATCCACCAGGCCACAGCTAGTGTCAATCACCTGGGAGGAGAGGTGGGAGGAAATGGGTGGAGATCAACTAATATCCCAGAGGCAGGGGGGCCTTCTGGCGCATGCGCAGTCTCTCCACCGCACTGCAGGGGTCGGCTTCAGGAGGGAAGGGGTTTCTTGGCGCATGCGCACTCTTTATACACTGCAGGGGCTAGCTTTGCTCGAGGAGGGGGCTTCCTGGCGCCTGCGCACTATTCTTACAGCATTGCAGAGTCCACTTTGCGGCTGCGCTAGTTTGGCAACTTCCAGAAAGCTCGAGGGCTGGGAGGGGGGATCAGGAGGGGGTATTGGCCTGTCATTCTAGCCACAAGTGTTCCTTTTCTGATTTGTTACTGCGCCGGCAGGCGGCAAGCAAGTGTCAGAGGCATTGCCCCGTTCTGTTCTCTGACAACTTCTAATTGGGAAGTTTGTTAGGACTTGGAAATACGCTGTGCGGGTCACCAAAGTAGCATTAGAGTCAAATAACAGACCCTAATTTTGGAAAGAGAGCAGCTGCATGAAGGCAATGTGGGTAGATTGACAGGCCGGAAGTGAGCCGTCCTAGGGAAGCCTCGCCACAGCATCTGAGCCCTGCGCCCACCACCTTCTCTTCGCTGGGGGCTCCATCCTCAGTGGCCAGGGCTGATTGAACTTGTTAGAAACCAGATGCCTGGTCCACTCATGCCCTGTCAGTCAGAAATTCTGGGAGTGGACCCGCCGATGTCTAACAAGCCCTGCGAGTGATTTTGATGCGTGCACTTGAGCTGGACACTGGGGCGGGGTGCTCACACTGGGGTGGGAGAGCTTGTGGTGGAAGCAGCCCAAAGAAAACTAGAAACTTTTCATTTCCAGGATCTCACTCTGAAGAGTCTCCCCTCCCAGCCTGGCTGAACTCCTGCGCTTTCTGAGAGGGAGTAGTGGCAGGAGAGGGACAGTCTGCCCGTCTGAAGCTTGTGTGCTATTGCTGTATTATGAAATCTCTGTTCCTGTGCCTCTCATGGCTGTATCAAAAGTGAGGATTCTGAGGGAGATTAGGAAGAGGCGATGCGTTTTTGAAGGCCTCTCACTAACTGCTCATTCTGTTCTGCTCTTTCCTCCCTGCTCTAACTGTGGCATTTTGCCTTATTATCGTGGCTTCTCCCTCATCTAAGATGTGGGTTTCGAAAACAGAAACTGGGAAGACTCAAGGACATTACAGATGTAACCTTACCGAAGTCCCGAGTAATTTAATGAGCAGAGATGTGACTGTGTCCTTGAATGGGGGAAATGAAGAGAAAAATACGAGGTGGAACAAAATAAAGTTATATCCCCAAGTATGTTCGTGCTACATCATTTGGTAGGTTTTTGCAGTCACTTAGGCAAGAGATGATAGTTGCTTGAATTACTTTAGTGATGAAAAGCACATAAATTTGTTATTCTTTTCAAGGTAGATAGAATTTGAAATAGGAGAGTAGGTGGAGGGAGTGGGTTATTCAGAAGTATGGAGAATAAACTAGGTGTTGGACCTGCGATACTTATTCTAAAGGCAATGCCATTTATTGAGATGTAGAATGGTGGAGTGGGAGTAGCTTTCAAGAAGGAAAAATCAGAGTGCCATTTCTGACTTTTGATGCATGAAAGAAATCTGAAAATTCAAGTAGGTTTCAAGTTAGCTGTAAGATTTGTATGTGCAAAGCTTAGAAGAAGTTTGTATTAGAGATAACAAAACATGGGAGTCAGTCACATGCCTGAATATTTAAAGCCATGATGTATGTGTTGGTTTTCCCCATCCCCAAAATCAGTGGCTTAAAGTATTAATAATTTGTTATTTAAATTCTCTGTGCCTACTTGAGATTGTGCATGAGAAATAGTTTTATTTTCCCACCCAGCACATTCTGGTTCCTCTGTGTTTCCTCTAAATTTTGCCTATGTCCTGAGCAACTATTTCTTTAGCTCATCATTTTTTGTTGTTGTTTTATCTTATGATTAACTAAAGTCAATTGATGCTTGAAACATTGTACCTGAAAATAATCTTGCCAAGGTCCATGAATCATAGGTAGATCCTTCAGCTGGTGATAGTTTTACCAATTTTCCATTTTCCAGCCCATCCATGCCCACAGGAGGTTTGCTCACCTTTTCCTGACAGATTTCCTCACTGTGCTTTTCCTTTATACCGGCTGCTGCATCTCAGAGCCAGTGCCACAAGCGTTTTATATATATATATATATTATATATATATATATATATATAATATATATATATAAAATATATATTTTATATATATATATATATAATATATATATATAAAATATATATATTATATATATATATTATATATATATATATAAAAAATATATATTTTACAGTGGTGCCCCACTTCTAGGTATCTATGTATTTGTCCCATAGCTGTGTGGTGCATATCAATTTATCTCCCCAAATCAGTGGTTTAAAACAACAGCTACATTTCTAATGATCCTGTGGGTCATCTTAGTGGTTCTTCTGATCTGGGCCATCTCATCTGGCCCTAGATTGTCTGGAATGGCCTCATATATGTGAACGTTGGCTTGGTGGCAGCTTAGGGATGATTTGGCATTATGTCTGTTATTCTTAAGCAGGCTTGCCCAGTCTGCTTCATATAACCTCAGAGTTCAAAAGTAGCAGGAGAAGACAAGCCCAAACGTGTAAGCATTTTTTTCTACATCTATAGATGGGTCACATTTGCTATTGTTCCTAAGCAATGAACTGACCAAAGCAATGAACTTGGCCAGACCCAGAGTCAGTGTGGGAGAGAACAACCCAGTGGATTGGATACAGGGAGTGGAATTATTGCTGCCACATTTGCATGCATGGAAATGGATTTGTGTAGGGGCTATTACCATACTGAGTATTCCAACGTTTTAGACTTATGAACAGAGGAGGAGGAATCAATAAACAAAACTGAGTTAGACAAGTCAGAGAGTTCAGTGAATTACATGGAAAATGGAGGCTCAGAAGCAGAAAGGAGGCTACTTAAAGGGGAGGCTCAGAAATACGTGGATGCACACGAGCGGTCAAATAAGACGAGCACTGAGAAGTGTCCACCAGAAGGTTCACAGTGATGTTTGAAAGTTTTATTTCGATGGAGTGAGGGGAAAACACACCCAGAGAGGCATGAATACTTAGCTGCAAATAGGTAGTGTCTGTAGAGTAACCCATTATTGTTCATTATGCATAGACTTTCCTGTGTGGGACAAGAATTTTTTTTTAATTCTAACTCAAATTCACTACAAATATTTCAACCACATGAAAAATAATCACAGCATCTATTCTTGATTCATGGCAGTCAGAAAGCGCATGATAATCTCCAATACATTTCTATGGCTTTAAAAGACATGCCAGGCTCTATTCCTGTCCTGGCTAGAATCCTGGTGATGTAGTTGGTAGATGGATGGGCCCAGCTGAAAGCCTCAGCATCAAGCACCTTAGGTAGATATCTGTGTTTAGAGTGGGAAAACCATGAAGAAATGAAGAACATGATGATACTTTAAGGCTTTTTTTTTTTTTGCAATTTTGTTAATGATTGAGGTATTGAAGACAAAGAGGAAATGATAAATAACAATACAACTTGTTCATTTACTCCTTTCAGTTGAAATTCAGGAATTTATCTTGTTCTCAGAACGCTCCAAAACATTCTAACTATTTGGATTAGTCTTTTCATTTCACAAATATTTCATCAGGCATAACTGGAATTAGCCATACTAGTTAATAACAGTCAAAACTTATTTTATCATTCACACTGGCATTATTTCCAACATTTTTGGAAAGCAGAATATTGAAATGTATATAGAATAAATAGAAGGCTGGAAAATTAAAGTATTCATTTATTTCCAATACATGATAGTATACTTTCATTATTTGATTCCAGAATTGCAGTAGTAGTTATAGTCACTATGCACAGTATTGTTAAACTCACTTTTATGAATATAGTGATGCATATTTTTTCTAGATTAATGAAATAGTAAATTATTCCCAAAATTATTTATTGTAACTTTGTTTCTGTGATTTTAAGCTTAAAAAAAAGTTGCAAGAATAGGACAAGGGACTCCTATACTTTCTTTACCCAGATTCATCATTTATATTTTGTTTAAAATGCTTCATTTTTGCTTCATTTGATTTATTATTTTTATCATTGTCTTTCTCTATACACATGGATAGATATATGGGTTTGCGTAAACATGTCACACCCACTACCCTCCACACACACTTTTTACAAATTATTTGTTAATAAATTAGATAAAGAATGTTCTTTTAATCCTAAATATTTTGGAGTACATTTCCAGTAACACTGACATCCTCTTACATAAACATGGTTCTGGAAATTTAGGATTGATTAAATGCTATTATCTAATTCACAATCTATATTCAAGTTTTGTCACTTGTCACAAGTATGTCCTTTACAGCCATTAGTTTAGAATCAAGGACAATATGTTGCATTTAACTATCTTTCTTTCAGCACCTTTTCTCTGGAATAAATCTTCAACATTTATTTGAGAATCATGACTTTTAGGTTTTTGAGGCCTATGGTCACTTATTTTGTGAATTATTTCTCAATTTCTGTTTGTCTAATGTTGTTCCATGATTAGATTTATGTTATGCATTTTTAGCAAGAATGTTATTGAAGAGATGCTGTGTCCTTTTTAGAGCATCTTTTCAATGAGGCAAATGATGTTGATTTTTACCAATATTGGTGATAGTAACTTTGATCACTTGATTAGGATAGATTTCTCCATAATTAACATTTCCATTTTGTAATTAATAAAGGTAATTTGTGGGAAGATACATAGTCACAATTTAACTTACTATTTTAGCATAAATTCATGACTTTGTAATTCCTTTATCATTTATCCTTTAGTTATTAGTCGGTATCCTACTGTCTGGAAGAGTTTTACTTTCACCTTCATTCATTCATTCACTGATTTATATTGGTTTGGACTCATGATTCTCATTTCGATCATTGGGTTAAATCCCTTACTACCTTTTATCTATTTTTTAAAATTAAAGTTCTTGTAACACAGTTCTAAATTTACAGAAAAGATGGGAAAGTAGTAAAGAAATTTCCTATGTAGCTACTCAGAGTTCCTCCTAAAGATAGTCCAGAGTATCTGACACCCAGTTTTGCCCTTACTGACATCTTACATAGGTATGGTACATTTATTACAGTGAATGAACCAATATTGGTGTATTATTAACTAAAATGCACACTTATTCAAATTTCCCTGGTGTCCATCTAATGTGTGCTTTGTCTCTTCCAGGATCTCAGTCTGAATTCCAAACCCCATTTACTCATCATGTTTCCTTAGGATCCTCTAGACTGTGATGGCTTTTTTAGACTTTCCTTGTTTTTGATAACTTTGACACTTTTTAGAATTACTGGTCAAATATTTTGTAAAACATCCATCAATTGGGATCTATTTTATGATTTTCTCATTATTAGACTGGTGCTATGGATTTTGAGGGAGAAGGTTCATCAAGATAAACTGCCAGTTTTATAACATCCTATCAATGGTATATGTTATCAACATGAATTATCACTGTTGATGTTGACCTTCAACACCTGGTTTGGACAATGATTCTCAGGGTTCTCCACTGTAAAAGTATTTATTTTTCTCCATTTCCATACTATACTCCTTAGAAGGAAGTCACTATGAGAAGCCCACACTTAAGTCATAAGATATGCTCTACCTCCTCAAGGGGAGATTATCTATATAAATTATTTGGAATTCTGACTCCTTCAGGCTGGCTTCTGTAGACTTTGACATGTTCCCATGCTTTTTTCCAGCACTTCCTTACTGGAATATTGTTTTCCTTCAAAAATAAATTATTCAGTTCTTTTCTGATTTGTAGTATCTTATTTATATGAGTTTATATACTCACGGGCTACATTCAGCTTTATACTATTTTTCTATTATCCCTTTTTCACTAGCACTTGTTGACCATGCAAAAGTGACGAATGCATTAGTTAAATCATGAGGCAGGGTCTTCTGTAAGCCCATAAGCCCCTAGAAATACCCTAAAACAAAGTGGCTAATGGAAGATTTTGCTCATAGCTTAAAAATTGCTAATATTGGGAAATTCGCTTGTGCTTCAATAATTTGAGGGAAGTGACTGCCTTCTCTATTAAAGTCTTTCAGTTTAAATGTATACCTCTGTTTTTGTTCTCAACCCACAATTTTCCAGCACCTCTTCCACTACCTCTTCTATCCATTTTCTGCATATTCCAACTGAGATATACCGCAATTAAATCTTCCTCCAGGCTCACTGTTTATTATATTAATATTTCTGTCACTTTGGAGTTGGGGAGCCATCCTGTGTCCATAAAAATTACTGAATTGTAACAGAAACTGCTCTTAGACATTTGAGTGAGAAGTCATTTGAGTGAGAAGACATTTGAGTGAGAAGTCAAGAGAGTTTATTTTGCAGCTTTTTCTTAGCACAGGGATAGTGCCCTGCATTCCCCAGTTGCTAAAGCCCTTAAACTCTTCCTGTGAAAATTTACATTAATTTCTCTTCCTCGAAGAAAATGTGTGAACCCTGAGAACAACTCCATTTTTTAACGTTAAAATCCACTTCATTCATATGTGAGTTGTCAGTGTTAGAAATTTATGCAACTATCAGAAACCCATGTTGTAGCGCCATCTGTCATCCAAAAATGGAAGAATGAGAGCAAACAAATTTCTAAGAACCCAGGCTCCCAGCAGCTGCTGTAGATCGTGGTGGTGATTGTGAAGACAGAGTTCAGAGTCCTGGACAGAAACGATTCCAAGGAACCACTGTTGATGGACTTCAATGAACAGCAAATTATAATGTCTTTTAAATTATACAATTCGTACAATTTACTGTGAATATTCAAACGTACAGAAGATTACAAATTAAACATTAAAATGTATATACACAATATCCTTTTTTCCATTTAACTGCATACCATTATTATTATTATTATTTTTTGAGACGGAGTCTCACTCTGTCGCCCAGGCTGGAGTGCAGTGGCGCAATCTCGGCTTACTGCAAGCTCCGCCTCCCGGGTTCACGCCATTCTCCTGCCTCAGCCTCCCGAGTAGCTGGGACTACAGGTGCCCGCCACCACGCCCCGCTAATTTTTTGTTTTTTAGTAGAGACGGGTTTTCACCGTGTTAGACAGGATGTTCTCGATCTCCTGACCTTGTGATCTGCCTGCCTTGGCCTCCCAAAGTGCTGGGATTACAGGCGTGAGCCACTGGGCCCGCCGACTGCATACCATTTTTAACTGTGTTTATGTGTGCATATTTTCCAGTACGTCTACCAATGTATCCAAATGAACTTATATGTCTACCTACATAGAGATAGCAATTTAGATGTAGATACAGCTATAAATATAGATATTAGATTTTTCATAATGCTTTCAATGGCATTTAACCAGATCTATATCTACTAATGTATATGTTTCTATATATATTTAATAGATTGATCTAGCTATATATATATGTATATATAGCTATA
Source organism: Homo sapiens (assembly GCF_000001405.40). Classification (NCBI taxonomy): domain Eukaryota; kingdom Metazoa; phylum Chordata; class Mammalia; order Primates; family Hominidae; genus Homo; species Homo sapiens. The sequence goes on from NC_000015.10 coordinate 23,867,873, forward strand.
TAGGTGATATTCACATTTTATTTTCCAAATTGGTTATCTGTAGTATGTCATAGTGCTCTTTCCATATCATTAGATATCCACTGCAGTATTTTTGTTAGCACTTTGTATTCCAAAATACATATACCCTTCAATTTGCCTATGGCCTATTCATAAAAATTTAGTGTATTTTTATTTTTAAATTTTGCAGAAAATGCTGCAGAAAGCATTCTGATGAACCTTACACTTCAGTAATAATAAAATCAGTGAGTCAAAAACGTATATAGCAATACATACCCTACATTAAAATGTGTATGTAACAGACCAGGCATCGTGGCTCACGCCTGTAATCCCAGCACTTTGGGAGGCGGCAGTGGGTGGATAACCTGAGGTTGGGAGTTCCCGACCAGCCTGGCCTGAACATGATGAAACCCCGTCTCTACTAAAGATACAAAAAATAGCCGGGCATAGTGGTGGGCACCTGTAATCCTGCTACTCAGGAGGCTGAGGCAGGAGAATTGCTTGAACCCCGGTGGCGGAGGTTGCAGTGAGCCGAGATCACGCCACTGCACTCCAGCCTGGGCACCAAGAGTGAGACAATGTCTCAAAAAAAAAAAGTGTATGTAATAAATTACATAGGCAATTCTCAAGCCTAAATATTAGTAATTCATTTTCTCCCCAGTCAGGCTAAAGTGGTTTCTCTAATTAGCTTATTTAATTTTGGAGGATACATAGTGTTTATTGTGTTATTTATGTTTTTCTGGAAAAGTGCCTGCTCATGTCACTTAATACATTATTTTTAAAATTAGGTTGCTTTTATTACTTATTAATTTTAGGTCATGATATTTTATTAGCATTATATTGGGTCCTTCACTGCAAATACATTACAAATATTTAACTATTATTTGTAGTCTTTCTCTAGTATGCTTAAACATTATTAAATAATTTTATGGACAAATGTAAATATTTCCGATTTCACGTGGACAGTTAGGAAATATTTTATTGCTGTTTAATTTTCTTTTAAGATGCATAGTCTTTTATTACATCTAGAATTTATATATATGGTCAAAGGTGGAGAATCTAAGGTTACTTTTTAATATATGGCTGGAAATTCTAAAATCTTTATACATCCACTCTGGATTGTAGATTTTTATTAAGTTTTATGTTATATACAAAATATATTCAGTGAAAAATTGTAACAAGAGTCTCCCTGAATAGTATGACAAGTGCTATTTTTTAAAACCATTTTTGAGTATTTTCTTCTTACTGTGATTTTGTTGGTACTGGTACATTTGTCTAAATACGTATTTTAGGGTGCACGCTACTTCGTAAGCTATTAACCTTTCAGATTCAGCTTTTCAGGACTGACCTGTAAGAATGCAGCTACAGAACGTATAAACTACAGGATTTTCTTTCCATGCAACCTGAAATGCTTTTTTCTGGAAGCAACGGCAAAAAAAAAAGTTATTTTACACTTATTTTATGCTATGCTGAAAAGCAGCAAGGATATAGAAATCGATCGTGGGGTGACAGAGACTTTTGGAAACTGTTTATTCTTGACTTCTTAACAGCCCAGAGAGAAGACTCAATAACCCTCTGGTCTCCGGGTATTCCCGGTTTGTCCCAGGATGGTAACCATGGGTGCGCCTGACAGCGCACTGCCGCAGGAGCGCCGGTCAGACAGGAGGCTACCTCGCGGTGTGCTGTGGGAAGGTCATGTGGGCGGGGAGGCCTTCGGCTACGGGGGTCGGGCCAGGAGCTTCCGCTCAGCGCTGGTGAGGCGGAGCCAGGAGGAGCGGCTGCGCTCCTGCGGGCCTCAGGCTCTTGGGCCTTGGCCAGGTCCCTTTAAGATCAGGGCGCTTGCTAGGAATTTCTCGTCTCTGGTTTGCGCGGGGAAATTGAGATGGGAAATATCGCTCAACTCCCCTGACTTCATTCTTTCTAGGGTTTAGGCCCCCAGACGTGGATTTTGCTTGTTTGTTTGTTTCCTACCATATAAAGGGAGTGGCTTTTTTTTTTTTCTGGAAAACGTAAAAGTGTTGTTAATATCTATCGATTTTATATTCATGTGACGATCCACAAATAAAGTTTTTGTATTCCTTTGTATTATTAGCGCTTTATATTTCTACTTTAATTACATTGGTAAGACTTTTTTTTTTGAATGTTTAGATTGATGTGGAGTTTTTTGTTTAATGGGAAGTCAACATCAATTTTGATTTTAGATTTGGATACTGATTCTCTATTTTGTGTTCTTTGGACTTTTTCATCTACCACAAAAGCTCCAGAAGCAAAATTTCTTCATAGTTTTATACATTATCTTTAAAATCCTGTGACTATTACCAGTATATAACCTTATTTAAAAGTTTGTGATTTTTACCCCCAATCTTTTAATTTTCATTCCACTTAAACAACTTTATTAAATTCATTAATAGGAAAACTATTGAACTTCATTTTTGAACCACTTCTATATGAAACTCCTCCGACTTCAGAATTTTGTTTCTAACTTACCCCCACCCTTGTACCTCGTGTGCCATCTCCTAGCTCAGTCATCTGTTGCAGAAATCTCTTCACTGCCACCTCTCACAAAATAAGCAAGTGTAGGTCCTTTTTTCCTATGTGTTGTAAATTATGTGGAATTTACCTCCATGTTCTTCTGTATTCTAAAAGTATTATAAAAGGACATTGACAAAGTTAAGGGTGAAGCAGAGGCAGGAAAGAAATCCCAATAACAAAATTCCTGATATGACATTTAGGAATGATATTCAGCTGTCTTCTTATAGACTTAGAAATTTTCTTTGAGGAATATTCAGAACTATATGCGAGTAATTATTTTGCTGTGTTAACTTTCTAATTTTTGAGGGAAGAAAATATTTTGTTGATAAAAATTTAAATCTAGAAAAAAATTACATAATAATAGACTGTCATCTACTTTCTGAATCCTGAAATTTGCAACCACCTTCAACATTCATACCTGGGTGTCTGCGTTTTCAGATCTATGCTTGTAAATACCTATATACACAAATATGCATATTTCTGTTTTCCTGCGTGCAGTAGACTATACAAGGTTAATTGTGTTAATTTAAACTAGATATATCAAGTCATAGAATTGCCATGCGGTGTTATCAATGCTCCTTTAATTGGTTGGAACGTTATAACTAAAAAAATACATAGTATGCCTTCTTACATCCACTGCACAAGTGAGGACACTAAAATGTGATAGGGTAACTATTGAAAGGTTACAAAGGCATTAAGTGATGAAATCAGAATACCATCCCTCTGGTTCGCTGCACCCTACCATCCTCTTCACCACTGTATAGGAAGAAAAATCATCTCACTGTTCTGTTCTATAGTCTTTTACTGTGGATGTGTTAAATATTCAGAAATTACTGATTATCTCTAATATTTGTATGTTAATCTGTTGAAAGGGTGTGTTATAGTATATTTAAAAAATTATCCATTATTCTTTGATGGATATATACAGTAGTTTGTTTTCTTTTTGTATTTTGCCAAAAGAAACAGTATTGGAGTCCACATCCCTGTACATTCGTCTGTACTAGAGGTCTATTATTTTTGTAGAATATATTCATAGAATTTAAAATTCTGGGTCAAAGGATGTGCATCTCTGAAATCTTATATAGTAGCAAATTGCTACCCAAGTTATATTACTTTTTACTATAATGTACATCATCTTGTAGAGTTATGTTGTATATGACATAATATGAGAAACAGTTTTCATATTGAAAAAGTACATTTCCTCTCCTTTACTAATTAGAATACATAATTCAGTCATTTTGATTTAGCAGCTATTTAAATACTTTTTATTGCTTTTAACTAAACCTTTCACATGCCTTTGGTAAGTTTTTTTGGGAGTGGCCTGATTGGTTGACTCATTACAGATGGACAATAAACCAGAGGAAAGAGCAGAGAGAAAGCAAATGACAAAGACCGTGTTTAAAATAAACATTGAGAGGCATTCTGGGGAACTTTGGTGTGGGTGTTTGCTGTAAGTGCTGCCTATTTGTAATTCAAGCCTAAAGACCATGTTTTAAGAATTCTGGTATAAAAGAAAAATCTTAATCTCATTTCTTTAAGATGCAATGAGGATTTATTTCATATCACATCAAATATTCAAATCATCGTAACCATCTTGGACTGTTCTGAAAGCTCAGGTATGTCCTGAGTCCCAACCTGATTTTCTTTTCTACCACGCTCAACATGTAGACCTTCTTATTCCTCCAGTATTGGAGGATGAGTTGAGGTCAGTGATGGGGATTACCATTACATCTCTTGACAGATGGCATGTGTGGATTACTTGCTCAGTTGTAAAATACTGTATACTTGCTCAAACTAAACACCTACCAGTTAAGCTGTGGGTTTACTCCAGGGGCTTATCATTTTCTTGTAGGGAGAATCACCTTACACTGAGTCAGACCTGTAACAGTAGCCATGGCATGACGTGATTCATGGAAAACACATGGAACAATTCTTGACACGTAAAATGAATTGAATAATTGCTAGCCATTATCTTAATAGTTATTCACATGAATTTACACATCTTGTCTTAAAGATAAAAATAGAAAACAGCACTTAAAGAAGTTTAAAAACACAATACTCTAAGACTGAGAAAATATGTTTCTTAAGGTCACACTGTGTGTGACAAGACTATGATATTAACTGAAACAATGTCATAAAGCCAAACTCAATTTTAAGCATTAAACAGCAGTGATATTATGAGGCATTTGGCATACATTTTTTTCCTATGCCTCCCTATTCTTTGCTTCTTATTGTATCATCTCCCGTCCTGCAACCATGCATTTGTGGGATACCATGCATAAATATTACGTTGATCTCAAACTCAGGACCTGGTCACAGTCCTCATCTAGGACTATCATTAATAGTCATGAATGGAGAGTGGCAGACTACAAAATTAGTTAATTCCCAATATTGTGTTCACTGCAATGCAAATTTCTCAAGAGTAAAATAGGAAGTCTTGGTTTTGCCAAATCAGAGATGCAAAATTTGCTATCAAAGGCCACATTGCTGATTGGGATCCTAAAGTGAGAAAAGGATCCTGTTCAAAGTATATGTTTTGTGTACTTGAGAGAATGAAAGTACTAAGGAAATGAGCACACAAAGAACATGTTGCTTCTTGGTGGTAAACTGCTAGCAAAATAGAATTGTGAGCCATGTTTACCCATGACAAACCTAGCTGGCCCCCAGTGATAACATGTTATTTAACACAGTACAATTATCAAAACCAAGAACTTGACATTGGTACCATACTTTTTTTTTTTTTTTTTTTTTTTTGAGACGGAGTCTCACTGTGTCGCCCAGTCTGGAGTGCAGTGGCGCCATCTCAGCTCATTTTTAATGTTAAAGCATTTTAACATTAAAATGCTAAAATGCTAATTTTAAAAGCATTTTAAAATTAAAATGTTAAAGCATTTTCATTGCTTTAACAGTATCACCACACTGTCACTTCTGTGTTGTTTTTGAGAGGTGAAATCAGCTGGGCTTCTGGGTCCGGTGGGGACTTGGGGGACTTTTCTGTCTAGCTGAAGGATTGTAAACACACCAATCAGCGCTCTGTGTCTAGCTAAAGGTTTGTAAACACACCAATCAGCACTCTGTTAAAACACACCAATCAGCACTCTGTGTCTAGCTAAAGGTTTGTAAACAGACCAATTAGCACTCTGTAAAAACGGACCAATCAGCACTCTGTAAAATGGACCAATCAGCGCTCTGTAAAATAGACCAATCAGCAGGACGTGAGCAGGGACAAACAAGGGAATAAGAGTTGGCCGGGAGAGGCAGCAGAGGCAACCTGCTGGAGTTCTCTTCCAGGTTGTGAAAGCTTTGTTCTTTCACTCTTCACAATAAATCTTGCTGCTGCTCATTGTTTGGGTCTGCACTACCTTTACCAGCTGTAACACTGACTGTGAAGGTCTGTGGCTTCACTCCTGAAGTCAGCAAGACCACAAACCCACCAGGAGGAAGAAACAACTCCGGATGCGCCACCTTTAAGAGCTGTAACACTCACTGCGAACGTCTGTGGCTTCACTCCTGAAGTCAAACGAGATCATGAGCCCACCGTAAGGAATAAACTCTAGACACATCTGAACATCTGAAGGAACAAACTCTGGACATACCATTTTTAAGAGCTGTAACACTCACCATGAGGGTCTGCAGCTTCATTCTTGAAGTCAGTGAGACCAAGAACCTACCGGAAGGAACCACTTCCAGACACATTTTCATTGAGAAATCTGATGTTATCCTGATTTGTATTCTTTTCTTTTCCTTTTTTGAGATGGAGTCTAGCTCTGTCGCCCAGGCTGGAGTGCAGTGGCGCGATGTCGGCTCACTGCAAGCTCCGCCTCCCGGGTTCCCGCCATTCTCCTGCCTCAGCCTTCCTAGTAGCTGGGATTACAGGCGCCCGCCAACAGGCCCGGTTAATTTTTTGTATTTTTAGTAGAGATGGGGTTTCACCATATTATCCAGGATGATCTCGATCTCCTGACCTCGTGATTTACCCGCCTGGGCCTGCCAAAGTGCTGGGATTGCAGGCGTGAGCCACCGGGCTCGCCTGGCCTGATTTCTATTCTTTTCTACCAACATGCCTTTCTTCTGTCTAGGTGCTTTCTTTATCATTGTTTTGGAGCCACTTGGTCATGAAGTGCTTTTTAAATAGATATATTCATGTTTTTTGTGTTTGGGAACTCACTGAGTTTTTGAATGTGTGGGTTTATTACTTTGTATAAATTTGGACTCCAGTTACACATATGTGAGGCTGCTGGAAGCTATACTACAGCTCACTGATACTGTTTTCATTCATGTTTATTATGTTTGTCTCTTTTATTTTAGATGGGTTCCATTGCCATATCTTCAAGCTTACTAATCTTTTCTTCTGGAAGTCTAATCTGCAGTTAATACCATTCCCTGTACTTTTAAAACATCACTGACATTATAGTTTTCCTCCCTAGAAGTTTTATCTGGGTCTTCTTTATTTTCACCTCATCTCTATTAACTTTTCAACGTATAGAGTGCAGTGACAAAAACTATGTATGAAAAACACTAACTTTTAATGTTATATAACTGCTGTGTCACTTCTGGGCCGGTTTCAAATAATTAAATTATCTATGCATTCTGGGTGATATTTTTATATTTCTTTGCATGCCCAATATTTATTCGATGCCAGCTATTGTGAATTTTAGCTTGTTGGGTACTGTAAATTTTTGTATTTCAATAAATACGCTTGACTATTCTGAGACATTTTTTGGGAACAGTTTCATTCTTTGCAATCTTGCCTCTTATGTTTGCTACTTGGACCCAGATACTGTATTTAATGTAGGACCAATTATTCTCTACTTCTGAGAGAAGACCCATCTGTGTCTTCTTTCCAATGTCCTATGAATCCTGAAGTTTACCAATTTGGCTGATGTAGTTTAAGAAAAGAAATTGTTTCCAACCTTGTGTGTGAGGCACCTCTAATCAAATTAGGTGATTCTTTGCCCAGCCGCAGTTAATTTCTTAACTCAGATGCGCTGCAGGAACTTTTGCCAATCTCTAGAGTTTTTTCTGTGACTAGACCTGTCTTCTTCAGACCTGTTCTAGAAAATAGAGCCACCTTGTTCTTTCAGACTTCAGATTCTTCATCTCAAATAAAAAAGTTTTCCAAGATCTTTGCCACTGGAAAATTTTTGGAATCATTAAACTGGGGGCATTACTAGGACAAAGGTCATTGTTTCAAATCTTTCACGTGTCACTGCACCGACCTTCAATATTTGATATACACTGTCTTGCAAACCATTGATTTACATATGTACCCATTTTTTATATGTTTACATGTGGTAAGACATTCAAACCATAATGATTTATCCACAACATTGTGATTCATTCATCTGGCGATTATTCAATTATTATTGTATCACTGGCTGTATGCTCCTAGTTGGCAAAATTAAGGTGAAGAAGGAACACTGTGAATCAAATTCACAGGGAAAACAGACAAGTGAACTGGCATTTGTAATGTGAAAGGGAAAGTGAGAACTTTTCTACTCACGATGTCTGTAGGAGCCTCCATGGGTTCATTCACTGTGTGCCACTGAATGAAAGATTTAACATGCATCTAAAATAAAAGATAAATATGACAGTCAAAATGTGACACAGTAAATAGCTTTATTTTATACTTATTTAAGAGTCCCTGTGGAATTATTAGAGTATACATTATATTCACATAAAAATGAAAACAACATGAAAATTCATTTGCCAATGAATTTTAAAGTATATTGATAGTCCTATTCTGATTTTGAATCAGAATTTGATTTAAAGAATGGATAACTGCAGTACATTTTGCAATAGCAAAGACATGGAATTAACCTAGATTCCCATCAATGGTGGACTAGATAATGAAAATGTGCCACATATATACACAGAATACTATGCAGCCATAAAAAATGAAATCATGTCATTTGCAGCAATATGGATGCACCTGGAGGACATTATCCTAAGTGAGTTAACACAATAAAACAAAACCAAATACTACATGTTCTAACTTAAGAGTGAGGAATAAACACTGAGTACACATGAACCCAAAGAGGGGAACAATAGACCCTAGGGTTTGCTTGAGCGTGGAGGGTGAGGACTAAAAATGCTACCTATTGGGTACTATGTGCACTAACTGGGTGACAAAATCCTTTGTATATCAAGCCCCAGTGACACACAGCTTACTCATATAACGAATCTGCACATGGACACTGTGAATCTAAAATAAAAGTTGGAAGAAAATAAAAAAGAAGCCAGAACATGGGAAAATAAAAAGTGCCAGAATTGAAATAAAATAAAATAAACAAATAATGGATATCTTAATCTCTCCTTTTGTGGAATGAAGAGTGGGGATAAAGAAATCATTTTTAATAAAGAAGGCTGCACCATTGTTTGTGTGATTTACACCTCTCCCTCCATTCTACCAGTGTTGATGCAGGTGGCCCTACCAGAAGGAGACAGAAGAAAATTCCAGAAAAGTTTCATCCAAGTGCAGATAATGAAAACCATGTCCTGACTCACACTAGCCAAAAAGCAAATGTGGTAAAAATTCAAAAACATGCATAATAAAATTAGTGAAATAGGGTAAATAATAAAGATTTGGAAATATTTATGAAGGGACCTATATTAATAGATATGAATCCAGAGAAGATGATTTTACATGCTCTAAGAGGGTAACATTGTCCTGCAGGACAGAAGAGGAGCAGATGAGGTAGAAGCAGCCTAACCCATGAGAGGGGCCCTGCAGTGGATTGAGGATGGAGAGGCTGGAGAAGAGGCTGAGGGGAAGTCAGGGCTCCCATCCTGGCCTGAGAACAGAAGGGAGCAAAACCAAAACAAAACAGAAACATGCTTATTGTCTAGTGCAAACCCTCTTCATATTAACATCCTTTGAGTTTATTGGGAAGTAGACAAGAATACAGGTGAGGATTTGGAGAGATTTATTAGTTCATTTGTGAAGTTAAATATAAAGAATCTTCTGTGTTGCTCTTTGTCCACTACATGTGTGGGGCTTACAGGGAAGGAGCATAGAAAAAGTTTTAAAATTATCTGATGTTTAAGTCCAGCGAGGATTTAGGAAACTTACAGACACCAAACTGTAGGTGGAAGAACTGCCCTTGCAAACTCAGGGGACAGGCATCAGACCTGGACTGGGATGGACAAGGGAGGTCTCCAGGAGGAGGAGCATTGGAGGAGATTCTGGAGAGTGAGAAGCAGTGAGTCCAGCCAGCAGGGGAGGGAAAGAGACGAGGAAACAATGTGTCCATGGCACAGGCCAGGGCATGAGAAGAGGGCAGTGGATTGGAAGGACCGCTGGGATGAGTAATACCTGAGGAGGTAGGAGCAGGAAGCGCTGACCAAGGAGGGACTGGGCAGGGAAGGGAGGGCTGCTCCCTGAGGACTGCATTCTGTGGGGAGGGATTTGAATATCTAGTTCTGGTTTCCTAAAATGGTTCCCCAGCGCACGAGGTCTGCTTGGAGGAAGACAGAATGAGTCAAGATGGTCCCTGGGCATTATCAGGAGGGGTTGGGTCTAGAGAGGAACGAGGGTGGAGAGAGAGGACCCAAGGCTCCCGGAAAGGGAGGCTCGGGTGCTTAGATGGTCTTGTTCCCGTTTCTCCATCGTTTAGAACCTGCACCACACGTCTAGCACTGGCCTCCGTCCCTTGGTCACTTTGCAGGTGTAGGTAGGATCCCCGCAGAACTTTAGAGCGGCGGTCTCATTCCGCCCCCTAGCGTCCATCCATCAGAAGCTGAGCGCAGCCTCACCGGAAGCTGTGGATGAAACCGGTGCCCAGCTGCGCAGAGTAAAGCGCCTGGCGCCAGGACGCAGGAGAGGCGTGTAGGAGATGCGCCAGATGCGGCGGCGGGCGAACCTTCACGGGACGTTTCTTAGCGCAGGTTCACCTGTGTCTGCGTTTCCTCCAACATGCTCTTTGATATTCTCATACAAATCTCATGATTTTCTCCTGTGTCTCAGAGCGTAACAAGTATTTTGATGTCTTGTCACCTGTGCTCGTTTTCATTATATATGTAGCAATGGTTGCTTACTTAAGTTTCTTACTGGTGGGTTATTCATAAAGTATTTCCCAGCTGAGTAAAAAATGAAATTATCTACTTTAATAAGCCTTTGGTTGATCATTTCTGAAGATTACTGTCTACTTATTTCACGAGGGTATCACCCCTGCATGCCTTAAGCAAAGATTCTATTTGGGGTTGTGTTTTCCTTCTTAAATTCGGATACTTCTGTGTTCTGGAAAGTGTTACGTAATTAATATTCATTTGAAAAATTCAGTTGGCATATCTGTTACTTTGCTTTTACTATCTTTGCAGTCTCATATGTTTTCTTCTGCTTACTTTGTATTTAATTTGTTCTTCTTTTCTAGGATCCTAAGATGGAAACTTAGATTATTGTTTTAGATTTTTTCTTTTTCAATATATGTGAAGTATATCTTATATCTTTTAATTTAATTTATACGTATCTTTTTAAAATTAAAAGTGGGTGTCTTGTAGACAACAACACATAGTTTTTTAATTTGCCGTTTGTGTCTTTTAATTGGTGCACTTAGACCAGAGACGTTCATAGTGATTGTTGATACAATTGCATTAATACCAACCATATTTCTTACTGTTTTATATTTGCTGTTCTTGTTCTTTGTTTATATTTTTGTATTCTACTCTTTCTGCATTGTGTGATTTCAATTGAATATTTTATATTCCATTCTTATCCTTTATTAGCATATCAGCAATAAACTTTTTAAAGTAATTTCTCTAGAGAATAAAAGCTTTTATTTTTCCTTGTGTGAATTGATTCAACAGATAAGAGCTGGTTGAAAACAATAATAGCAACAATTGACTTTTTTATGTATGTTTATATATATGCTCCAATATAGGTGACATGAATGAATAATGATACAAGCTACAGGACAGAGGATTTAGGATTGTTCTCTTATTATAAGATACTCACAATACTTGTGAAATAATGTAGTTTTATTTGTAAATGTATATTGCAACTTCTGGGGCAGGCTATTAGACCAAGGGCCTCAGCGCCTTGCTGGCTGTTGGCCTAAGGCTGCATTCAGTTCTTCTCATGTTGGTTTATCCCACATAGCGGAATGCTCCTCCAAAGCCATAAAGAGAAAGAGTTTGCCAGGAAGAAAGAAATCACAGACTTATGTAAGATCATCACCCAAGTCACATCGCGTCAGTCTTTTGGTATTCTGTTGTTTATAAGTCACGGTTCTTGACCACACGCACTGGGAGGGGATTAGAATACAAGGTTGTGTACACCAAGAGGTGGGCATCATTGGGCAGCATGTTAGGTTCTATCTGCCACATCAGGTCTTTTCCAGTCTGCAACAGTTTCTCAGTCTTCACTTAAATTTTTATCACTTTACCCTTTTGAAAAGGGTAAAGTAGTCAGGTGTTTTTGTTTTTGTTTTGTTGAGATGGAGTCTCGCTCTGTCGCCCAGGCTGGAGTACATTGGCGCAATCTTGGCTCACTGCAACCTCCGCACCCCAGGTTCACACCATTCTCCTGCCTCAGCCTCCGGAGTAGCTGGGATTACAGGCGCCCACCACCACACCCGGCTAATTTTTTGTATGTTTTTTAGTAGAGACGTGGTTTCACCATGCTATCCAAGATGATCTCGATCTCCTGGCCTCGTGATCCACCTGCCTCAGCCTCCCAAAGTGCTGGGATTACAGGCGTGAGCCTTGTTTTTGTTTTGCAAAATATCCTACAATATGGGTTTGTTTGGTTTCTCAAAATTAAATTAGGAATACGGATTTAGATACATTTAAGTTTGAAGGCAATAATCAGTTAATTTAGAAATAAAAATTTAGAAAAATAAGAATTAGGGCATGAGAGAATTTAAAATAATAATTACCTGCAGTGAGTAAGAAAGGGGCTGGAATTGGGGAGATGCACTCAGCAGGCATCAGGAATATTAATAATGTCCTGTACAGTAAGCTCAGCAGTGACTTAAAAAACACATAACTTTGTTTTTATTTTAGAAGAGTTTTAGTTTCAGAACAGTTGTGAAGACAGTACAAAGCACTAACATTTTCCACAGTTTCTATTATTTTCTTGCATTACTGTGGAACATTTGTCACAATGAAGCGATAGAATATTCACTAACATCCACACATTATTTGAATACTTTTAGTTTTCACTTAATGCCCATTTTTTATTCCAGGATCCCATTTTTTTTTTTTCTTTTGAGACGGAGTCTCCCTGTGTCACCCAGGCTGGAGTGCAATGGCGCGATCTCAACTCACTGCAAGCTCCGCCTCCTGGGTTCATGCCATTCTCCTGCCCCAGCTTCCTAAGTACCTGGGACTGCAAGCGCCTGCAACACCACTCAGCTAATTTTTTGTGTTTTTAGTGGAAAGGGGGGTCTCACGGTATTCGCCAGGATGGTCTCAATTCCCTCACCTCATGATCCGCCCGCCGCAGCCTCCCAAAGTGCTGGTAGTTAACCCCACAGCACCGAGCCCAGCATGCCACGCTAGAAGCTACATTACATTTGATAATTACGTAGCATTTCTCCTTAAGCTCCCTTTAATTTTTTCCTGTGACAGTTCCGCAACAATTCCTTATTTTACTGTCCCTCCTTGGGGATGGACCCAGCCTTTTTCTCAGTGTCCACACTGGATTTGGATAGTTAGGAAAAAAAATATCATGGAGAACGACCGTCCCTCATGGGTCCAGAATTTATTCCTTCCAGTGGGTTCTTGGTCTCACTGACTTCAAGAATGAAACCACTGACCCTTATCCTGAGTGTTACAGCTCTTAAAGATGGTGTGTCTGGAGTTTCTCCATTCCGTGGGTTTGTGGTCTTGCTGATTTCAAGAGTGAAGCCACAAACCTTTGCAGCAAGTATTACAGCTCTTAAAGGTGGCACGTCCAGAATTGTTTCTTGGTGGGTTCGTGGTCTAGCTGACTTCACGAATAAAGCCACAGACCCTCACTGTGTTACAAGCTCACAAAGGTAGTCTGGACTTAAACAGGGAGCAGCAGCAAGAGCGAAAGAACAAAGCTTCACACCTGGAAAGGGACTCCAGCAGTTGCCGCTTCTGGCTCGGGTGGCCAGCTTTTATGCCCTTATTTGGCCCCGCCCACACCCTGCTGATTGGTCCATTTTACAGAGTGCTGATTGGTCTGTTTTTACAGTGTGCTGATTGGTGCGTTTAAAAATCTTTAGCTAGACAGAGAGTGCTGATTGGTGTGTTTACAATCCTTTAGCTAGACAGAAAAGTTCCCCAAGTCCCCACCTGACTCAAGCCCAGCCGGCTTCACCTCTCAATTACAACATACCAAGAGTGCTTAGACTATTGACATGCCTTATCACTGTTCATGTTAATTTGATCAGCTGGATGAAGTAGTTTTATCAAATTTCTCCTCTGTAAAATTATTTTTCCCATTCTGTTTTTGAATGGAAGGCACTATATGCAGCACATGCTTAAGAAGTGGAGAGTTATGGTCGGGTGCAGTGACTCAAGGCCTGTAATCCCAACACTTTGGGAGGCCAAGGTGGGCGGATCACAAGGTCAGAAGATTGAGACCATCCTGGCTAACATGGTGAAACCCCATCTTTACTAAAACTACATAGAATTAGCCCGGCGTGGTGGCGGGTGCCTGTAGTCCCAGCTACTCAGGAGGCTGAGGCAGGAGAATGGTGTGAACCCGGGAGGCGGAGCTTGCAGTGAGTCGCGATTGGGCCACTGCACTCCAGCTTGGGCAACAGAGGGAGACTCCCTCTTGAAAAATAAAAAATAAAAAAGCAGTGGAGAGTTGTGATCTACCTTCTTATGTGCAGAAAAAATACAAATATTATTTGGAATTCTTCACCATGGACAATTTGTCTGTTCTCCTTTGTTTATTTTATATTTATTCACTTATTTATTTAGATCAATATGGGATCGTGCATATTTATCTTACACTCTACTTAGGCCATTGCAAGGTCTTTCATTAGGCTCCTGTACCATTTTGAAATTCCCAGATCACTTCAGTGTAATTTTGTTTGATTGGTCCCTTGGTTGCTCTGTTGTTTAGCATTTTCTTACTTTCTAGTACTGTATGTTATATATGTATATGTAGTTACCCAGTTAATTTTGTTGACTTCATGTCCAAGACAAGTAGCCGCTGTTTCTTCAAGGAGCCTCAGTTCCTTTTACTGGAGAGTGGTATTAGAAACTAAGATTCGGATACCATACGTACTCATTGCTGTTTGAATGCCTGTTGATTCAAGGCTTTGTTAGCTAACAGAACAAAGAATCTATGTGTATATGCTAATTTATACTCATACACATATCTATAAATATTTCAACATGTGTCCATATGTATTTATATTAAATTAAACATGAATTGCTACTCATGTCTCCAGGACCACAGGATCTAATCCAGCACCACATAAATCAATCTACCCATTCCCACTACTTGCATGTAACCTCCGCTGTAACAGTGAGACAGTTGGCTCCATTAATTTAATCCTTCCATCCCTAAATACTGTAGATAGATATTGGTTTCAGAACTGGTAATTCAT